>NC_000016.10:25456182-25759213 GCF_000001405.40 Homo sapiens | reverse complement strand
TTTAGTAAATTGCTTTATTTAAAAGAGCTCTGATCATTTGTCAGTCACCTGAATGACTGCAGCCCCTCCATTCCTATTCTAAGCAAACTATCTCTGAGCCATGCTCACCTTTCTAGGTTCTTCATTTGCACCTGGAAGGCCCCTCTGTTTCCCTGGCTACAGCTATTTAGATCATCCACATCAAACACTTCCATTTCGAGTTTTTTGTTTTTTGTTTTTCTGGGGTTTTTTTTTGTTTTTTTGTTTTTTGTTTTTTTTGAGACAGAGTCTCACTCTGTTACCCAGGCTGCAAGGCAGTGGTGTGATCTCAGCTCACTGCAACCTCCGCCTCCCGTGTTCAAGTGATTCTCATGCCTCAGCCTCCCGAGTAGCTGGGATTACAGGCGTGCACCACCACGCCCGGCTAATTTTTGTATTTTTAGTAGAGACAGGGTTTCACCATGTTGGTCAGGCTGGTTTCAAACTCCCAACCTCAGGTGATCTGCCCACTTCAGCCTCCCAAAGTGCTGGGATTACAGGCATGAGCCACCAAGCTTCAAATCAAACACTTTCTATCTCCCTTCATATGGCATAAAAGAGGCAGCATAGGTGGCTGTGGTGCTCTGAGCCAAGGTGGTCTTTTTATCCTTGTAGAGGATGGGGATCAGTCAATGAACTATCCATTTCTGAAGTTCAGATAAATGAGAAAGCCCAGGCCTAGGCATCCTTGAGGCCCCAGACAGTTACACCCACATGGAAAGAAGGACCCTAAAGGGAGCAGACTTGGTTCGATGACATAAGAGACAGCAAGCTGGGGTACGCTCAACAGTCCTGACAATGGGTTAAAACTACAAAGCTATGGCAATTTGAGCACAGGTATTGATAACAGAAACAATCTGTTAGGCAGAGAGACCATGATTAACATTTGTAACCAATTAGAAATAGCTAAAAAGACAATCAATGACAGGATCAATACTAGTATCGAATGGGAATGATATAAGGGTTAGAGCAAAGACATTGTTTAAGTGGGTAAGAAAGAAGCAGGAAGCACCTCTTCTATTCAGAACTTCTTATTTCTCTCTCCCGTTTGAGGGTGGAGAGAATTAGGGGAAATGGAGAACAGGGGTAACCAAGGTATCTCCCTTATCTCGTCATAGGTGCAGGAGGAATCTTTCTATGACAGACTGATAATGCTGCAAGTTATTCTGGGGGCTCTGGAGAGAGGCAGGGGAGAAGGCACACACAGGGATTGTGTGCCGCTTAGAAGATAACATCTCTCTACAGAACTAAAGTTACCTTCCATTCAAAGGCCCAACCCAGGAACATAAATTCTAAATGTTTACTGTGATTCTTCAATGTGCCAGGTGCCATCAAGGGAGCTGGGAACTCTACAGTTTACAAGACAGGCTCAGTCCTTGACCTCTAGAAGTTTTGATTCTCTAAAAGCCCCACCCGACGAGATACTTGCATCTAGATGGCCCCCATGGTAGCCTCCAGGAAGAAAAATGCCGAGTTTGATGTTCCCTCTAAATTAGACACCTGACAAGATGAAAAGGAAGAGGGATGGAAATTCCAGAACATATGACCAGGGCATGACGGGAGGACACATTCGTTATTTTTACACTCTCTCTATTATATATATTATATAATATATTACTATATTATATATAGTAATACTGAAAAGGTTTACAGTATTGCAAGAATTACTAAAATGTGACACAGAGACATAAAGTGAGCACCCATTGCTGGAAAAATGATGCCTATAGACTTTCTCAATGCAGGGTTGCCACAAATCTTCAACTTATAAGAAATGCAATATCTGCAAAGTGCAATAAAGTGAAGTGTGATAAAATGAGGTATGGCTATAAAGATAAGGAACATAAGGCTCAAAGTAGTTAAATAACTTGAACCAAGGTTTTTAAAAGTTTTATTAGAACAAAGCTGGAGATCTCACAACTCCCAATTTCAAAATATACTACAAAGCTACAGTAATCAAAATAATGTGGTACTGGGATCTAGTCTAATAAGGTTGCCAAGTACAGTTACACAGGCTGAACCATGGCAAAAATCTAGAGAACACTATTCACAATGATATCTATGTAAACAGTGTCCTCCTAGGACACTATTTTGTGCACAACCTGCTCAGCCTTACATGCCAGTTCTGCATCAGAAAACTGAGTTTATTTAACTATAAACATAGGCACAGGGTTATTAAAATAAGCTAGGAGACACATGGCTAGGTACCTTCCCTCAGGTTGCTCTTGGTCATATTAAAGAGATAAGACGTATGTATAGCACAAATTGAAGGGAGCTACTGTAACAAATTTCACTTCAGTTTTTTCCATGAAGTATGAAGTTTCACAGGTTTTCACTGTCAGGTGCAGAAAAAATATGTAGCTTCAAAGCAGTTTTGCTTCTTTGCTGTGCTATACTGTTAGGTCTTTTATTTTTTTAACAGTGTTTTCAACTCCACTGTAATTCTTTATCCTTCCTCATCTCTCTGTGCCAGCACCAGTGACATCTGTTTCACACAGGGATCATTTTTATCAACAAAGCAGTTTCACCGCAAGGATGTACTGTAGGTTTCAAGAGGCTACAGATGCCTCTACTTCTGCAGGAAGGTTTGTGGTCAATATTGAATCTGAAGATCTGCGATCTTCTTTGGAGTGAAATCAGAGCATGGGAAGGGACTCAAATGGTTGTCATGTGATTCATCACTTTCATGCACAGTCTAAATTGTCAGTCTTGCCCTTGCTCTCAACTCCTCCAGCCACTGTCTTGTCTTAATCATCCCTCAACTGGATCATTGTAACAGCCTTTCTATTTAACAGTTCAGCTTTTAGATGTACCCTGCACTCACCTCCCACCGCAAAATCATCATCATCTTCTGCAGCCCTCCTCACTGCCACCAGAGTGATTTTACTAAACCACTGATCAAACAATATTTGTATCTCTCCCCTGCTTAAAATCCTTCAAGATTCTCCAATCCTTGCAGTAATGGTCACAGACTCACATGTGTTTGAGGGCCAACCATGTAACAGAAAGGAATAAGGCAGGGTGTGTGTGTGTGTGTGTGTGTGCGTGTGTGTGTGTGTGTGTGTGTGTGTATGTGTGTGTGTGTGTTTCTATAACACCACCTAGAGTTGTATCCTTCCCACAATGACATACTTTGTTTGCATATTAAAGATCAAGGAATATTCTTCACTTCCACAAAAAAATGTAGTTTCTCTTTTACTGTTCTTGAATCAGACAGATCTCTCAAACTAGCTTTTGTTTGCCTCCTTTTGTGTCTGATGAAGACATAAGTCAAGGAAATATTTCACTTTCCTCTTTACTATAAGACAATAGTGCCAGTGTGATGATGAAAAAAAACTGATACTCGGCATCAATTTTGGGAATACAGTTGGAAAGGGCAGGGATCCTGGAAAATTAGGGAACATATGCCCCAGTTGAAGAGGGCAGTTTTGCTTTGATGGCCAGCCCATTGTAACCTTACAGAAATATGGGTGCAGTGTGGCCAAATTTTCTGATTTTTCCAAGAGAAGCTAGAAATCTAAGTAATGTAAAAGATGTCCTAATTAAACATTAAGAAATTGATGTATTCTTTTAAAACCTCGGGCCAAGGTAAAGAAAGCACACCTGCAAGCCAAAAGGCTACAGCCTCTTACTTCCATTTTATGACCTCTGACCTAGAACCACATGATCTACGAAGTTCTCCATCCTCATCTCCCAGCACTACCCTGTGTCAGCCATTCACCCTCAAACCTCTCCATGCATGCCATGGTTTTTCCAAAATCTGGGTCTTTGGGCATGCTATTTCCTCTTCCTCTTTTTCTATCTGGAAATACTCCTTCTCCAAAGCATGCCCGGAATGTCACCTCCACAGTTTATTGTTGCCTCTCTCAGGCTCCTTTAGTCTCCTGAGGATTACATTATGAACACACTTTCATATTATTTGTATTAATTTCTGACTCTTTTAATAGTATGGAGTTTCTTAAAGGCAAGAAGTATGCCCTATTGATCTCTGTGATTTCCATGTTAGCAAGGGGACTTGTGGAGTAGGACTAGGTGACTGCTTGTTGAATGAATGGATGTGTGGGTGGAGGGGTGGAGGGGTGGAAGGATGAATGGATGGACAGATTAATGAATAAATGAATGGATGGATAGTAGGCTGAGTGGATGGATAGGTGGGTGGATGGGTGGGCAGATGGATGGACAGATGGATGGATGATGGGTAGATGGATGGATGACTGGGTGGGTGGATGAATGGGTACCTGGATGGGTAGATAGATAGGCAGATGGGTGGATGAATGGATGGATGGGTGGATGGGCAGGTTGATGGGTAGGTGGATAGATGGATGGGTGGATGAATGGATGGATGGATGGTGATATGGTTTGGTTATGTCCCCACCCAAATCTCATCTTGAATTGTAGTTCCCATAATCCCCATGTGTTGTGGGAGGGACCAGGTGGAGATAATTTAATCATGGGGGTGGTTTTCCCCATCCTGTTCTTGTGATCGTGATAGTCCTCAGGAGATCTGAGGGTTTTAAAGGGGCTTTCCCCTTCACTGGGCACTTATTCTCTCTCCTGCCACCCTATGAAGAAGTGCTTTTTGCCATGATTGTTAAGTTTCCTGAGACTTCCCCAGCAATGCAGAATTGTGAGTCAATTAAAACCCCTTTCCTTTATAGATTACCGAGTCTTGGGTATGTCTTTATTAACAGCATGAGAATGGGCTAGTACAGATGGGTAGGTGGATGGGTGGATGGATGGGTAGATGGATGGATGGATAGATGGATGGGTGGTAGGTGAATGAATCCACAGACACGTGGGTGGGTGGATGAATGGCTAAGTGAATGGGTGGGTGGGTGGATGAATGGCTAAATGAATGGATGGGTGGGTGGGTGGATGGATGGATAAGTGGATGGGTAGCTGTATGGAGTGTGTGATTGGAGGCTCCTTACCAGGGCCTTAAATAGAGCTGCCATGGATTAGTCTAGACACTCTGGCTTTATGTAAGTTCTAGCTTAGCTAGAAGATACAAAGCTCATTTCATTACTGAGAACTTTGAACTTGCCCTTTCCCCAGCTCTTTATAAGACCGGCACTTTCTCATGATTCAGGCTTCAACTCAGATAAAACTTCCTCAGAAAAGTCTTGTTCAACCATTCCCATCATAAGAACCACAACCAAGTCAATAATTATTACATTATTGTCCTTGTTAGCGATTCTGGCTGTCTTAAATTACGTTGTATATTTCTGTTTACCTGTTTATTTTATGCCTCCCACTTGCCTCCACTAGCAAATTGCATGAAGGCATTGCTATAGATCTATACCTACCGTTGTGTCAGACACATTGTAGGTGCTGAATAAATACGGGAAAATTTAATAAATTTATTGATTTGTAACAGAAGAAATAAGCAATTAAAAAAATAAGTGAAACCCATTTGTTTGGTGCTTTTATTGGCCTTGTGGCATAAAAGACAACACTGGGAATAAGAAATCTCCTTTCCTTATTAAGATGCAGGAAACTGTATGTTACCATTGTTAAAAGCCAGGGGATTAGAGCCAGACAGGCCTGGGCTTGAGACTAGGACTCGTTACTTGATATCACTAAGTGATCTTGAACACACCAGCACTTAATTTTGCTAAGCCTCTGTTTCCTCACCTTTCACATGAAAATAGTAACACAAATGCGTAAAGAGCTTCTCAGGAATAAATGAGATAATCATGCATGAATAACACATAACACAGTATCTCGCACAAACTAAACACCCAACTGAAACTCACCAGCACCAGGGAGCTGTGAGGCCATTCTGGCCATCAATCACTAATGTTATGAGACCTGGACTATGAAAGAAAGATATCAACACATCTGACTCCTTCCCAGAGCAATTTACTTCCCAGGGCTTTGCAAACCATCAGCCCCGTGAAAATGTCTCAAGTTGGACAAACGTCATGAATGATGAATTATGATAATGTTCTGCTATTGAATCAGCCTTGAAGAAAACTACAAGGTTTACCACCACTGTAGCAGAGGGGAAAGGGTGTCATCCATACCTAGTGCCATTCTCATCAGAAGCAACCCATGCCAGGACAGCTCTTATTTATAGACTGACTTCCCCTTGGCAGAGCCATTTTCCAGGGAGGCCTCTACTGAGCCATCATACTGTTGAGCACAATTTTCTTGGAGGTCAGGTCACCATCTAACTGAATCTTCTTTGTGGGTCCAACATATGCCAACATGGCATTTTGCTAAGAAAACTCATAAAGAGGATTGCTGCCTGCAATACGACACTCCCTCTATAATACCGTCAGTCTAATTGTTTCCAGAAGCAAACAATTAAACAGTTTATGAGAAAAACTCTATCTGTAATTGCAGGGCCCCAGCACAGCTGCTTCCTAAGTAAGGCAGTTGAAGACTAGCTGGTGCAGATATTAAAGTACAGTATGTAGTTAGCAATATGGCACCTAAATGCATCATAGCAGACCTATCGGGGAAATAAACAACATTTAAGTGTATTTTTGGAAGACAAATACTCAATACTTTGTTTAATGTATGGTTTGCCATTAGTGGTTAATCTAAGACAATGAAGAGAGAGCTGTGTTTCATGTGGCTATTGAGAAAATGTAGAATTGACTGTAAGAATGATTGAGGATTTTTAAACAGCACAATTCCCAAGCCAGCAATGCAGCAATGCCCTTTGTTGCCTTTTTTTTCCTCCCTCTTTTAAATTTGCCTATAATCCGTTCCGTCAAATCCTTTTATCATGTTGATTTCCTCTCCTCATTATGACAAATGTGATTAATTACTAAAATTTTCCCTCATTCTTACACAACTCTAAGGACTCATTTTTCATGAGCAAAATGGCCTTTCTTGTCCAAGTACACATATCCACACCCCCTCCCAAAGCATTTCCATTTTATGTCTTCATGTTATTAATACTAGTTTTCAATTGGCCCATTCAGTTGGCCACTTGCTGTTGTGAAACTTATCTAAAGCTAAAGAGCCCAACACCTTGACTTGATAATTAGTTGGCGTAATTAGTGACTGTGACCCCAGAGTCTGTCATGAAACTTCTCTTTGTGTGACATATTTATTCACTGAATAATGAATGGAGAGGTACCTTCCTAGTCCAATCTCCACTTGTATTCCAAAGCTGGTCTGATCCATTCTCCAGTTTGAAAGCTTTCAGACAGTCCCAGGTTTAATCTCAGGATGAGAAAAAAAAAAAGGGAAATGGAAGCAGTTGAGTAGATTTAAAACTTACTAGTCACAGAAACACAGCAGGAAGGCCATTTTCTAAAAAACAATCTAATGTACAACAACGTAGGGACCTCCTTTCATCCACTGTGGTCTGGGATTGCTCCCGATTGCTCCAGTACCAGCCTTTCCTCCTTGTACCTTCCAGCAAGCAAACTAACCCTTGTTTCCCACAAATACTACCACTGTGTGTAAGCCAAATAGCAGTGGAAAACAGGAAAGGCGATTAGATTTAAATCTAATCCTGCTTACTCCACACCAGCCCTTTTTATTTTTTCCACTAAGATGTTCTTCAGCATAGTAACAAATATGATTCCTGTTTAGCACAGTGTGAAGCAGGAGTGAAATGCAGGTCTGTTAGCACTATTCAGCTACATGATGACATTTCAAACTCCTGAAAGGGGACTCCAAACACAGATTACTAACAAAAACCCTGAGTGCTTTGTAATTATTTATATGTCATTCCTACATAATCAATGTCACTCCAGCACTCACGGAGCTTAATTCCTTGCTTTGTGTAACATCCTCTGACATTCTGTGAGTCAAATTACAAGGATACTAAGTGCAGTCTCTGCCACCTACTGCATTTTCCCAGTGATGGCCATAGTGAAAGAGCATCTCCATAATAGGAGTGTATGGAGGGAAACTGAATGACGCCACATGCATACACACACACATGAGCACACATAAATACACACATCCATCCACATCCGCACACACGCACTTTCAGAGGAAATATTTCTATTCAAAAGGCAAAAGGAGTTGTGTCAATCAGCCATTGCAAACCGGGCCATGGTCAGAACCTGCGCAACTGCTCTCTCCTGCAAGGTCATGGGTCTCAGCAGGAGCAGACACAGGAGTTGTGCAGTTTTAAGCATTCCTCATCAATTCTTTACGTATCTATGAGCACATCAAGTGGCAGCTTCTTGGCTCCTGTTCCACAGCACTTCCACCACACAATGGGGACTCCCTGCAAATTAACATTCCTTTCCTCCTGCCTGCCCTGCCCTGAAGTTTTCAAACATAACAACAATCTAAATGAAATAATGATAGAGACTCATTCAAATGCTGCGGAGGGAACTGTTTTATTCCTAAGGCAGCAAAGAGAACTAATTGAATCCACTGGAAAGAAAGAAGTAGAAGGGAAAAGCGGGGAAGGAAAATGAAGTAGGAGGGTGGAATGATGAAGACAGAAGAGGCTGATACTATGCAGGCATACACGTTCACATGCACACACACAGGCACACACAGGCCCAGGCAAGTGAGTGGGAACCTGAATATTCATGGGAGAGAAATTGCATAAGTGTGAATGCAAATAGCTTCCAAGATGGCAATGCTGCCAAGGGCTGGGCTCACAAGTACTGAGAAAGTGCCTCAAGTAGTTCATACTCTGAGCTTTGAGCTTTTCAAGAGCCACACTGTACTCTTGATGGAGTAAGTAACAGCTGTCAACATCTAGACACAAAGGTAGCATCAGGTCTAACAGTTTGTGTGTTGGCTATAAAGCATAGCTGCAAAGTCCATGACATTTCTCCCATGGAAAATGAGTCTATGTCTTCTTGCCTTGAACACAGTTGGGCTAGTGATTGCTTTGACCACTAGAGTATGAAATGATGGTACGTGATGTCCAAGGTTAGGTTATAAAGATCATGCGGCTTCTAACTTTGTCACTAGAACATTAAATTTTGGAGCTCTGAGCTGCTCTAAGAAGTTGGACTACTCTGAGGTCTCCATGCTGTGAGGAAGCCCAAGCCATATGGAGAGGCCATATGTAGAAACGCCAATCAACCATCCCAGGTGACCCAGTTTTTGTTTCATACCAGCCTAGATCCAAAACATATAAATTAAGAAGACTCCAGAGGATTTCAGTAGCAACCATTTGGGATTTTCCATCTAAGACACCAGATACCATGGAGGGAAACAACCTTTTTGTATAGTGCTCTAGTCCTTCCACCACAGAATATATGAGCATAATAAAATTGTGGTTGTGTAATGGTATAAAGTTTTGTGAATTTGTTATACCACATTGCCAGCCAGAATAGTATGTGTTATAAACACCTACTGTTACTTCGGTGAATCATCAATTTCTACCTTATTAGTTTTAGCATCTAGAAAATGGGACTAAGACTAATAATATCTACCACATAAGGTTCTTGGAAGAATCATCAAAATAAAACGATAATAAAAACAACAACAAAGAATTATTTAGAGCTGTCTATGTTTCCAGACCCATTTTACATGTATTACATCATTCAAATCACTTAATCTCATGAGGTAGAAAGCTATTATCCCTTTTACAAATGGGAAACTGAGGCACATAGAGGACAACAGCTTGCCCAAACTCACATAGAAGGACTAAGGCAGGCAGCCTTGTTCCAGCTTCTCCTTCTTCTTCTTCTTCCTCTTCCTCTCCCTCTTCTTCTTCCTCTTCCTCTTCCTCTCCCTCTTCTTCTTTCTCTTCTTCTTCTTTTTTGATATGGGATCTCACTCCCATTGCCCAGGCTGGAATACAGTGGTGCAATGATGGCTCATAGCGGCTTCAACTTCCCAGGTTCAGGTGATCCTCCCACCTCAGCCTCCCAAGTAGCTGGAACTACAGGTGCATGTCACCACGCCCAGCTAATTTTTTGTATTTTTAGTAGAGACAGGGTTTCCTCATGTTGCCCAGGCTGGTCTTGAACTCCTGGGCTCAAGCAATTTGCCCACCTAGGCCTCCCAAAGTGCTGGGATTACAGGTGTGAGCCACTGCACCCGGCCCCACAGCCCCAGCTTCTTAATCAGCCTAAAAAATACGTCTAAAGGTGAAAAAGCCTATAAGAATGCCTGGCGTATATCTAAACTTAAGAAATGTTTATTGCTGCTGCTGTTATTGTTATTATTTAAGAGTCTGATAATTAATAGACACACACTTGGGAAATACCAAGATGGGCTTTTCCTACCTCTCCTGTTTTAGCATCTATAGGCGAACTCTGGAATGGTTTGTCCAGTCTTCATAATCCCCTGGCTATCAGAAAATGGGAAGAATATTCATACTGTATATTTCACATGCCAAAAAAGATTTCAATTTCATGCTGTACTGAATCTAAGAAATGCCCCTTTAATCCTGTTTTTATTCTAAACCAGTATAAAAACTTTAATATTTCCTAATAGAGTGTACATTTATTCATTCCTACCAATCTAATGGCAATTTATGAGAAGTCAGGCAATAGCCAGTAAGATAAGCTTGAAGCTTTGGTTCTAAAAGTTCAATCAGTTAACCTAGGACAGCAATCACTTCTCCAGAATGAATAATGACATGGAATAATATTTGGATGGAGATAAACCCTTTTTGCATAGAAAATTGCATTATCATGTACAGTATCTCAGCTGGATATGTAAGTTTACCAATAAGGACACTGCTTCATGCATTTTTATCATGGAGCTTTTTGATTCTGAGATTTCCAGAGGATTCTGCATTGAAGGAGGAATTCTTAATGTTTGCATAATATGTGATGCTCTCTGAGCTGCAGGTGTGGGGGTGGGAAGGTAGGAGCTGGGCTCTGCAGTTTCTGAAAAGCTGCCACTACACTTTCCCAGGGGTTCTTCATTCCACTTAGCAAAGGGAAAAAGCTAGCAATGCACAGTGAGACTGAGTTCTGTAAAGAAATGGTATTGAAAATAAGCATCATGTCAATTTCAGCTAATGGGGCACAGTATGGGTTCATTTTAAAGGGGGGGAGGGGAGCGGCATGCAACCATTAAGAAAGAAATACTTATGCCATATGTGAGCACGCCCACCCAAGCACAGCCAGGATGCAGCAGCTCTGGGGAGAGCTCAATGCATCTCCCCTGCAGACATCGAGATGGACCTCCCAATGCCCAGGTCCCAGACAATCATTAGGGAAGTATAATTATAAATAAAATTAGTGAGAAAGTAGCCATTCCTCCCTGCAACCACCACCACCAACTGCAGCTTCAGCGACTTCTATTGGTAACAGAGATATTTAATCCCTGAATTTCACTAACTTCCCTTTCACAGGTGCAATTGCCAGAACATTTCAGGAGCACACACCTGCTTGCCAGATGACACATTAAGCTGAGAGCGCCCTTTCAAACTCAGGAGGGGGTGAGCTAGGAAAAGCCTTCTCTCCTCCTATCCCTCCCAGGATTGTTGAGTTTGCTCTAGTAAGACTCCAACTACGAATTGTCTGCAATGCTAGAGAAAACATCCATGCTTGGGCATCTGAGAGGCAGTGGAGACCTCTGTAAGTGTCTGCTAGTGATCGCTAGAAAACAAGCGCAGGGACTGAGAGCACAGACATTGGTGTCAGAAGGAACCAGGCTTGAGTTCTGGTTCTTCCACTCATCTCTTCTCTCTTTGCTTCAGTTTTCTCTGCAAAAGAGGAACAAAAATAACATCTGCCTGATAAGAGTCGTGAGGATTAAATGAGGAAATGCTGAAGCTATGCCAGTGAGGGTAGCTGTTACTTCTTGGTTCTGAAATGTGGAATGCTCTGCCACCACAGGTTGCGAGTTCTGGACTGCCACATGCCCTGCATGGAGACAAACCAAAGGGCTGGACCATTTGGTTTGGTAGCAAAAGCAAAAGCTCAGCTTTGCCTGGGGAGCTGTCCACGGCCAACGGTGCTGAAGACAAGCCATTTCTGTGTCTTCTGAAATAGCGTTATCTGTATGCCTGTGGTGTCACCAGCCTGTAATGGCTAGAAATCTATGGAAAGAGGAGTAGTCACCAGGATCAAGGAATAATGATGAAGGTATTTTTCCATGCCAAATATCAAGTTTCTCTCACTTCTTTCTGAGTAATTGTGATGGTTGGCTGTGTGCAGTGGCTCTCACCTGTCATCCCAACACTTTGAGAGGCTGAGGCAGTATTGCTTGAAGCCAGGAGTTCAAGACAAGTCTGGAAAACATAGCAACTTCCATCTCTACAGAAAATTAAAATTAAAAAATAAATCAAGCTGGTGTGATGGTGCACACCTGTGGTCTTAGCTACTCGGGAGACTGAGGCAGGAGGATTGCTTGAGCCCTGGAGTTCCAGGCTTCAGTGAGCTATGATTATGCCACTGCATTTCAGCACGGGTGATGGAGCAAGACCCCCTCTCTATAAAAACAATTGTGGGCTGGGCGCAGTGGCTCACACCTGTAATTCCAGCACTTTGGGAGGCCAAGGTGGGCAGATCATGAGGTCAGGAGTTTGAGACCAGCTTGACCAACATGGTGAAACCCCGTCTCTACTAAAGATACAAAAAATTAGCTGGGAGTCATGGCATGCACCTGTAATCCCAGCTACTCAGGAGGCTGAGGCAGGAGAATTGCTTGAACCCAGGAGGCAGAGATTGCAGTGAGCCAAGAACATGCCATTGCACTCCAGCCTGGGAGACAAGGTGAGACTCCGTCTAAAAAAAAAAAAAAACCAACCAATTGTGATGGCTGGCATCAACTTTTGACTCAAAGTTTTATCGCCTTCTTTCTGACTACGCACCATGTGCTGTAATCACTTGTAACTCTTTCTTCCTCTCCAAACTCCTCATATTCAGTCATGTCTCCATGCCTTTGCCCACATTGATGGCTTTACTCAAGATCCTCTAATCCCATTATTTGTTTGGAAAAATTCCTTCAGGATCCAGATTATGACCTGAAAATCATTCTCTGAATCTCCTCAGCCATATTCCCTGGCTGATCCATCACCTTTAATATCCCATTATAACACTTATAACACTATTTTGTACTCAATTAATTCACTTGAAAATGTTTTCCAAGTACTTTCAATTAAACATGGCCAAGGCACTGGGAATTCAATGATGAGCAAGGAATAGGTGCTGACCTTCAGAAGCTCATAGTCTAATTGAGAAGACTTAGGGTGAGGTGGGAATCAACAGGTAAATCCATGGAACAATGGGCAAAGCACTTGATGCACAATGGGAGAACTGAAGAAGGATTTCCAATAGAAGGTAAATCTATGCTAAGATCTGGAGGATAACTTAATCAGGTGAAAATGAAGAGGGGAAGCCTGTATGCAGTGGACATTGTGTTTCAATATTTGCCAAACGTAACATCTGACAAACTGCCCCACGATACTATACAGACCAGATGAAGAAATCAAATCCAAGTGAAAAAATGGTTAGGATAAGTCAGAGCTTATTTTTATCCAAAACATGTAGATTGGTGAATTTCCAATTTTAATGATATGCAAAAGACTACACATTATATGATTCTTTTTATATAAAACTCTAGACAAGATAAACACAAACTGACATACAGCATATTTCTAGGGGCCAGAGTAGGAGAGAGGACTTCAAAGGGACACAGTGGAATTTTTCTGGGTGATACAAATGTTTTATGCCCTGATGGTTGTGGTAGTTACATGACTGTGTGCATTCATCAAAATCCACCAATTTAACACTTAAATTTTGTGAATGTTATTGAACAGGGAGTAATAAAATATTTACCAGGTTTAAAAATATAGGACATGGCCCAGGATTCTGCAACTTTAATAAGCATCTCTGGCAAATCTAACAAGGATGGTCTGAAAACAGTTATTTCAGAAATGGTTTTTCTAATTACTGATTCTAAGCTTGCTCTAAGCATTCAGTAATGCTTAGAATCAATGTGTAAGTCCACAGAACAATGGTAGCACATGGACCAAGCACCTGATGCTCAATGGGAGGACAAGATCCTTGATCTTGTTCAAAATATTATCAACAAAAATGTGTGGCCAAGATTGCCAGTGACCCAACTCTCCAATTATTCTCTCCTTCATCTTTAGTAATAGAACACTTATTTTTATCTGGGTATGTAATTACCCAGCCAAAAGACTATCTTTTCCAGGCCCTCTTGCAACTAAGCGTGTGACTAAGTCCTGGCCAATATGACTAAGTCCTGGCCAATGAGAATCGTTTTCAAGACTTTCATGAAAATTCCCTTAAGAGGAAGAGATGTGCCTTCTTTATCTCTTCTCTATTCCTCCCATTTAGGATGTATATTAGTCCGCTTTCACAATGCTGATAAAGACATACCCAAGCCTGGGCAATTTACAAAGGAAAGTGGTTTAATTGGATTTATAGTTCCACATGGCTGGGGAAGCCTCACAATCATGGTGGAAGGCAAGGAGGAGCAATTCACGTCTTACATGGATGGCAGCAGGCAAAGAGAGAGCTTGTGCAGGGGAGACTCCCGTTTTTCAAAACCATCAGATCTCATGAGACTTATTCACTATCACAAGAACAGTATGGGAAAGACCTGCCCCTGTGATTCAATTACCTCCCACCAGGTCCCTCCCACAACACATGGGAATTCAAGATGAGATTTGGGTGGGGACACAGCCAAACCATATCAGAATGTAAATGCAGTGGCTGGAGTCCCAGTAGCCATCTTGATCCCTGAGGCATCATATTGATGATGATGATGATGATGATAGAAAAATGACAGACCATGTTACACCATGCCTAATTCTGGACTTTTTTTATATATCTAAGAGAAAAACAAACTTCAGTGATATTTAAGGCACTGCTATTTAGGATGTTTCTACTATATCCAGTGGAACCTAGTCCTAACTCATACCTGCAGCTTATTAACTTCGAATTTCTCACACGAAGCTGATTTGATTATCCAGTGTACTAGGTGACAGAATCAAATGTCAGGCAGATTTTCAGACCCATTAAAAAATGAAGGTATTAAAAGTATCTAGCTGAAATCAGGCTGAATTTAAAAAGTTATACCTCTCCAGGATCTTAGTTAACCACTTTACTCAATATTAGTCAACCTTGTATTGCAGCTGATTTTAAAAAGCTAATTCATTGTCAGGTTACATTAATAAAGGTAGACGATAAGGAACAGAGAAGACAGATTTTCTAGTATGCTTTTTAGACAACAGCTGGAATAGTTAATTCATTCCTGAACACTTCATTTGAAGAAGAATGCTGATAAAATTGAGATGGTTCAGAATGGAGTCAAGTGTAATCAAAGGCCTTGAAAAATGTCAACTGAAAAATCTAGGCTATTTAAACTGGAGAAGAGAATACTGAGATGTGTGATAAAGACTATGGGAAATGTATGAAGAGTCAGCAAGTTCTAGAACAGTAAGACTCATTCCATGTTGCTACAGAAGGAGCTAGGGGAACAAGATGTGAGAGTCAGAGGAAATCAGCATAAGATCCATCAAATGGCCAAGGTGGGTGGCTCACACCTGTAATCCCAGCACTTTGGGAGGCCGAGGTGGGCAGGTCACTTGAGGCCAAGAGTACGAGACCAGCCTGGCTAACATGGTGAAAACCCATTTCTACTAGAAATACAGAAATTAGATGGTCATGGTGAAGCACGCCTGTAATCCCAGCTACTCAGGAGGCTGAGGCAGAAGAATCACTTGAATCCGGGAGGCAGAGGTTGTAGTGAGCCGATATCGTACCACTGCACTCCAGCCTGGGTGACAGAGTGAGACTCCACCTCAAAAAAGAATAAAATAAAGACCCATCAAACAAAAAGTAAGCTGCCTTATGCAATCCAGCCTCCTCTGATATGCCGATTGATTAATTGACTTACACCTCAACTTGTTCCCAAAATAAATACCTAACATTTTAAAGTGATTATGTGATAACACTATTCTGAGTGCTTTATATGTTTAATTCATTTCATTCACAGGACTCTCTAAAGTAAGTACTATTATTATCCCTATTTGTACAGATAAGCAAACTGAGAAGGAAAGGTTTAATAACATGCCCAAGGTCACACAGATAAGAAGATGCATGCACAGCCAAGATTCCAGTGTTCTGGTCCTCGGAGCCCACACAGTCATCACCAGGAGGCTACACTGCCTCTTCCTCACTGAAACATGCAAGGTTTCCCGTGAGTGCCATGTTACTGGAAGAGACTTTGACAGCTAACTCTCTGGAATGTTGAGGTTGCAACTGGGTATCGTGGACTTACTTCTGTGATATCTTCAATGACCAGGGGCTTTGCGGAAGTTCAATGGGATTCTGGTTTTGTGAAGCAGTGGATATGCTGGGTTTGTATAACAACATGTGGAGCATCATGGGAAGGTAACACAATTGGAAGGTAGTTCAAGAGATGCATTAGAAATCAGAGGCACAAATTTGTCAGAATGGTCAAGGCTAGAGAGAAAGGATTTGAAATCCACCCTTGGATATGTGACAACGGAAGTTATGAAGCATTCATATTTGAGAAGGTTGAAAGCAGAGGATGGCAGATACTAAGCTCAACCCATGAACCATGCACTGCATGCTGAGAGTAAAACAAAAGGTCGGCAGCAGCTAAGCATGGAAATAGCCAAATGCTACAGAAGAGAGGGCATGGCACTTTCAAAAGGCTGACTGATCCAGAAGAGTCAGAGACCTCTGTTGCTTTCACTTGCCCAGAATCTATTCACCCTTATTCTTCTAATAGCACCCCTATTATCCTCTGGGAACCATGCTTCTCTGTCATGTTTACCTGGTGGGATTTACCCTGTATTTACCCTGGCATTACTCCCCTGAATCCAAGGTTCCCATGTTTCTGACCTGGCTGATAGCCACAGTCTATTCCCCTGATCACTGTTGACCACTGTGGCTGGTTTAGAGTGAATAGATGACCTAAGTGGGTCCAGTGAGAATCAACACTGAGATTTTTGGTGGAATTATCAGGAAGGAGGCTTCTCTTTACCACCCAGGTACCTAAGCTAGTAAGATGAATGCATGGAGCTTCTGCGTACCATTTCTGGGACTATGTGAAGAGGGCTTGTCCATAAATGAAACCAATGTGACAAAAAGCAGTGTCAAGGCGCCGGTTTGGCAGTGAGGTGGGGGATGTGGATTTGCACACTCAAAGCCAGCATTTTGAATAGTTACATATATTCCCTGGATTTTTCAATTATGCCAGCAAAAATGAATTATTTCCAGTATGTCTCTGTCATTTGCCTCTGAGAGTAACGGTCACTATTCATTATAATTTCCCAGTAATGAGAAACACTCACTATGTCTTTCAACTGTATTTACTCACATACTCTTTTTTTTAACCATAGATCTTAGCAAAAAGATTAAAAAGTAAATAACAGGGGAGCCCTATCCACTTAGCAATTAAGAATGTGGGTTTGGAGGGCCAGAGAACATGTGAGTCCCTGGTTCTGGCACTGTGTGGCCTTGGGCAAGTGACTCCATCCCTCTGAGCCTTGGTGTCCTTACTGGTATAAGGGATTGTGATAATAGTGTCAGAGAGACCTCTATCACAGCATGGATTCCTGCACACCTCCATGCCTTTTTATTACAGCATAAACTCAAGAGCAACATATGTGGTCTCCTCCATGGGGCAGAAACTAGCACAGGGCCGGGTATGTTAACAACAGAAACAAACCTCATTGAAATTATTTGAATCAATTAAATGAAATACTGCAGACAAAAGGGTTTTATAAGCTCCAAAGTATTCATTATTATCATCTCATAGATGATACAATAGCCCCTCTTTTTTAAAGCAAATGAATTGAATCTGAAGTTCAACCAAGTTCAACAAGAAGCAGGACCCTCAAAGTACTTTGTACAGTTATGTATAATCCTAAAATCTGGCCCCATTGCCTCCCCTCCTCCCCCCGCCTTTTTTTTTTTTTTTTTTTTTTTTTACCTTGAATTCAAACTCATCCTTTAAGAAATGCAGTGCTGGTACTTAAAATGAAATTTTGGCAAGGTAAATGCATTTCTTTATGCAAAAACAAAACAAAACAAAAAAGACTGAGGAGTACATCATTTAAAGCAATAAAAAAGCAATTTATGATCCATCTCAGATTTTCAAATGTAAAATAGGACACAAAAAAAGTCTGCGTACAATACATGTTTCAAGATTTGTTAAAGTCCTGCATGGGAAGGAAATAAGACAAGTAATTCAAAAAAAGAAATCCCTTCAAACATTTTTTGCAAAAGTAAAGTACATACAGACACACACACACAGACACACACTTTATGTAGTATAATCAAAAATGTAATAGTAGCAGACGCTAGACAGAAACTAAAAATCTATGCTAGGCCCAGTAATGAGAAATTTCACTATGTCTTTCAACTGTATTTACTCACACACTCCTTTTTTCCATGGATCTTAGCAAATAAGATTAAAAAGTAAATAATTAGGGGAACTCCATCCACTTAGTAATTAGGAATGTGAGTTTTGAGGGGCAAAGGATATGTGAACCCCTGGTTCTGGCACTGTGTGACCCTGGGCAAGTGACTCCATCTCGCTGAGCCTCAGTTTCCTTATGAGTATCAGGGATTGTGATAACACTGTCCTCACAGGTTGTTGGGATTGGTGAGACAAAGGCACAGAAAGTGGTTACCATAAAGAAGTGATCATTCTTTTAATGATCCTTTTATTTTACATGGTTTAAATTAGCCACCACAAAATCTAAATGATTCCCCCAGCAAGAAGGAAGCTACAACCAGAATACCGGGTTGTTATTCATTGCTGTCCTTCTACTCGTCTCACCTGGATCAAGTTAATTCACCTTCTGTTAAAGGAGTCACTTAGAAACTAGGATCTTTGGGGCTCAGTGCATCCAAGAAACTGGACCTATTTGGAGCAGGCAAATATTTATACTAACGAAACAGGCAGACATCTACTCAAACTCAATGGTGCCACAATTTATCTCAAACTATCTTTTTTTCTGTCAGAGTAGAAACTTGGAAGTAATTTTTGACTTTTTTCTCCCTTTAAATCCCCTCTAGTCAACCTATCATCAATTTCTCTGTTTCTTTAAGATGTCATTCAAATGCAAACAGTCCTTTCTACTGCCATTGCCACGACGGTAGTCCAGTGCCTCATGACCCCAATCCTAGAACGATGCAGTAGGCTCTCAGCTCTCTCAGCTCAGTGCTTTTCAAATCCTGGATGCAGATGACGATCATCCAACTACAGATTCTCAGGCCACCCCAGGCATACCAAGTCAGAATCCTTGGGGGCTAAAAAAATAAGGAAAGAAAGAAAAAAAGGAAGAAAAAGAAACAGGCAGAAATAGGTCCTTGTCTTGGAAGGAACACTGAGCACTGGGTAAAGAGTCTCACCCAGGTCTCATCTCTACCTTTCTGTAAAAAGAAAAAGCCTTCAACAGATGCTGTTTCTTTAGTCACTTCAACCACAGGAAGATGTCAAATTCAGAATGGCATTTTTCACTTATAAGAAAAAGATCTGAAAACCCAAACTTGGAATCTCAAAGAAAGCTTAAGTGGAAAGGACATCTTTCAATAACCAACATCATCATCTTTCCCATGTACTACCATCCCAACAGACAGAGACATCCAGGGAGTCCTGCTCTGTGAAGCACTTTTCAGGAAACAATCAGCTTAAGACATCACCCATCCAATTCACTTTGACTCTGATGAACAGTGTCATCGCTCCTCAGAAAAATGAAACAGGAGTGGCATATAGTCATGATGACAGCCAGCTAACCATTGGTGAGTCTTTCGAGTTTTTTGTTTGTTTGTTTGTTTGTTTTTAAGCATGTCATGCACAGAAAAGGAGACAGCAAAAGTAGGCAGATAGAAACTGCCATGTAACCAGAGGCTTAGGGCAATTGGCAGACAATTCTAAGCCTTCATTCATTCACTCAGCAAGTTTTTTTTGTTCGTTTATTTGTTTGCTTTTGTTTGTGTGTTTTTTGAGACAGAGTTTCACTTTGTTGCCCAGGCTGGAGTCCAGTGGCGTGAACTTGGCTCACTGAAACCTCCGCCTCCCAGGCTCAAGCAATTCTCCTGCCTCAACCTCCCGAGTAGCTGGGATTACAGGTGCCCGCCACCACGCCTAGCTAATTTTTGTATTTTTAGTTGAGATGGGGTTTCTCCATGTTGGCCAGGCTTGTCTTGAACTCCTGACCTCAGATGATCTGCCCGCCTCAGCCTCCCAAAGTGCTGGGATTACACGCATGAGCCACTGCGCCCAACCTCAACAAGTATTTATAAAGTGCAAGGTTCTGTTCTGGGGGCTGAATATAGAGCAGTAAAGATAATACTAGGCAGTGGCAAGTGCTATGAAGGGTATTAAACTACATGGAGCAACAGATATTATAAGAAATTACAAAAGACCCTGAATAGCCAAGTCAATCTTGAGCAAGAACAAAGCTGGAAGCATCATACTTCCTTGCTTCAAGTTATATTACAAAGCTACAGTAATCAGAGAGTATGGTTCTGGGACAAAAACAGACACACAGACAAGCTGGAGGGAGGTGAGCTGGAGGGAGAAGCCTAACAATGTAGGCTGTGCTCTGACACTTACAGCAGACGTCATCCACACGGTGAATAAGTGACCAGGGAGAAAGCCAGGAAAAACTAAGGGAAACAGGCATTGAGGGGCAGGTTTCCTCAAAGGGATGCTACTGTCACTTGAAGTAGGATTGCTTTTCTTGTGTGGGTCTGTCCTGAGCATTGTGGGACATTCAGCAACTCCTGACACCCCACCCCACCCACCTAACATCTGTAGGGTCCC
Organism: Homo sapiens; assembly: GCF_000001405.40. Lineage (NCBI taxonomy): Eukaryota > Metazoa > Chordata > Mammalia > Primates > Hominidae > Homo > Homo sapiens. The sequence goes on along the minus strand of NC_000016.10, from coordinate 25,738,519 downwards.
TTCTCTTGGCACTAGAGCAGCCAAAAATGTCCCTGCCCACTTCCCAAAAGGACAGGCAATAACTCCCTGTTCGAGAACCACTGATCAAAAGGGAGAACTAGGATGAAGGCCCTCAGTTAGAAACAAGATTGGACTATTCAAAGAAGAGAGAGAAGGCCAGGGTGCCTGGCATGTAAGGAGTGATGGGGAAAGAGGTAAGAGCTGCGCTGATAGTCATAAATGCTTAGCTGTGGTTTACTAGGTCTCCACACCATCAGCCTAGGAAAACTTCCCGTAGGAGACAGAGGATGAGCAAGGCATAGAAGCTACAGGTATCGGCTGGGCGTGGTAGGTCACGCCTGTAATCCCAGCATTTGGGCAGGCCGAGGAGGGTAGATCATGAGGTCAGGAAATCGAGACCATCCTGGCTAACACGGTGAAACCCCATCTCTACTAAAAATACAAAATACTAGCTGGGCGTGGTGGCACGTGCCTGTAATCCCAGGTACTTGGGAGGCTGAGGCAGGAGAATTGCTTGAACCCAGGAGGCGGAGGTTGCAGTGAGCCGAGATTGCTCCACTGCACACCAGCCTGGGCAACAAAGTGAGACTCCACCAAAAAAAAAAAAAAAAAAAGAAGCTACAGGTATCTACATGGTTTCCTCACAATATCAGGAAATGGGACACAATTACATGAAGTTTTGCTGCCCAGATGCTGCTATTAGCAAAGATGGGAGAAGGGAGAGGGAGGTGGGCAAATTGCCTTGTTTCATTATCCTAAAATGTATACATTGTTTCTTTATTTGTATACTTGTAAGGGGTACAAGTACAGTTGTGTTACATGAATATATTGCATAGTGGTGACTTCTGGGCTTTTGGTGTAACCATTACTCAAGTAATGTACATTGTACCCAGTAAGTAATATCTCACCCCCCTCCCACTCTCCTACCCTTCGAAGCCTCCAATATTTATCATTACACTCTCTATGTCTATGTGCACATATTACTTAGCTCCCACTTATAAGTGAGAAAATGCAGTATTTGACTTTCTGTTTACGAGATGTTTCACTTAAAATCATGGCCTCCAATTTTACTCACATTGCTGTAAAAGATATGCTTGCATTCTTTTTATGGCTGAATAGTATTCCACTGAGTGTGTGTGTGTGTGTTTGTGTGTGGGGGGGGTCACTTAAAACATATACTTTTATTCACATTTTAATCTACATCAAACCAGAACATGTCTCACAAGTATCACCACTGGCCAAGTGTAGTCATGACATACGGTCATCGCCTGAGCATGCACATCAAAATGTGCATCGTAACCAGCAGCATCCACCTCCACCCATGTTCCCATGAAGGACATGATCTCGTACTTTTTTATGGCTGTGTAGTATTCAATGGTGCACATGCACCGCATTTTCTTTATCCAATCTGTTATGAGCTTACCTATATAACAAACCTGCATATGTACCCCCAAATCTAAAATAAAAGTTAAAAAAAAAACCCATCTCTACAAAAATACAAAAATTAGCCAAGCATGATGGCAGGTGCCTGTACTCCCAGCTACTCGGGAGGCTAAAGCAGAAGAATCCCTTGAACCCAGGAAGTGGAGGTTGCAGTGAGCCGAGATCACGCCACTGCACTCCAGCCTGGGCGACAGTGTGAGACTCCATCCCCAAAAAAAAATAAAAAGAAAAGAAAAACCAGCAGCATCATGGAAGAAAATCCTAGGGACAATAACCCAACACTCTTTAGAAACTCTGCAAGAGATTTGATGGAACAATGAATGATAGTATGGGGAGGGGAGGAGGACACTGGGAACTGGAGGTGATTTAGAAGGATCAGACTTTGAATAGGAAATCTTTGGAATACTGGAACCAATTTATTTTTTCTGATAATTGAATACACAAGAGTGATAGAAGATAAATGTCTTAGTATAAGGATGTTCTTTCCATGAAAATAAAATGTTAAAGCTCTAAATGTAAATGTATTGTCATGCTTTAATTAGCAATGTTTTATTCTTAGGGATCACATGAATAAGAGTGCATCTTACAGATTCGAGGAAATCTGAGAACATTTACAGAGCATCCAGTGAGTGCCAAGAATTTTATATGTGCCATATAGCACGTAATCTTCACAGTCACACTCTCAAAATCCATATTATAAACTCCACCTCACAGATGTTAATAAGTGACTTCATATGGCAAGGTTTGTTTTCTCGCTTCAAATGAACCACATCCAGTAGGTAAAGGCCAAAGCCACACTGCAGAGACATGATGACAAAGGGTGGTCATAGCCTCAAAAACATGTTCTTCCAACGTCGTTATGAATGCCATTCCAATTAACTTCCCCACTATTCCCTGGAAAAATATCCTTTGACCTCTGCTCAGACAACGTGGGAAGCCCTGTTTTGAAGCAAATCTGTGGTATGAGGAGATGAAAACCTAGCCTAGGACAGATGCACTGACAGAGTGGGATTCTTGAGAAGTATTGCAAAGTTAGGTAGAACTTGGTGATCAAGTAAATTACAACTGTTACAAGATAATAAACAAAGAATTTGATCCCCCAGACCCTCTCTGCATATCTTTTTTCTTCTGTCTTCTGGTAATTAGTGCCTCAATTTTCCTTTAGGGGACAGCTCTTCCTCCTCCAGTTCTGCATTGTCTGAGGCAGGCTGATGCCACCCCCTAGCTCCAGGTCTATGTCATTAGGCTCACAGTGGTAGGCTCAGGGATGAGTATGTAACTGAATCTGGGCCAGTGAAAGTCAGCCTTAAAACTTTTGCTGAAACTGTTTGGAAAGCAGCATTCCCTTTCCTCTGCTGTGGCTGAGCCATTTAAAAGTATACCTGGGCTGGGCATGGTGGCTCATACCCGTAATCCCCAGCACTTAGGGAGGCCACGGCAGGAGGACTGCTTGAGACCAAGAGTTCGAGACCAGACTGGGCAACACAGTGAAACCCCATCTCTACAAAACAACTTTTAAAATGGGCCCGTTGTGGTAGTGCACACCTGCAGTCCCAGCTACTCAGGAGGCTGAGAGTGGAGGGTTGCTTAAGCCCAGGAGTTCAAGGCTGCAGTAAGCCATGATTGCACCACTGCACTCTAGCCTGGGTGACAAATAAAGATCCCCATCTCAAATAAAAAAAAAAAAGAAAAAGTACACATGAGAACAGAGTCAACACAGAGCAGAGCAAAGAATTGGAAAGAGACAGATCCCTGATGATTTGAGTCTCTGGATCCAGTTTTGCCTGAAGCTTCTGGATGATGCTAGAATTTTTAGTTAGCTGAACATATAAATTATTGCAAGGGGAAGCATGATGTCAGAGTCCTGACTTACATGACACTGTGTACTACTATATCTTACAGTGCTCACTGCCTACACATTCAGGCAGGTAGACATGTTGGCCTCTTACCCAAGGGTTGAAGGCAGTATTTTCTGTTAGAGAGCAAGGGGCTGGTTGTCAAACCCTTCAAGGCACAGACATCTGAAGTGTGCTCCCAAGGAGTCAGTTCCTTGACCAAGAGTTTTCTAAACTAAAGTCAGCTTCAGAATCCACAAAACACACTCCTTTGTAGAGAACATTCCAGGGTGGGTGAGCTGACTCACAGCCTGGCACAGGTGTCCCCAGGAGGAATGATGTGGGAAGCACCAGAAAACTCCCCTGGGCCAGTGTAGGCTTTGGTCGCCCCAGCATCCCAAAATAAATCCTGAAATCCCCACCATCAGGTGACTCCTTAGGCTTCTAGCACTCCCTCTTTCTCTCTCAAAGGCTTCTGTTGGAATACATCTGTGTCACACAAAGGGGCACCTGAACTCACCAGCTCATCTTCATATCACCCAGCTCATTACATGAGCTGACAGCTTCCTAGGGAAATCACACATGCCTGGGACTGTTTGCATGATTGTGGCCAGAATGTTCCACTACACTGTAAATTCCATAAAAGGGAGGAATTACATCTTTCTGAGCTCCATCATACCCCAGCACCTCACAGAGTGCCCGGAAATCCACAATAAATATTTATTGGATGAATGATTTATGGTAGACAACCCTGGAGGTGGGAGTTAGGAGGACTAATTGCTGGTCCTAGCTCTGCCCAAGTCTACACACTCACATTCACGCAATGCCTCTCTGGGAGCCTGGGCCCTCTTCCCAGAAATATGAGGAGGTGGACCCCTGAAATTTAAGATCCAAGCTGGAAGACCTGTACAGATGGATGCGTTTGGCACATTCTGCGATTTTTACATACTTGTGGCAATGTAAAGAGTTGGGAAATTTCATATAAAAATTCAGATTTCTGGCTTTTCTTGAAAAATGGATGTTCTGGCAAAACTGAACCCATATTGCACACATAGCCAGAAAAGAGAAGCACACCTAGTATATGTCGCTACAATGTGTTTTTGTTTTGTTTTGTTTTGTTTTTTTGAGACGGAGTCTCGCTCTGTCACCCAGGCTGGAGTGCAATGGCGCAATCTCGGCTCACTGCAACCTCTGCCTCCAGGGTTCAAGCGATTCTTCTGCCTCAGCCTCCCAAGTAGCTGGGACTACAGGTGCATGCCACCACTCCCAACTAATTTTTGTATTTTTAGTAGAGACAGGGTTTCATCATATTGGTCAGGTTGGTCTCGAACTCCTGACCTCGTGATCTGCCTGCTTCTGCCTCCCAAAGTGTTGAGATTACAGGCGTGAGCCACTGCGTCCGGCACCCAATGTGTCTTTGAGCTGAAAGAATCCAGCCTAACTCACACCCCATCTGCTGCACTCACCTGTTAACTAATATCCCCTAATTCCACACCATTTTTCAGACAGGAAAGTTGAGATCCAGAGATAGCAAGTGATGCGTTTCCCCCCGCCCCCCAGATTCATACAGCAAATTTGGGACAGGGCAGGGGACAGGACAGAATCCAAGCAAATTTGGGACAGGACAGAATCCCAGCCTCCTTGTGTTCAAGCCCATGGTCTTCTCTGCACCATGATTTTTAATCCTGCAACCTGTACTGGGTTTAAACTCTCATGTTCCTTCCTTCTGAACCAAGATAATTGAGTCATTTTACAGAGTCTCACTCACTACCTTGTAAAACATGATGCCTCATGACGGGGCTAGATGCTCAGGTGAATGTGGCCACAGACCTGAATACAGAGGAACGTCCAGTGTGGGCTTGTGCACAGGGACCTACCAGCAAACAGAGGACTTTCAGTGAACCTGTTATCCTCCACCAAGATGCTCACAAGTGGAGACTAACAAATCCAGTTAGCCCAGCAGGGAAATAAAGAATCAAGATTATTCCGATAAATAATAACCAAAGATAGAAAAAGCGTGTCTCACGTCACCAATTTCTTGGCACATAAAACAAAATAAGATGCATGTGTTTGCATCTTGATAATCTCTAAAATACATTTTCCCATGTCTGCATTTCTCTGCATCCCAGAGGAAGAGAAAGCCTAGGTATAACGTTCTAGAAAGTCCCTACATTAGATGGACCTCAGAGATGGTCTTCTTTGGAAGGCACCTCCAACCCATAAATCTGCAGGGTAGGTAGAGAGATCCTGAGTGTGTTGTTTTTATTATTACTACTAATGATGAAGACAGACGTTGCCATTTTATTGATGTGTAGCAGGGCTAGGCACAGGGCTATAAGCCTGATATGTTTCATCTTGCTCATCAGCACAGCAATACTAAGAAGGAGGAACTATTGCGACCGATTGGGCGACATGTCCGAAGTCCCACAGCTAGGAAGTAGCAGGGAGAAAGAAACCGACAATGAAGACACAGGGCTTCCGATAATCCATGCTATACTGCCTCCTTCCAGAAATTTAACTGGTTCCATCCAAGTTATGGAATGCTTTTTTATGATTGTTGTTGCTGTTAAATCAGTCAAGACTGCATGATAAGATGATTGCAGCCATCTTATTTGATACTCCTTTTTTTTGATACTCCTTTAGGGTATCAAGAGCTCCACAGACTCTGACCATTCATTGTGGCACCCAGAACACCAGCTGAAGGTGACGGGGTGTCACTGTGAAAAGCTGGAAAAGAAAAAGCTTGTTGCTCTACAGAGCTTGTTAGCATGAAAATAATCATGCATTTCTTATTGTTTGGTGGTAGAGCTACAGAGGTCAGCCTCGGAGATGGCATATCAACGTGGCTCACCAAATGAGCCAGTCAAGATGGGAATATCAATTTATTTTTGCAAGCACGTGTCAACGTAATTCCTACAATGTAAAAAGGTAGCTGGTCTAAACTGCCGCCAAAAAGTACTGCCAACTTGTCAATTTTTACTAATGCTTATTTGATGCCAAGGGTTTGGGGGGTAGGGGTGGGCAGAAGAGAAAGTGGAAAAGGGGAAAAATCACAATATGTGTTCTAGACAATATTGGTTTAGATTTTTTAAAGATCTAAAATTCAATTATGGAAAGCCAGCAGCCTGATCCAGTTACTGTGACTAAAGCAATTGTCAGACCATCTCTAGTCAACCCCTTATGGGTTTTGCAATGTGTCTACCCCAATTTTGGATCAGGAGGGGTCAAACAGAAATACAGCAATGTGATTAAACTGCTCCTTTGCAAACAATATGAAAAGGTTTGTTCTTCCAAAGTAGATTCTAACAAATCGTCTGCTCACTGTGGGGTAGCAAAGAGAGAAAAGCAAATCTTTCTATTAGTCTCAAGCAAGTCTTCAGATTTACACACAATCTAATGAAGCATCTTTATTTTCCTAGCAGCTTGCACTTGCCTCAACCGGAGTCTGTGTGACTGTGGCAGTGTGTTATAAAGGGTTTATTCAGCAGGCTAAGGATGTCCAAACCCTCCACATTCCAAAGAAAGGACCAACTTTTGACCAGCTCCTGGGAGATAATCTCTGAACCCTTGGAATATCCTACCTCATAAGAGTGTCTCTGTAGGTCAAGTGTGGTGGCTCACACCTGTAATCCCAGCACTTTGGGAAGCCAAGGTGGGAAGATCACTTGAGTCCAGGAGCTCAAGATGAGCCTGGGCAACATAGCAAGACTCCATCTCTTAAAAAAATACAAAAATTAGTTGAGTATGCTGTTGCATGCCTGTAATCCAAGCTGCACAAGAGGCTGAGGTGGGAGGATTGCTTGAGTCCAGGAGGTTGAGGCTGCAGTGAACCGTAATTGTGCCACTGCACTCCAGCCTGGGCAACACAGGGAGGCCTTGTCTCAAAAAGAAAAAAGAAAAAATAAGAGTATCTTTGTATACCTGAAAAATTAGGCCATACCAAATACTTTATGCTAACAATGTGATATGCAGTGAACAGCTGTTTTTGTTCATGTAGGGCCCTGGGCCATGACATTTCAATCTGACCTCCAATGGCAGGAGGCTGAAGACTGATAGCTAAGATCAGTCATGTGGGTGCCCCATGCCTATGTGACAGACCCCCAATCAAATTTCGGGACACCAAGCCTCAGGCAAGCGTCCTCAGCTGGCAACACTGGGCACATGTTCTCACATCTTGTTGCTGGGAGGATCAAGCGCTGCCTAGGTGAGTTGGCTGGGGGAGGGCACCTGGAAGCTCATGTCTGGTTTCTCCTGGACTCCACCCTGTATGTGTCTTTGTCCTCTGCTGATTTTAATGTGTGTCATTTCACTGTAATAAGCCATAAATGCAAATATGACAACTTTTCTGCGTTCTGTGAGTCCTTCTGGTAAATCACAGAACACAAAGGTGGTGTTGGAGACCCCCAAGTCAGGCAGGGAGGGAAGAGGGATAGAAGGATGGGAGAAAGTGAGGGAGGAAGAGAGTAAAGAACGGAGGAAAAGAGGAAAAAGAGGGAGGAAAAAGGGAGGGAGAGAAGGAAGGAAGGAAGGACGGAAGGAAGGAAGAAGGGAGAGAGGGAGGAACAGAGGGAGAGAAGGAAGAGAGGGAGAGAAGGACGGAGGGAGGGAAGGAAAGAAGGAAGGAAAAGAGAAGGAAAGAAGGAAGGAAGGAAGGAGAAGGGAGGAAGAAGGGAGAGAGGGAGGAACAGAGGGAGATAAGGAAGAGAGGGAGAGAAGGACAGAGGGAGGGAAGGAAGGAAGGAAAAGAGAAGGAAAGAAGGAAGGAAGGAAGGAGAAGGAAGGAAGGAAGAAGGGAGAGAGGGAGGAAGAGAGGGAGATAAGGAAGAGAGGGAGAGAGGGAGAGAAGGACGAGGGAGGGGAGGAAGGAAAGAAGGAAGGGAGGGAGGGAGGAGAAGGAAGGAAGGAAGGAAATATAAAATGAAACAAGAAGAAAACAACCCAAGGAGCTGTTCTAGTACCAACTTTCTTACTGTTTAGGCTCAAAGTACCAACAGGAAGAAAAAAATGTCACCTATACAAGAGCCTTGAAAAACACCAAAAATAGATAAAAACCAGAGGCTACCAGAGCAAGACCCAGGACATAATTTAACACCACCATGCCGCCATTGAGACTGCATTGTCTAACCATTTCCCCAGTACACCTTTGAGAAGTAATAACTATTCCTTCTTTGATAAAACCATCCAGTTTCAAAATAAAATAAAACTCTCAAAAGTGACCTGGAAGAGATTTAAACAGATTATAGCATTAAATAATGCCCTTTTTCTTTTCTCTTTGTGGTTAGACAAGGGAATCAAACAGATTGCTGCCTGTGTATGAGCCACCAGAGCAATTGGACAGCTCTCATTTAATGCTCTGGAAAGGCGGAGGGTACAAACTCCATACCTGTACCCGAGGCTGGAAGCTCGGTCCTCTTATCCTTCTCAATTCATTGAAAACCACTTCAAGCAAAAATCATTTGAAAGAAATTACCTCTGTGTATTATACCACGAGCAGTGAAAAACGACCCACGTGAGACTCGATGGTCCCAAAGCAATAAAATTTTTGCCGAAGTGCAAGATATAATAACTCAGGGAAAAGAAGTCCCCATGACAACAAGAAGGGAAAGGAAATGAGTGAAAAATTAGAGGATTCAAGTCTGTTACAATACAAGGCATCACTAATTTGTACTTCGAAATCTGTCTTTGCGATTGCAATCCCAGAAAGGAACTTCCTCTCTATTGCTGTTCTGCCTGCCCAGGTGGTAGCGTGGAACCTAACTACACGTCATCAAAAGAGGATGGGGATCCAGGCACCAGGATGGAACCTGAATCTACTCCATGCTTTCTGCCTGTCCCAAATCAGAAGGATGTGGGCGTGCTGTGGCGTTTATAGCAAGGCTGGGATTTCACAAGATTCCATATGCATATATTTAGAACTTGTGGCCAATGCAGGAAACCACAAGATTTTCACACCATTAGATGTCTAGGGTCATCTTCCAAACGCTGTGTCTCATTTCTTTTTCAGGAAGAACCCAGAAAGAAACTCTCACTATTCCCCACTGGATTTCTTGGTTTGTCACTCTTAGCCCGGCTCCTGAGTGGGGTCCCATCTATCCAGACTCCTTCTTGATGTACCCCAAAATTACTATTTTTTTTCTCTTTCCTTTTTCCTTTTTTTTCAAGATAAGGTCTTGTTCCGTCGCCCAGGCTGGAGTGCAGTGGTGCAGTCATAGCTCACTGCAGTCTCAAACTCCTGGGCTCAAGAGATCCTCCCACCTCAGCCTCCCAAGTAGCTGGGACTACAGGCACAGGCCACCATACTCAGCTAATTTTTATTTTTTTATAGAAATGGGGGTCTCACTATGTTGCCCTGGCTGATCTCAAACTCCTGGGCTCACAAGATCCTTCTGCCTTGGCCTCCCAAAGTGTCGGGATTATAGCCATGAACCACTGTGTTTTGCCAAGACTAAAACTTTTTAAGGGTGTTACTAGTTATCATTACTGAGAAACAGAAGATGTAAGGAAACAAACACTGGAGACTCTTCTGGAGTGTTGGTTTGTATCGTTGCCACTATCCCACCGAGTCTCTGATTCCGTATTACTGAGGGCGCTGTTGGTTGCTCTGATCCTGCTGGCCCTACTCTGCCCAGAGGCTTTCTTTAATTCCCATGAATACTTTCCTTACCTACAGTCTCTCTTCCCTAATCATCATCATCATCATAAACGGTTATCAGTTATTCAGTCCTTATGAAGGGTCTGCCGTCAGGCTAGGCTCTTTATATACTTTATTTTATTTAATCCAATCAACAGCGATATGGCAAAAGTATTATATGTTCTTTGCAAATCAAAATAATAAGCACAGAGAAGCCAAGCTACTGGCCCAAGGTCACACAGACCTGATATTTGAGCCTGAGTCAGAATTACTCTAAAAGCTGAATATAATAAACTTACTGAAAAAATACAGGCCAGGCACAGTGGCTCACGCCTGTAATCCAAGCACTTTGAGAGGCCAAGGCAGTCAGATCATGAGGTCAGGAGATCGAGACCATCCTGGCCAACATGGTGAAACCCTGTCTCTACTAAAAATACAAAAATTGGCTGGGTGTGATGGCGCGTGCCTGTAATCCCAGCTACTCAGGAGGCTGAGGCAGGAGAATTGCTTGAACCAGGGAGTCGAAGGTTGCAGTGAGCCGAGATGGCACCACTGCACTCTACCCTGGATGATGTAGTGTGACTCTGTCTCAAAAAATCTATATATTAATAATAGTAATAATCAGAACAAGAGTAAGGTTAAATTCAAGTGATAGCTTTTCTGGACCTCCACACTAAGCCAAACCTACTTTCTTCAAGCTCACCCCAGTATTTCCACGAGGTCCATAATGTTGAAATCATAATTTTAAAGTATGTGTGCACATGTGTATTTTTGTCCTAGTTTTAGTCTTCCATAAAACACCTGAATGATCAGCAACCCTAGAAGCTGATCATAATTCTAGTCATGAGGTGTACCGAATGGCATAATTCAGCATCAAAAAGTCACCCCGTAAATGGATTAAGTATGACTGAATGATGTGGGTTCTCCCTGGGTGTGAATGGGGTGGAAGCCATGGAAGTGAATGGGGCATTGTAGAAGGAGGAGTTAACTCTTTCCAAGTGTCTGTTAGATTTTCTCCACTCTGGCAGAACTTGGTTCAAAATCCTCAACCAGAAACAACACACTATCAATATTAGACAATTGAGTGTTATTTTTTCCCTGATGGATATATTTTTCTAAAGTATCTTATACTTGCTAACCTTTTTTTCCATTATCTATTTTTAATTGAAGTAATACAAACATATTTTTTAAAGGGAAATTCATGGTGTAAAGGATGTATACTACATGTCACTCTGCATCTTGTTTTTCTCTTCAACAGCAGATCTTGGAGATTGCTTCATATCTCTATATACATCTCTGTCTCATTCTTTTCCGTAACTGCATTGCATCCCTTCTGCAGATATGCCATAATGTTTTTAACCAGCTTCTGATACACTTAGGTGGTTTCCAGTCTTTTGCTATTAATAATAAAATGGATCTTATATATATGGGTCCTTTTTGCTAGACAATTGAGATTTTGCAAACAATGCTGAGTAATAGCTGCTCTAAATCTAAGTACATACCTGTTCTTACAGAGATTATATTCTCCAACTCCAAAGTAGGGATACCAAGTAAGAAATGTTAAGTAGACCTATGGATAGCTTGAGCATTTGAAGTGAGGCCTGTCCTGACAATTGTGCCATGTGGGGTTGCCGAATCCACACCCCTTCTGAGAATCAGTGAATCCATGACCACTGAGAATGGAAAATAGAAAGGATCTACAAAGCATCATGAAATTCTTAAAGTATGCATTTCTTTTTGGCAGCATATGTGAGAAATGTAAATGCAATGCTAAACGTCACCTACAGAGCACGTTGCATGGGACATTAACATAATACAATTTAGACACAATAGCAATTTCAGTCATATATCAAACCAATCACTGCTGAAAACACTTCTCCCCTCGCTATTGACTGATGCCACGAATTTCATCTGTGACTGAGATTCTAAGTCAACTCAAAGAATATGGTTTTCATATGTGAGGGCAGGGAGAACAAGGGCATATCCAGACAAAGCTGGCAAGAGTGTAAATATTTATATAAGCTTCCTGGAGAAAAATTTAGTAATGTGTACCAAAAGCCTTTAAATCACCCTGACTGCTCACCCTTTAACCCAGTGATAAATGCCCAGAAATTTATTCAAAGAAAATGGGGTCTGTGTGTGTATGTGTGTGTGTATGTGTGTGTGTGTTTCATACCCATTTGTTCACTGCAATGTTTTAGGACTAGAAAAACATTGAAAGCAATTTACATGTTCAACTGTATAACATCAAGTAAATACATTAGAAATACAAAGAAAATGTGTGTGTACGTGTGTGTGTGTGGACGTGTTTCGTACCCACTTGTTCACTGCAATGTTTTAGGACTAGAAAAACATTGAAAGCAATTTACATGTTCAACTGTATAACATCAGGTAAATACATTATAATACACCCATTCCATACAATGAACACTACACAACCAATAAAATTCATGCAGTAACAAAGCAGTTTTCAAACTGTGGGTCACAAATCATTAATGAGTCAGGAAACCAATTTAGTGGGCCTTGGCCAGCCTTTTAAATAGAATGAAAGAACAGAAAATGTAAGAGTCCATTATTCATAGTAAGCATGGTTTTGTGAAACTTTTTTTCTAATGCATGTGTGTTTATACTAGGTCATTATATAAAATGCATTTCTGACTGCAAGGCATAGTAAAAGAAAAATTGAAAGCCACTGTTGTAATAGAATATTCAAAAGCATGAGACTATGACAATATTCTATGTGTAAGTGGAAAACATAGTTAAAAACTATTGTATAATCCCAAATTTGAGATAATACCAATAATTAAATATATGCATTTATTTAATTATATGTATATATGTATATTTATATTCATTATATGTAAATTATATGTATTTGCATTCTATTTAATGTGCAATCTATATTTTTAAATTATATATAAATTGCAATATATAAGTTCTATACACAATATAGAATTTACAATTAAATATAATTTTCAAATTGCATCCAATTGTTTGCATTATATGCAAATTAGTATATGTGCATATATATTTAACTATTAGTATTATCTCAAATTTGGGATTATACTATAGCTTTTAATAAACTCTGGCATATATCACTGGGTTAAAGGGGGAGCAGTTAGAATGATTTAAAGGCTTTTGGCACAGAAAAGATATCCTCTGGATGGTAGGATTATGGGAGAATGTAATTTTTCTCTATGTACTTTTGGTATTTTCTAAACTTCTTATAATGTACAATGTTTACGTTAAAAACCGGGGGCTAAGGGGAAGAAAGGCTATTTTTCGGATATGGTTGTGGTAAGTAAATCACAACCTTTAGATGGCTCCTAAGAGCAAGTCAATGGTGACAGAATAAATAAATGAGATGACCAGGAAGCCATTCCATCCTCTGATACACTCCTGTGAAAAATCATCTTTCAGAAATGCTGCATGCCCATGCATTTAGAGAAGCAGCATTTCTGGAAAAGGGTGCCTATGAAAAACAAAAATAGTAGTAGAATTAAAAGTATCCTGTATCATGGTGTGATAACATACACAAGTGACTGCTGTTCCTATTTAAAAAAAAAAAAAAAAAAAAGAGGGAGGAAGGAAGATAATGAAATAGAAGAGGGAGAAAAGGCAAGAAAGCACAAAAAATACCTAATCTCCCCAGGGGACAAAAGGAAAGCCTATCTTTGAAAAATAGCAGCAAAAAAAAAAAACTTGACGAGGTTTTCACATAATGACTAGAGATTTCAGCCACCAAATATCTTTCTAAAGTTATTAAATTTTAAAATGTCCACGAACTCAACAAACTCATTGTTTTAATTCACAACGAGTTAACGAAGTTGCCAGTGACCTGACCTCCTTTAATATTGGATGAGGAATTTTATGAGCCAGCTCTACTTCGGGTTCAGGTGATGACTTCGCTGTTAGACGAACAGAGTTACATTTAAAAAAAAGTTGAGGGGGCCGAGCGCAGTGGCTCATGCCTGTAATCCCAGCACTTTGGGAGGCCGAGGTGGGGGGATCACGAGTTCAGGAGTTCGAGACTAGCCTGGCCAACACAGTGAAACCCCGTCTCTACTAAAAATACAAAAATGAGCCAGGCGTGGTGGTGCACACCTGTAGTCCCAGCTACTCGGGAGACTGAGGCAGGAGAATCGCTTGAACCTGGGAGATGGAGGTTGCAGTGAACCAAGATGGTACCATCACACTCCAGCTTGGGTGACAGAGCAAGACTCCATCTCAAAAAAAAAAAAAAAAGTTGAGGGGAGCTTTAGTATGGAAACATAGTCATTAGTGACTTTATTTAAACTTCTGTTTCGCCCCAGTGTGGCAGGTATCTGCTGAAATTGCTCAGCATTGAACAAGAAAAAGATGGCTCTTCTGTATTCATTTCACTGCTTTATTTTCCAAATCTTTCTTGAATACAGACACTATCCTGGCTCAAAATGTTTATATTTTTTGGGGGAAACAATGGCAGGTGGTAGATTTTTTTTTTTTTTTTTTTTTTTTTGAGATGGAGTCTCGCTCTGTCGCCAGGCTGGAGTGCAATGGCACGACCTCGGCTCTCTGCAACCTCCACCTCCTGGGTTCAAGCGATTCTGCTGCCTCAGCCTCCTGAGTAGCTATGATTACAGGCACCCGCCGACACACCCAGCTAATTTTTTTGTATGTTTAGTAGAGACAGGGTTTCACCATGTTGGCCAAGATGGTCTCGATCTCTTGACCTCGTGATCCACCCTCCTCGGCCTCCCAAAGTGCTGGGATTACAGGCGTGAGCCACTGCACCCAGCCAGCAGCTGGTAGATTTCTATTTAGTAGGTGATTTAGAAATATTCAGACAAGACATAAATATAAAGAACATAAATACAAAGAATGATGGGAGAAAAGTATGATGACTGGAGAACAGTAGTAAATCACTTCTAGGCTGAAGAAGAAAAGCATCTGAGCTTCATCGAGGATATTTTGAGTAAAAGAGATAAAAAATTGTTAGGCAAATGGACAAATCCATTCTTTCAGATGTTACTGCAAAAATGTGGGCCCAAACTAAGACGGCTTCAATGATCACATGTGATTTTCAAAGGGTATACTGGTCAAATTTGTACCACTTTTTCATGGCTTATGATTTATTTGTGTATTCCTAGAACCCTGAACAGTACTAGAGTTAGCAGACAGTTATAAATAACCATCCAATGTTAGATAAATATGGTTGCTTGGTTGAAATCCAATGAAGATTTGAGGAAAGAATCATACATGCTAAAGGAACATACATAGCTGGTTTAAAAAGAAACTACCAAAGGCACCTGAATTAACTTGTCCATATATTCTATATTTATATTGATAACTGACTTCTTAATTTTTAAAAACAAAATCTACATCTTCTTCCTTTATCGTGTTTATTTTCTAGAGCTTTGCATGTTAATATGGTTTAGCCGTGTCACTACCCAAATCTGATCTTGAATTGTAGCTCCCACAATTCCCTCATGGGGGAGGGACCCGGGGAGATAACTGAATCATAAGGGTGATTTCCCCAATATTGTTCTTACGGTAGTGAATAAGTCTCACAAGATCTGATGGTTTTATAAGGGGAAACCTCTTTTACTTGTTTCTCATTCTCTCTTGTCTCCTGTCATGTAAGACGTGACTTTCCCCTTCCACCATGATTGTGAGGCCTCCTCAGCCATGTGGAACTGTGAGTCCATTAAACCTCTTTTTCTTTATAAATAACCCATTATTGGGTATGTCTTTATCAGCAGCATGAAAACAGACTAATACTCATGTGCCATCTCATGTAATCCTTACAACTACCCCCATGAAGTCCTGCTATTAGTAGTTCCATTTTACTGATAAGCAAACTGAGTCACATACTAGGTCAATAACTCATCCCAGGCCCCACAGCCAGCAGGTCATGCAGTCAATAACCACAGCCAAGCAGTTGGCTCCAGAGCCTGTGATGCCTCACTGCCCTGTGTTTTCAAGGCTGTATAAATGTTCAGCAGACTGTACCACATCATTTCTTCCAAAATCCACTTGAAATAGCCTGTTAAAATATTGTGACCTTTCCCAGGTGACACTGTATCCATATGCCCTGGCCCGGTATTGTCTGAGAAATCAACGTAAGTTCCCGTAAGGCCAGCATCATTCCTCAGTAGGTGAAAAGCAAATCAAAATCAAACAAAAGAAAAGGAACATGAGGGTTGTTGGGCAGTGTGTGTATTGGACCTACACAAATAAAATGGTGTTAGTAAAATGATACGTGAGAACATATATCTACCTTTGGTAGACCAAATAACCCTTCTCATGGAGTCTCCAAGGTATGCAGGAAGACAGCTCTGTCAGTTCTGGGGTTTGTACCCTCTGAGATCTGGTAGAGCCCTGCAGGTTTTAATGAAAACCATTTGCACTGTAAGGTACACAAGGTAGCAAGTTAATTTTAGGACAGAATTAATTGAGTAGTTTTATTCTTTGAAAAACCCTAAGTATGTCAACCCACTCCCAGTAGAATCCTTCAGGCAGTTATCTAACAAATGGAAGTTTCCTGAATGGGCTACACGCTGCCAAAACAGAACACTGACAACAAAGGATCGAAATCTTCTTTCAGAGTTTAATAAAATAGGGTGCACTAGAGAAATCCAGTCACAGTTGAGCAGGAAGATGTATAAAAGCCTCCCCACATCTTCTACGTCTTCCTTGCAGCTTTATGTGTCTTGCACAGAGAAGGGACATTTTGGCATAAATATGCATTTGAATCATGAAACAAATGCACCCAATACTCTTTCAGGAACAGAGGTTGCCAGACAAATATTTAGGCAGAAACTATAAAATGGAAATGTGTTTGTCTTTCTTTCCCTCATGACGTTCTTTCCCTCCTTCTCTTTCATTCTCCTCTTGCACTGGGCAGTATCCCACATACACACTTTGCAGAATGTCAGGTGTAATCCAACAGATGTCACTGTGAAAATGGAAGGAAAAACAACTACTCAACAGCCTCTCAAGAACTGTCTGTGCATAAATACGCTGACGGGCTTTCATTTTCAGTGTGATGGTCAACTGGGCCATCCCACATGTGGGCAGGCAAACATGTTCCTGCCAAGTGAGTCAGACAAGCTGGAAATGTTAATTCCTTTGAATGCAATTTGTGAAAAAAATATTGCTTTATGGGAAAGAAGGGTATTTCATTATTATGCAGGCATGTGCCATCAGAGGGGAAAAATGAAAAGGAAAAAAATGTAAAAAAAAGACTAAGGCAAGCCCATAAAAGGTAGTTCTGCAAGGCAATCCTCAATTCAAAGTAAGTGAGTGTTCCCTGGGATCCCTAAGGTTAGACAGGACTTACAGCCCCCCTAAACCCCCACCTGTAATAACACACACCACAGGCACATTTAAAGAAAAGAATCATTTCACCATGGGATGTTTATGTACCATGTCCTCTCCTCCTCCAAGCCTTTGCACACACTGTTCCTTATGCCCAAACACTCTTCCCTCACTACTAACTCTTAGTCTGTGACTCATTCCTACAAAACTCTCACTTCTCAGTTGAAGTGTCACTTCCTTTGGGTCACTGTGGTAGGCACTGTTACTTGCCTACCTAACAGGCATCCCCTTCTTTTCTTGCTAACAGAACTCATCTTTTGTTTGGGCAACAACGTGCCCAGCTCTAGAAGATGACTCATGGTTGGACTAAGACAGCCTGCTCTTTTTTGCCAAAGACTGAGTAGTCCAAGATGAGACAGACTTGTTCATCCAACTGTCCACTTGGAAGTCTAATGGGCATCTCATGTCCAATATGAAAGTCCTGATCTTTCCCCTTAAAACTACTCCTCTTCATTAAATAGAAACTCCATTCTTCCAGCTGTCCAGCCATAAATCTATAATTCATCCATGACTTCTCATTTTGTCCAGTAACCCAGACATAATCTTCCAAATATATTCCAAACACTGTATTTTAGTGTGGTGATGTGACTGGTGCAAGCATTGGATTAGTGACCCCGGCTTGCACAATGGGATTCTTTTTCATGGATTTTTTAAGGTTGGAGGTGAAAATGAAGGGAAGGAGCCTTAGAGCAGGAAGAACCAATTCTTAGCAATTCTTACCAGTCCTATGCTCACCAGCCAGTCCAAACAACAATTACCTCTCAAACTTGGGGTCCTACGGTAACCTTGCCATTTTTTCCCTGCATTCTCTCTTGTCTCCCTATAAATGATTCTTCACCAGCACTTGCATATATCATATCATGTATACCTTCTGTTCAATCCCACCAGGGCTCCCATCTTACTAGGGGTCTTATGGGATCTGGCTCCTACCTATCTAGCTGACTTCATGTCTTAACTCTCCTGCTTCCTCACTGTGTCCCAGTCTCATTGACCTCCTTGCAGCCTCTCAAACATGCCAATCACAGCCATGCATTAAGGCTATTCCCTCAGCTGGAATGTCCTTCTTCCAGATTTCCACATGATATTCCTCACTTATGTCCTTCAGTGATCTATCCCACAAGCCTCCCCTAACTACATTCTTTAATTGTCCATTATTTTCTCTCCTGTGCCTTATTTTCCTTCATTTCATTTACCATCACCTGACATATTATAAATTTACCTGTTTATTATCTGTCTTCCCCCATAGAATATAAGTTCCATGAAATTGTGTATAACACTCACGGAAAGAACCTTTACTATGGGCCAGACACTACAATGAGCATTTTCCCATATTGACTTATTTAAGAAGGAAGTTTGTTTTGCTCACTGGTGTATACTCCATATCCACAACAGTGTCTGGTGAACAGATTTTAAAAAAATAAATGGATAATATGATAAATGAATGTGATCCAGTTATGGGCAGGAGGATGTAGAGCAAATATACTGTGGTCTTCTGGAAGGAATTCTCTGCCCCATAAAAGTTAAGGGCTGCCTGAAGAAAAAGTCTTTTTGCTACTTTTCCTCTACTCTTTCTTCACATACTCTTATGCTAGCATATGATGCCCAGAACTGCAGCTACCATCTTGAGTTCATGCTGCAACAAACTATAGTTCAAAATCCAACAGGTAACAGTGGCCAAATGGAAGGATGTAAACAGCTTTCCCTTCCTATACCGATAAACTGCTGAATCTATCCCAGCACTACCTATCTGGATTTCTTGCGAAGTGAAATCTAAATGTCCTAAGTCACTGTTCATTAAGTTTCCTCTTGCTTACAGCCAAAAGTATTCAAATTGACACACTTTGCATTTATTAAGCTAAATTGTGATTGTCACTTGTCTGTCTGTCTTCTTATTTAGATCAAGTTTCACAAGGATAAAAGTGCCTTATTATTTACCATCTCCCTGGCATCTCGTACAACACCTGGTAAAGAATGGATGCCTTAAGTATTTCTTAAACAAGCAATTCATTTCCCTCCCTTTGCCCCAGCAACTTCCTGAGAACTAAAACTAAATGCTGACCCATTTCTGTCTTTCTGGACCTTTAGAGATATCTTTAGTATTACACTGGCATCTCCTAGCTCTCACGATGTTAAGACATATCTTTAAAAAGTCAACTCTTTCTCCAGCTACATCTAAACTAAGTGGACATTTTTCAGACTTCAGTGCAGAAGATCTTTTAGTGACATCCAACATGGTTGATCACTCCCTCCCTTTTAAAACCCTTACTTCCATCAAACTACATCTTCTTTCTTATTGTCCTCCTATGTCTTTGCATCCTTTACAAGCTCATCTTTCTATATTCTCCAATTTCAAAGTCCAATCCTAAACCCCCTTCTCTTATCAGCATATACTTACTCCCTGTGCAAAATCACCACAGACCATGGCTTCAATTATTGCCTTTATGCCGATAATTTCCAAATTTATATCTCCTATCCCTGTCCTCTCTTCTGAGCTCAGGTACATGCATCCCACTGCCTATCTGATATCTATACATAGATGTCTCAAAATCACCTGAAACTCAACATTCTTGGAGGCTCGTTATCATACCTAATTGGAGAAACTCACCTCAAACTGGGTTGAGACTTAAAAGGAAATATATTGGCTTAAGTAACTAGAAATTTCTTGGATAGAGTTAGTCTTGAGCATGCCTGGATTTAGGAATTTAAACAACAAAAGAAAGTCTCTCTTTCTTTCTCTCTCTCTCTCTCTCCCATTTCTGCTTACCTCTATCTACCTTCTCTCCTATTGCCAACTACTTTTCTCCATAGGTAAGAAATGACCAGAAAGCAGCTCCGACACCCTATCCTTGCTGCTCCAAGACTCTAAAGGTAAGTCCCGTTCATTTTCACTTCCAACCTTAAACATTCATGAAAAGGAATCTCATCGTGCAAGCCTGGGTCACTAAGCCACTGCCTGCATCAACACTGTTACCACACTGAAGCACAGTGCACTACAGCCAGGTCAGCAGGGCTTTCTGAAGGTAAATGTAACCAAAAACCCTATGACTGGATTAACAGTTCTTCAAAGGAAGTGGGTATAGGGTGTGCTGAACAGATTAAGTGAGCACAGGTGTTCTACCCCCAACCCTGCTCCTGTCCTTATGGTTTGTCTTGGTGAATAAAACCATCATTCTCCCATCCTGTTACACAAGCCAGCCACAAACCTAGGAGTTCCTGCTGACTTTCCTCTCTCTCACCCCTCAAAGGCAAGCCAGTGACATAGCCATTCAGTTTTACCTCCCAAATATCATTCAAAGTCAGCCACTTCTTTCCATCATCACTGCCATCTCCCTAGTCTAAGCCACCAGAAATGTTTTTCCTGGACTACTGGAAGAACTTCCTAGATGTACGTACTCTTGTCCCTCCTATCCATTGCCCACATAGCAATTAGGATGATCATTTCAAAGAATATGCCTGAACGTGCCACCCCTCTGCTAAAACCATTAAACAGTTCTCCATCTTTCCTAGGACAAAACCCTAACTCTTTAACGTGGCCTACAAGTCCTTGCATGTCTTTCCTCTCCAGCTTCATCCTAAGTCATCCTTCTCCGTGTCTCCCAGAGCTCCAGCACTCTGAGCTTTTAGTTTTTCCAGCATGCGATGCACCTTCCCACTGTGAGGTTTTTACACATGCTATTTCCTCTGCTTGGATTGCCAAACACACACACACACACACACACACACACACACACACACACACACCCCTTCACCTTCTACTCATCCTTCAGATCTCATCTCAAATGCCACTTATTCAGAGGAATCTCCCTGGTCCTCCAATAGGTTAGATCTCTCACTAAATATGCTCAAATTGCAGCCTTTATTATATTATCTTACAGTACTGGGTATTGTTCCTTCAGAGTAGTCATTATGCTTGTAATTTTAACCTTATTTACTTTAATTGATTACATCTTTCTTCTCTACTGGAAGGCAAATGCCACAAGAACAAGAATCCATTGCTTCTGCGTACCCTTGTCTTTCCAGCACCAACCACAATGCCTGAATTCATGTCCGAATAATTTCTGGAAGGCACGGAGATTAAAAGTACAGATTCTGGAGCCAAATCTAAGGTCAGCCAAGGTTCCTCTTCTTTAAGTTGATTTGTGTGTGTCACTCTGGACAAGTCACTTGTAATTCCCTCCCTGCCTCCCTTTTTTTTTTAAGACAAAGTTTTGCTCTTGTTGCCCAGGCTGGAGTGCAATGGCCCGAACTCGGCTCACTGTGACCTCCACCTCCCAGGTTCAAGTGATTCTCCTGCCTCAGCCTCCCGAGTAGCTGGAATTATAGGTGTGCACCATCATGCCCGGCTAATTTTTGTATTTTTAGCAGAGATGGGGTTTCACCATGTTGGCCAGGCTGGTCTCAAACTCCCAACTTCAGGTGATCCGCCTGTCTCAGCCTCCCAAAGTGCTAGGATTACAGGCGTGAGCCACCGCGTCTGACCTAATTCCCCTTCTTTATTTATCTGTAAAATGTGGATAACAGCAAAGTTTCTCATGAGGGCTTCATAAGATGCTCTGCCTGAAACCCTCAGCACGATGCCTGGAACAGAGAAGGCAGATGTATCCATTACAATTAAGTTTAGCTAAGAGCAACTGAAACCCCAAAATGATATGGCTTAAACAATGAAGAAATGTATGCCTGTCTTAGCCAAAGGGCTCCCATTGGGCTCTTTTTATCTGGTTGCCTCAGCATTTTCAAGATGCGGCTTTCTCTACCTGGCACCTAATGACTGTTCAAGCTTCAACCATCAGGTTCTCCCTTTCACCAACAGCAAAGAGGGGAGCTTCCTCATAAGGCTGTTTCCCAGAAGTTGCCACAGCAGCTACTCTCAAATCCCATTGGTCCAAACTTAACCTCATGAAGCCACATCAGCCAGAAAGCAGACTGGGAAATGTAGTCTTTATTCCAGATTGTCAGGTGCCCAAGAAAAATGGAGACACAAGAAACAACCTCTATCTCAGCAAGACAGCGAAAAGAGAATCCTTCTATGAACACTGGGGATTTTATGTCAAGGAGCATCTCCATAAAAGATTATATGGGAAAAGAAGTCTGCAGAAGCACCATCCACAGCAACTCATCTTGTTGCAGTAAGCGACACATAAATGTATTTGTTGAATTTTAAGAAAAACCACTACCATCGCCACACCAGATGTGACCCTTCTTAATCCACAGGACATGCTTCACAGGGAAGCTGTCTAGCTCTGCTCCTGCTCAGGATCCCCCTGACCTCTTTCCCTGCCACGATGGAAGAGGAGCTTTGAGAGGTCCTTGGCATTGTCATTCTCCTATGACTATAGGGGGAATTGCTCTCTGGATATATACAAGGTGCTGACAGCTGCCAAGCTGGACTTCTCAGGAAGCCCCAAGGCAGTCTTCTGACCACAGAATCCCCCTATAGGGCAAATCATGGACAGAGGGACTCCGGCTTTGTTGTACCTGATGCACTGAGGGCATCTCCATCTGTCACTAACCACTGCTTCAGAAACTTAATCTTGGTTCAGAGCTAAAGCCATCCTGTCACTCCGCTCCAATTCACTTCGGAAAAGTTTAAAAAAGGAATCTTTGGCCTCACGGTGAATCCCCAAGTCTTACAGAAAAATGATTCCGCAGCAGTTCAAAGAGAGAAGAGAAGTATTTGCTTTTTTTCCCTTTCATGCAGAAGAGAAAGGAGCATTGAGTATTATTTTGATAACAGAAACTAAACTCTAAATAATAGCATCCAAGAGCAATAACCACACACAAACCACATATTTTCTTTCATCTCATGGTAATTGCATATGGAATCACCATCCTTATTATTAAAAGCTTTTATCCAGTGCCAGTAGGTGCCTGGGGCACAAAAGGCGCTGAGTTTTTTTTTTTTTTGGTTTTTTTTTTTTTTTTTGAGACGGAGTCTCGCTCTGTCGCCCAGGCCGGACTGCGGACTGCAGTGGCGCGATCTCGGCTCACTGCAAGCTCCGCTTCCCGGGTTCACGCCATTCTCCTGCCTCAGCCTCCCGAGTAGCTGGGACTACAGGCGCCCGCCACCGCGCCCGGCTAATTTTTTGTATTTTTAGTAGAGACGGGGTTTCACCTTGTTAGCCAGGATGGTCTCGATCTCCTGACCTCGTGATCCACCCGCCTCGGCCTCCCAAAGTGCTGGGATTACAGGCGTGAGCCACCGCGCCCGGCCGGCGCTGAGTTTTACTAAATCTATATCTATCAGTACATGGGGGAATACATGGAGGTCTCTCCCAAGAACTTAGAAATAAGATTGTCTTCTGACCACTTATCAAAAGGCATCCAGAATTTTAAAGTGCATACTCCTTCCATTTTCTATACAAACATTTCCAGAGCACAAGAATACTTTCTGCAGCCTTGTTTGTAAAAGGATGGAAACTACAGAGATGTCCATCAGGAGAGAAGTGGTTAAATAAAGCATGACCCAACCCCATGGAAAAATACAATGTAGATACTACCAAATAACGAGCTAGACTTCTCTGCCATGTCAGGGAAAAGTGTTCACCATCTCATGACAAGAAAACAAAGCAAACAAAACAGGCAAATAAGTAAACAAAGCCATCAACATATAACAAACAAGGAGACAAAACAGATGCAGCTTCTGAAGTTAACCAGGGTGGCTTAAGTACTTCCCAGCTCAGCGACTGTGGACAAGTTCTGCATCATCTCTAAACCACAATTTCTTCATCTAATAAAATGAGATAACAACAGGATATCTCATAGGATCTTTGTGAGGATTAAACACACCAACTAGTCTAGGAGGCGGTGAGTCAGCATGGTGTGTTAACTAGAGGGATCAGCAGCCGTGTTCACTCTGGATAACTTCTCGTCAGTGTCATCGTACTCTATCAATGACCACATCTTAATCTACTGTATTAATCAGACAAAGGGGAGGAGACACAGCCGGCTCTAAGCAGTGGTTCCCGTCTGGCGAATGAGGTTGGCAGTGCGGGAAGGAGGATGATGAGCCGTGGAGAGAGTCTTTATTTTATTTTCATGTATTTGTTAGTTGTCTTTTTTCTTTTACAATGAGCTCATGTTACTGTCATAATAAAGGGTGCTTTTTTTTGGAACGGGGAGGTTCTTTAACAATTGGCCTCTAACAGTTAAACCTGAATAGCATCTTGTAATGGATTAGTACAGAGATCTGCAAAATTCCCCGAGGAGACTCTAAGCCCCAGGACCTGCTGGTAACTTAACTGGAAACAGGAACATGTCTAAAGAAAGAATATGACTACAGATGGGCTGGGGGGTGGGGATGCCACGGAGTCCTAGCAGCTTGGGAGGAAGAGAGACAACAGAGGTAGCAAGGCCATCCAAGCAACAGGCAGGGCCAAGGGAATTGGATCCCTTAGACCCATATTTGCAAATGTGTCCCCCAGGCTCCTCACACAGTATTTGTTCTGTGTTATGGACCGAGTTGTGTTCTCTCTGAGGTGGGCATGTCTTGCTAGCCAGCAAGAACTCAAGCATACCCTGAGAATGACCCTGTGATCTTTGGTGAGTGTTTGTTCAGTGCTCCGAGCCATGGAATGGCCAACCTGGATGTTTACGCCATACCTATGAAGAACAACTGGATCCTGGCCCATTCCTTGGAACCCAGGTCATGCAAGGAACCAAGGCCTTTTGTGTTGAGCTAAGGAGACAGGATGTTTGTTTGTTTGTTTGTTTGTTTGTTTGTTTTTGAGACAGGGTCTTGCCTTGTCACCCAGGCTGGAGTGCAGTGGTGCAATCACAGCTCACTGCAGCCTTGACATCCCAGGCTCAAGCAATCCTCTCACCTCAGCCTCCCTAGTAGCTGGGACCACAGGCACACACCACCACACCCAGCTCATTTTCGTATTTTTTGTAGAGACAGGGTCTCACTATGTTGCCCAGGCTGGTCTCAAACTCCTGGGCTCAAGTGATCCTCCCACCTCAGCCCCCAAAGTGCTGGGATTACAGATGTGAGCCACCACACCTGACCTTGGAGACAGGATCTTTAAAGAGGTGATTAATTTAAAATGAGGTCATATAGCAAATACCTAAGGTATCCGGGGCTTAAAACCTAGACGACAGGTTGACAGGTGCAGCAAACTACCATGGCACATGTATACATACCTATGTAACAAACCTGCATGTGTATCCCAGAACTTACAAAAAATAAATAAATAAATAAAAATTAAAAAAAACATTTAAATGAGGTCAAATGGGTGAAATATGATAGCTGTCCTTATAAGAAGAGATTAAGACAGAAACAAACAGAGGGAAGACCATGTGAAGACACAGGGAGAATAGAGCCGTCTGCAAGCCAAGGAGAGAGGCCTCAGAAGAAACTAACTTTCCAACTCTAATCTCAGACTTCCAGCTTCCAGAATTGTGAGAAAATATATTTCTGTTGTTTGTCACCCAGTCTCTTGTGTTCTGTTACAGCAGCCTATCAAGCGAATACACTCTGTTGGGGATTCTTTTCTCATATGAAAGAATTTTACATTTTCTCTGTGCAAATCCATCAATCTTTCCCTTTTCCCTTTATGGCTTCTGGGTTTTTGTTTTTTTTTAACAATCTTGATTTGAAAGGATTTTGCCATCCCAATATTATTAAGATATATCCGTACTGCCTTCTAATACTCTTAACAATTTTTGTTGTTGTCATTGTTGACGTTCTTGTCTTATGGTGCTTCTTTTGTTTCATTCTTTTTATTTTTTTATAGATACAGGGTCTCACTCTGTCTCCCAGGCTGGAGTGCAGTGGCATGATCACAGCTCACTGCAGCCACCAATTCCCGGGCTCAAGGGATCCTCCCACCTCAGCCTCCCGAGTAACTGGGACTAAAGGCATGCACCACCACGCAGGCTAATTTTTGTATTTTTAGTAGAGATGGAGTTTCACTATGTTGCCCAAGCTGGTCTCAAACCCCTTGACTCAAGTAATCTGCCTGCCCTAGCTTCTG
This sequence comes from Homo sapiens, assembly GCF_000001405.40. Taxonomy (NCBI): domain Eukaryota; kingdom Metazoa; phylum Chordata; class Mammalia; order Primates; family Hominidae; genus Homo; species Homo sapiens. Next base: position 25,712,279 of record NC_000016.10, on the reverse strand, counting down.
AAAGTGCTGGGAGTATAGAGGTGAGCCACCGCGCCTGGCCTTTTGTTTCCTTCTTTACCTGCAATTTATTTCTATAATTCATGTGTGGTCAGGCTCAAAATTTGGGGTTTTTTTTCCTGGAAGAATAGTATCTTGTCTATATTACTGTTTTCCCAGCTTTATTGAGGTATGACTGACAAAAATCTATCATTTTTATAAACGTAAAAGTGTTAAATGATGTTACAGGAGTATATTTTTGACACAAAAAGATGGTCATAATATACTTTCAAGTGAAAGAAGCAAATTATTTTAAAATACACATTTTTGAAATAAATTATGTATACTTTATAAGTATTAAAAATTTATAGAAGAGGCTGGGCACAGTGGCTTATGCCTATAATCCCAGCACTTTGGGAGGCTGAGGCGAGCAGGTCACTTGAGGCCAGGAGTTCAAGACCAGCCTGGGCAAAATCGGCCCTGATAGTACAGGAAAAAATGAAGCAATAAATAAACTCAGACAGCGAGGAGAAAGGCTTCGTAAGCTTTTCCACTCCAGACCAGGTACTTTGCACCTTATAAAGTCAGGGAGTGTTTGTGTCACAGAGCTTCATAACAAGAGAGTGATGTTACTACTAAAATTCTAGCTAAGTTCTACTCATGAGAACACTTTTCTAAAGGCAGTAGTCAATTTTGGGAGGGGTGGCTAAAAAAAAATCTTCACCATGAAATAAGAGGTGGCCGTGATGTCACTGTGTCACTGAGCAAACACCTGATGTCTCTGCCACCAGCTCCTCTTTACGGGGCCACCACACCACCAAGGCAGCAGCAGGGTCAGCAGCATTTCTAAGCAAGGTAGCAGAGAAGCACTGCTTTCCCTCCTTCATGCTGCCTTGAAATAGCCCAGGCGGAAGGGATTTTTTTTTTTCTCCCTTTCCTTTTAAAGAATACACAGCCCAGGGCAACTCTCCTACCTCAGCTGCCCCACATTGGGAAGGGGTAGCTAAGTCATGCAGTCTCTGAAACTGCCAACGCACAGCAGGGCTCGGAAAATCAGTACCTCTCTCTGAAGTTACCCAACGTGCTGAGACCTTTAAACCAAACGACAGTAAGTAGACATCGCCAAAGTCTTTCATGGAATTAGAAGATGGGTTTACTTCCCTAGAAGCCTCAAAATGTGAGCTGGACACAGTGGTTCATGCCTGTAATCCCAGCCCCTTTGGGAGACTGAGGCAAGAAGATCGCTTGAGGCCAGGAGTTCGAGACCAGCCTAAGCAAAAAAGCAAGACCCCATCACTACACAAAAATAAAAATAAAAAATTAGTTGGGCATAGTGGTGCATGTCTGTAGTCCCAGGTACTCAGGAGGCTGAGGCTGGAGGATCACTTGAGCCCAGGAGTTCTAGGCTGCAGTGAGCTATGATTGAGCCACTGTACTCCAGCCTGAGTGACGAAGCAAGATCCTGTCATTAAAAAAAAAAAAAAAAAAAAAAAAAGGATAATATGCAAAAGCACAACTGCTGGAAATTAGAAATCACAAAACTTAACTTTCTGTACAATCTGCTTTTAAATTTTGCCTTTTTCTGAAATAAAATAAGTTTCTGAAGAAGTCTTCAGAATCTTAAAATAAGTAGCAAGAAACCAGGAAAAGAAATCTCTTTATAAAAAGAACCATTCTAGTACATAGGCCTAATAGCGACTGGATGAGCAATAGGAAGTCTTTCTATTTCTACTCCTAGTTTCTCCATCTTGGGGGAAATAAGGAACGAGCCAGACTCCAACCTGCTCCACAGCCAGGATATGGGGAAGGACCCTAAGGCAAAAAGGATGGTCAGATGGCAGAGGTAAAAATGGAGGATAAAGCCCTGAAGCCATCAAAAGTCCATAGGAAATTGACCGGGACCTAATCAATGACCCTGGGGCTTAACAAGTCCAAGGTCCTCAGGTTCCCCCAGGAATTCCTGCTGAAGAACCTTCAAGATCCTCCAGGATATAATTTTCTCACACACACACATAAGCTGAAGAAGAAAATATCCTTGTGTGCTAATAAGAATCTCCCAAACAACACACAAGGTGGACAGATATACATATATTTTTAAGTCAAAACACTAGATTGGACAAGGGAATTTTTCTTCTCCAGAACACTGATTTATTTTCCTAAAACGTCTTACAGAAGCAGAAAAAATTAAATCACACTTAATTCTATATTGTGAGCCTCACTTTAAATGAAAAGAATGGCATAAAATCAAAGATTTTCTAGAAATTCTAGGCTATCTAGTTGTTAAATTAAGACTGATCAAATGCCAAATCATTTCTCCCTCTCCACTTGAAGCGAATCCGGGCAGGAAGACTTAATGTGATGAAACTATTTCACTTGCTATTTGAAGAATTCTCTTGTAAGATACACAATTCCTTTAAAATTTTCTAGGCAGCTGCTAGGGGTTGCTAAGGAAGGGATGAAAATAGAAAATATTCTAAATAAATAATTAGTGATTTCTGAGGGGCAGATTCCATAGATACTTTTTTCAGGATTGAACACATCTTAGGTTTAGAGACTGGATACATTTTTTTTCCTGCATTGCCTCCCTCTCTCTCTTCTTCTCTTCCTTCCATTCTTCCCCTCTCGGTTAAAGAAAAGATGCAGAATCTTCAAGCAGAGACCTAGACAGGGAGATTTTGAGCTGCTCTGTTTGTGTCCACCTTGGTAGAAAGACAAAACAGAACCTAGGTCCTCTATCTCCATGCAAGCCGGTGGAACCTCACTGTGTCTGTTTTATTCGGTTGTACTTCGGGGAAAGATTGCATTTGAACAGAGGAGTGTCTAGAAACAGACATCTGTTGTTTTGGCAGCAGCATTCATTTCCTGTCTTTGATAACCAGATCCAGGGGCCTCCAGGGAAACTAACTCCTCCCTAGGCTCCAGGGAGGCAGTGCCTCAAGCCTCACACCCCGCTGGCAACAGAAACCGCTTGATGGATGTGTGCACGACCCCTAAGAACTAATGAGCTACATCGAGTCTTCAGCAAAGACTTCCAGGACAAAGATGACAAGCTTCTCCACCTATACTTGGGGAAAGAGAATCAGGCTAGCACCCACTTTACAGCCACAAGGAGAGAAGTTTTGAGAACTCAGTCAACCATCTGAGCGGCGACAGAGAATCCAGAAGCAGAGATCTGGTGACATTGTTTAAACACTAATTAAGCCAAAAAAAAAAAAAAGATATCCCCAATTCCTGGGACTTCTCAGATACATGAGCCATTAAATTCCTTTTTGATTTATGCTCGGTTCAGATTTTACCTTGGATTTCTGTGTTATAACCAGAGGAATTCTAGCCAATAGAGTTCTGGAGCTGAAATGAAGTTTTGAACCACCACTGAAAATGATTATCCTTAAAGATGTTCTAACATATTGTGATTTGGGGCAATTTCTTCCTCCTAGTGGATGAAAAATGGAAGGATGGGAAAAGGGAATCCCAGGAAAATTGAAAAGTCCCAAGGCCAAGAGTTGAAGGTAAACTAAAAGAAGGAAGGAACTTTTGACACAGATACACAGGCTAGTGAGAACCCATAAATACAGAAGAAACTCATTGTTTTGTTCTAAATGAGGAAATCCATGGTTCTCATTGAGGTCAAGAGGTTTCTTGGTTGAAATCAACATGCAATTTTCAAATTCTAAATGGGTAATGTAGCAATTTAATATATGGCATATGTGTTATAATAATATTTCTTAATATTAATTGCTTTAAGATATACTTATGGCAACATGGCATTTTCATTTTTGTCCATATTTAGATAGTCATAAGAATGCTAAGAAGGAAAGAAAAATTCCACCTGCCAAGATTTTTTCTATATCTGAACACAAATGAAGAAATTGGTTCAGAATGGGGAAGAGAAAAAACAAATACACAACTGTATTCCAGTATGTTTTAAACACGGCTTTACACATCTGTTTTGATACTTGCTTATTGTTTACTGAAAGTGAATATTTTATAAAGCCTCTTATTTTATGATATAAGAACAAAATATGCAGGGTTAATCCAGATTGGAAGGAGCAAGGAGCCACTCGTTTTGTATCTCAGGAAATGCCTGACTTTGGACCCAACCTGTGTCCCACAATCACCACCTGGTGGCAGCATACTTAAATAGCAGGGATAGCTGAGTGTTACATAAACATCTTTTAAATTTTGACCCCAGCAACATTAAGGTCATTTTGTGGTACCGGATCAATGACTAGATCCTCTCTCCAGAATAGGGGAATTAAAAAACAGGAAATTAGGATACCAGAAACCTGGGTGGGTGTGGAGTAACTATGGAATACAGGCATATGTCAATGATGACACTGTTCACCAGCATTTTCCAATAAGTGATGCTCTTACCACTAGCAGGTGAGTCCAGGTGGTACAAGAAAAAGCCACCCTGAGGATAAGATGATTGAGCAGAGACCCGAATGAAGGGAGGACATAAGACATGCAATTATCTAATGCAAAGAAACATTGTAAGTGGTGGAAGCAGCAAGTGCAAAGGCCCTGGGGCAGGGCCATGTTTGACTTCTCAGGTACAGCAAGGAGGCTAGCAAAGCTCAAGCAGAGGAACAAAGAAAATAAGGCAACTGAATGTGGCTAAAGCAGTGAATAGGGGTCAGATCCTTGCCTTTTCTCCAGTTTCTAGAAGCTGCCCACATTGGCTTGTAGCCTCTTCCTCTATTGCCAAAGCCAGCAACAGTGATTGAGTCCTTCTCATACTACCTTCTGGTTCTCTCTCTGCCTCCCTCTTCCATTTACAATAGTGCCCCCTCATCTACAGAGGATATGCTCCAAGACCCCCAGTGACTTCCTAAAACCATCAATAATACAAAACCCTATAGATATTATGTTATTTCCTATACATACATAGCTATGATAAAGTTAAATTTATAAATTAGGTACAGTAAGAGATTAACAACTCATAATAAGATAGAATTATAACAATATATTATAATAAAAGTTACGTGATTATGGTCTCTCTCTCAAAATATTTTATTTTACTATTCTTACCCTTTCTAAATTGAAAAGTTTTGCCTTTTCACTTAAAAGAAGCACTTCATGGGTTCTCTTTGGGCATATCTGAATTACCAGCATCACTACTCTTGCACTCTGGGGCCATCATTAAGTAAAGTAAAGGTTACTCACACATAAGCACTGAGATACCACGACAGTCAATCTGATAACCAAGACAGCTGCTGAGTGACTCAAGGATGGGTAGAGTCTACAGGGTGGACATGCTGGACAAAGGGATAATTCACATCCTGGGTGGCACAGAGCAGGACAGCGCAAGATGTCACCACACTACTCAGAATGATGAGCAACTTAAAACCTATGAACATTTATTTCTGAAATTTCCCATTAATATTTTCAGAGCACAGTTAACCATGGGTAACTGAAACCTCAGAAAGTGAAACTGCGGATAAGAGAAGCCTTCTGTATACAATTCCTTGGAATTACATTGGCTCCAACCAAATAATTCAGGACAATCTCCCATTTAAAGTCAGTTGGTTCATAATCTTCATTCCATCTGCAACCTAATTCCCCTTTGCCAGCTAATCTAACATATTTGCAGGTTCCAGGGATTAGGATGCAGGCATTTCAGGGAGGTCATTATTCTGTCTAGCACAGAGGGTTAGAAAGCAGGTTAGGCCACCGCACGTTCTCATTCATAAGTGGGAGCCGAACAGTGAGAACACATGGACACAGGGAGGGGAACATCACACACCAGGGCCTGTCGGGGGGTGGGGAGCTAGGGGACGGAGAGCATTAGGACAAATACCTAATGCATGCCGGGCTTAAAACCTAGATGACGGGTTGATAGGTGCAGCAAACCACCATGGCACATGTTCTGCACATGTATCCCAGAACTTAAAGTAAAATTAAAAAATATATATATTAAAAAAGATTTAAAAAGAAAGCATGTTAGGCAGACAACTAGAAGGTGGAAAGTTAATACACCAACCTGGGAAACACAGCCTGAAAAGAGAGGATAGGTCAATTGAGAACCAAATGACAGAATCTTCTGGTCACTCCCAAAGCTCAACAACTGCAGGGCAGTTTTAAGAAGCAAGTGTGACCCGTAGCTCCGTAGGTTTTTATGTTGTTTCGGTATTTTAAAAATGACGTAACAATGATGAATCCGGTGAAACAGTTACACAGTCTGAGATTGTCCAGGAATTCCCCAGATCTTTACGCAGTCTGCCCTGAGAACGTTTGATATCCATGCTATAAAATAGTTTCTGTAAATTAAACCTCTTAATCTAACTTTATAAGAGTGCTTGTCCTGTATTTCAGGTACTCCCTGGACTGCAACATTCCAGGAAACCAATAACCTGGGGGAATTCATGAAAACGTGCATGGATTAATAACAACTAACATATGTAGACTAAGTCGATCCCAACACACAGTCACTATTCTACCCTTGCAAAATCACTGTGGAGTTAGTAGAGGTTGTTATTCCCATTTTAGAGATGAGAAAACAAAGGCTCTACACACCAATCTATGCACACAAAACAAGTCCCACAAGGTGCAGAACTCAGACTCAAATCCTTAATTTCTGATTCCACCTTCAGCTTCCTTTTCTTTCTTTTATTCAATTATTTTTATTTTTATTTTTTTTTGGGATGGAAACTGGCTTCATCACCAGGCTGGAGTGTAGTGGTGCGATCTCAGCTCACTGCAACCTCCGCCTCTGGGTTCAAGCAATTTTCCTACTTCAACCTCCTGAGTAGCTGGGACTACAGGTGCGTGCCACCACGCCTAGCTAATTTTTTGTATTTTTAGTAGAGATGGGGTTTCACCGTGTTAGCCAGGGTGGTCTCGACCTCCTGACCTTGTGGTCTGCCTGCCTCGGCCTCCCAAAGTGCTGGGATTACAGGCGTGAGCCACCGCAGCCAGCCCAGCTTCCTTTTCAAAATACCACAGAGCTCCAAGCAATCAAACTGTCCTATGACAGAGGTGCCCACGTAGTTTGACTCAAATATTTCCTCATCTCCAGGGGCTCCCAAATCTCTAACCCTCTGCAGAAGCTTTAACCTGGAGGGAATGGTGTGCGGACACCTCTAGGAGGTAACAAAAGTCAAACAGGGGGCCCCCGTGTCATGGCCTGATTATTATATGGCAATTAGGTAATTTTGATAATACATCCAGAGAAAGACAATCCAACTACTCATGGAGCATAATGATCTATCAGTAATAATCCGTGCTCATCTCCTACAACTGTGCTACAGCAACAGAGGCCAGGAATAGTAGGAAGGCACCCAGGGCCGGGTGCGGTGGCTCACAGGTAATCCCAGCACCTCGGCAAGCCTCAGCTGTAGGATTACTTGAGTGCAGGAGTTTGAGACTAGCCTGGGCAACCAACAGAGCAAGATGTCTTCTCTACAATTTTTTTTTTTTTTTTTGAGATGGAGTTTTGCTCTTGTTGCCCAGGCTGGAGTGTGATGGCATGATCTCAGCTCACTGCAACCTCTGCCTTCTGGGTTCAAGCGATTCTCCTGCCTCAGCCTCCCCAGTAGCTGGGATTACAGGTGCCTGTCACCACGCTTGGCTAATTTTTTGTGTTTTTAGTAGAGACGGGGTTTCACCATGTTGGCCAGGCTGGTCTCGAACTCCTGACCTCAGGTGATCCACCTGCCTCGGCCTCCCAAAGCAATTTTTTTAAAAATTAGCCAGGCACAGTGGAGCACCTATATAGTCCAGCTACTAGAGGCAGGAGATCACTTGAGCCCAGGAGTTCAAAGCTGCTGTGAGCTATGATCATGCCACTGTACTCCAGGCTGGGCAACAGAGCGAGACACCATCTCTAAAAATAAATAAATAAGACATCCAGCTCAGGACATCCTGCTATGGGAGCTCAGGAATGTCACTTGCCCTTCCAAAGTCTCAATCTCTCTATCTGTAAGAAAACATCTACTTCATGAGGCCACTGTGAGGAATAAATGAAATAATGTTGTGTGCTATAGGAACCTTTGGGGGAGACTAGCTAGCCCACACAGCTTATTTGAGTGGGTTTCTCTTTCTGCACCCAAAATAGGCTTGCAAAAAAAGAGTATGTGAAAAAGCTGAGAACAATTCTTAGCTACACTTCCCAAGAAATGTGAGGGTTCTTTCTTTCCAGAAGCCTGGAGTATCGTACATACAAGGTCCTCTTTTTGTTCATGAATTCACTGATTTATCATTGGTGATTAATAAATCACCATGCATTGAGCATCTACTATCTGCCAGGCACTGTTCTGGGCTCTGGCTTGAAACAAAATGGACAAGATCGATTTCTGGTCCTATGCAGTTTACCTTCTAGTGAGGGGGAGATAAGTAATGAGGATAACTTTGGAGAGCAATAGATGTGCTGGAGAAAATAAAACAGCATAACAAGCTCAGAAGTGGAAGAAGTTATTTAAATTAGGTAGTCAGGAAAGGCCTTTTAGAGGAGCTGAAATTTCAGCCAACACCTAAAGGAAAGATAAGGAGATACCAGTAGTTTAGGGATCTAGGGACAGAATATTCCAGGAGGAGGGAAAAGAGAATAAAATGGCCCTAAAGGGGGAATGAGCTTGGCATAGTCCCTGAACAGAAAGAAAACCACTTCCACTGTTTACTGTGAGGGCAAGACTCCTGCAGCAGCCTGTCCATCTGCACACTGGAACTAAAAGCAGGGAAATGCTGAAGCTTATTATTTACTCCCATGAGGCTGGAAGACACCACTTCCAGTGGAAATGAACTCTGAGACAAATAAAGGTAAGAACGTATGCTTGAGGCCATACACCTAGGTTTGAATCCCAACTCCACAGTTTGAGCGAGTGACTTACCAGCACTGTGCCTCAGTTCCCTCGCCTGTAAGGCGTGGGTAATATCAGTGCCTATCTCACGAGGTGCCAGTGAAGCCTAAAGGAATTCAATACTCGGAGCCAAGCCTGGCACACGTGATACAATATCATCTACCACCAGTGCTGCCACTCCCACGGCGACTGTTATTCCATCAGATTCGAACCTCCATCTCCCCCTCCCGTCCTAAAATAACCATGGTTTGTCTCTGATTCACTTTTTGCTATGTGGCAACATGAGTGCATCCACATTGACTAATGTGCACCAGCTCAACTCTTTTTTTTTGTTTGTTTGTTTTGAGACAGACTCTTGCTCTGTCACCAGGCTGGCTGGAGTACAGTGGTGCAATCTCGGCTCAATGCAACCTCTGCATCCTGGGTTCAGGCGATTCTCCTGCCTCAGCCTCCTGAGTAGCAGGGATTACAGGCACGCATCACCATGCCCGGCTAATTTTTGTATTTTTAGTAGAGACGGGGTTTCACCACGTGAGCCAGGATGGTCTCAATCTCTTGACCCTGTGATCCACCTGCCTCAGGCTCCCAAAGTGCTGGGATTACAGTTGTGAGCCATCGTGCTCAACTCTTAAGAGTTGAGTTGAGCCGCTAGCTCAACTCTTAATCCACTCCTTGGGCATGGTTCTTCTACCCCTGAATTGGGGGTGTAAGGCAGTCAGCCCCTCTGCAAGGGATTATAATAGTTTATGAATCTAAACAGTGACAGTTATTTTGCCACCCTTTCCTCTGTCAAATAAAATGTGCAAAGGAAGGATATCCCATATATGAAGTACATTTTGGTCAAGTTTATATAAACAATATTTTCAGATCACCCTCAAACACATCTGATCTCAATTTAGGCATCAATGACTTAGACAAACAAACAAACAAGAATGGGAAAGAAAAGGGAGACAGGAAAGGGGAGGAGGAAGGAAGGAAAAGAAAGAAATGCCACCCTAGAGAAGGATGTCTCTCCATTTACTCCTGTCCTCTCCAGCGCCCCTTAGTAGAGTATTAATATTTTGTTTTTACAAGTCCCTTGCAATTTTTGCTAAATTTATTCCTAGTTATTTCGTCTCTCTGGTTGGTTCTATACACACAGTATTTTTTCCCATTATATTTTCACAATGGGTGGCATAGGCATATAGGAAATCTATAAATTATACATTGTTTTTTCCTTACCAGCCACCTTAATGAATTCTATTATTGTTTCCAATAGATTCATAGGAGGATTGGTAATCTTAGGTTTTCCAAAAAGGAAAAGTTAAAATTACTTTGCAAATAGTAATAATTCTACCTCCCCCCTTTCTCCTTTTGTTTTTCTAATTGTATTATCTAATAAGTCCTGAACAATGGTTAAATAATAGTAACAGTAATGAGCACTTCAGGCTGGTTCTGGATTTAGTGGAAATGCTTCTAGTGTTAAACCACTAAAGATGATGCTGGCTTTAGGTATGACCCTATTTTAATAGCAGGTTGTTCTGAAAATCAGAAATAGATATTTCTTTTTATAAGATATCTTTTCAGCATCCATAAAATAAATCACAAATTTTTCTCATTTGCCTGTATTAACAATAAATCACATTATTACATTCCCCAAGATTGAACCATCCTTCCATTCTTAGAATAAATCCCATTCTGTCAAGACTGATAACACCTTTCAATGTGATCATTTACATGTCCATTTCTCCACTCTGTGAGTTCTTTCAGATCGCTGGCCATGATTGGTTCATGTTTCAGCCAAGCACATAGCACATGGTTGATAATACATGTTTAATGAATAAATACATGAATGAATAACTAAATAACAGCTGCACAGAATTAATAACTAAATAACAAGTCCCCAAACACCCTCTGCACCTCCCTCCAGTCTCTCTAATCCCTCCAGTGGATTAGAGAGATCATATGCCTGGCCGGGGATGGATCTTTATATACTTAACGTACATCTGGCTTAACTGGCCCCCACTTTTCTAAAAATAGCACCCTTGAACCCCTCTTTCTCTATGGGGAAACTATTTCATGTGGTTGCAATGGGGAAATTACATGGAACAGTTTCCCCGTAAAGAATAGAGAACCCTGCTTCTCTACTCTTACCACCACCCCAAGCCAAAGGGCTAGCTACATCTCCTAGGCCTGATTAGAATCCCACACAATTATTGCTTTAGGAATGGGGCACAGGACCCAACCTGGGCCCAAGGCATCTCTAGGAATTTCCTACAGAAGTTCTTAAGAAAAACTGTTTCCAAAAAGATTAATAAACATAAAATATGTTTGTCTAGGAATGCTTCTTACCATCTTGCCTAAACTGTGGTGAGACAGCCTGTCTGAGAATGAAGCCAGGTAGAGACAAACACGGCAAAGAATGGAAAGAGACAGGGGCCTAGTGACATCATTTGAGCCCCTGGATCCAGTTTTTCCTGAAACCAAGTTATCCCCAGACTTCTCAATCACGTAAGGCAATCAAATGTCTTTTGTTGTTTACAATAGTGTAAGTTCCATTTCTGTCATTTGCAACTGAAAAAAATATTGTCTAATTCACGTGTTGCTTTGTTTCCTTGTATATTCTTAAATAAGGTTGAAAAAAAAATGTCTAAGGCAAGTAAGTCCTAAGTAGTGAGTACAAACAGCAACAACAAAAAAGCCAACCACCTTCTTTTAATTAATGGCAAGATGGGCTGAAAAGCTCCCTTAGTGAATTATAATTTCAGAACGCAATTCCCAAGACAGTTACAGAGGAGCTTGTTAAACCGCAAAAACCAATGAAATCAGGAGATTACTTGAACGGGGCGGTGGTTCAATCCATTCCAGAGAGATCATCCATTATGCAAAACCAAAACCCTTAAAACTTTCTGACAAACAACCCTAGCAATCTTTCATTCATCTAAAGTCTCGAGGCCTCTCTCCTGACTTGATTTAAAAGTGAAAATGCCTGGTATGATTTTCAAAAATAAAAAATAAAAATAAATAAATCATGTTAGGATGTCTAGAGAACACCGGTGAAAGCAGCCAAATCTCAAAATAGAGGGTTTCGTAGGGTCTTGGGGAGCAATCCTGCATTCCCAAATGCCTTCGGTTCTGCAGAAGCACGAAAGGCAAACAGGCTCCTGGCATCCTAAATGTCTCTGAACTTACCCGGGGCAAGTGGCATCCATTCCTACTGGAGGCTCAAGAGAATGTCAGCATGGAAGTCCACAGAGCCTGTCCACCTCCTTACCGCATTTCTTTTGTGGAGAATTCTGGCTGCAGTTACCTCATGAAATCATACTTTTTTTCCTCCTTCAGCTCAAGTTACAATAGACCAAATTCTGGAATCCGGTTCTGATTATTCTCTGGAGAGCTACTTAAGAGCTGCTTCAGGGTTTAAAATCCCTCATTCAGACCTAATCTTGAAATAAAAGACTACATTTAAATGAAAAATACATTACAGCTTTCTCTTTAGGGCCGTCAGTACTGATGGGCAGGATAAAGGAAGGCATTGAAGGAAAATGAAGGAGAAGAGTAAGAGAGAAAAGAAAAATGGGAGAGAGAGGAAAGAAGAGGAGAGAGACATTTACTCTGTCACAAGCTCTACATAGGGCACTTTAAATGCCATTTCGTGTCATCCTCACGTAATCCTTTGGCAGCGGGTAATATTGAGCTCATTCTGCAGATGGAGAAATTGAGGCTTAGCTATATTAAGTAATTTGTCCAATAGATTCTGGCTCAGACATACAAAACATGCTCCAAACCATGTTGCTTCTATTCCACAGCTTCCTCTTTCTGAAGAGTCTAATACAGAAATGTGTTCTGGAACCAAAGTCTTTTCGTAGGTGAATGGACCCTATGGAGTTAAAATACCTTCATCACCTAAGAAACAGAGATTAATATAAGTAACCTGTTGTCCAATAAAACTAGTATGTGGCAAAGCCAAGCCTGGAATCCAGTTTTTCTAACTCTAAGATCTTAATACGACTGAGCGTAATCTATTTTATAAGTGCAAGTTATCGATATAGATCAAATACAAGCACTCCTGATTAACGAGTGAAAAATTGAGAATTTCCCCAGTTTCAAGAGAACGTTAATTGAGAACGGAGGGGAATGTATTTGCGAATTTTCTTTTTTCTGCCTCAATGTTCTTGTTTATATCAGGCTTTTGTGGATGTTGCAATATATCCGGGAGGTATTTCCCCCATGCTGTTACAAAATCTGTAAAGGAAGAAAAAGAAAAAACCCTACACTAAAATAGCACATGTAAGCCACGATTCTGGCCACTGCACAGGGTACACAGGGTATGGGCATGTCCGTTGTTTTCTGAAATGAGTTTAAACCAGAGGTCACAAACTGGTAGCCAGCTGGCTGTATCCAGCCCACAGATGTATTTTGTTTGTCCCACAATGTTGGCCCCCACTGGGCTTTTAAGAAACTTAAATCTGTTGCCAATATTAAAAATCAAAAGATTTCAAATCAAAACCTGGATTTCCAGTTTCTCTTACACAGTGGAAGATCTCATAACCCCAATGCCACACTTGCACATTGGGAAAAAAGTAGCTAGACTGCAGCAGTGGCTTCCCCTTCAGCCAGAGCACAGGCAGGCACTTTAGCTTCTCTCCACCTAGTCTACCTCGCTCATTTATACGACCTGTCTGAGCCCTGAAGTTGTGTGACCTTCGGTTTAAAAGGGTAAGGAGATGCACACTGCAAAGCCAATCATTACTGGGGTTTTCCCAAACCATCCCAAATAACAGCCTCTTTGGACAATATTATGACAGCTGTGATAGGAAGTAGAGCATACACGAGACTAAACTGATTTGAGAAATGGACAGACTCGGTAGCTGAGACTCTATTTGGATTTCTGCTCTAGGATACTCATTTTGTTTAGAAAATACATTCACTTTTATTATTTCATTTATTCCTCCCAACAATCTAAAAGGAAGCAATTACCCTCAGATAAACAACTGAAGCTAAGCGATGTCAAATAAGTTATTCAACCAAGATCATCCAATTCATAAGTCTTAAAGCCACGTTTTGAACCTGGATTTGTCCAGCAACAAAAACAGTGCTTTTAGAATCAAGAAAGGACACTCTGTAGGGCCACGAAGCTTGTTTCCACCCCAGGGCTTTGACACTGGCTGTTCCCTCCAAGTGGAGACCTCTCCACCCAGATCTTCACATGGGAGGGTCTTACTCTGTTACTCCATTTACATCACCTCCAAAGAGAGGTTTTCCCTAATCATTCTACTTAATATAACTCATATGTTGTCCTGGCCTCGTGGTACATGCCCGTATCCCAGCACTTTGGGAGGCTGAGAACGGCGGATTCCTTGAGGCCAGGAGTTTGAGACCAGCCTGGGCAACAAAGTGAGACCCCTGTCTTTAAAAAAATTTTTTCAAATAATAATAACCAACATGCACACACACATTCCCCAATTACTTTCCAGGACTTTGCTACTCAAAGTGAGATCCAGACAGCAGCAGCAGCAGCAGCATCTAGCAACCTTGTAGAAATGTGGACTCCTGGGCCGGGCACGGTGGCTCATGCCTCTAATCCCAGCACTTTGGGAGGCCGAGGCAGGCAGATCACAAAGTCAAGCGATCGAGACCATCCTGGCCAACATGGTGAAACCCCGTCTCTACTAAAGATACAAAAATTTGCTGGACGTGGTGGTGCGCACCTGTAGTCCCAGCTACTCAGGAGGCTGAGACAGGATAATCGCTTGAAGCAGAGATCACACCACTGCACTCCAGCCTGGCAACAGAGCGAGACCCCGTCTCAAAAAAAAAGAAAAGAAAGACGAAATGTGGACTCCCAGGCTCCTCTTCAGACTGGCTGAATCCAAATCTACATGTTAACAAGATCCCTAGATGATCCTAAAGTTTACAAAGCACTACACCACACAGGTGCTGCCCAGTAGAAATATGTGAGTCACAAGTGTACTTTTAAATTTTCTAGTAGCCACATTGAAAAGGTAAAAAGAGGTGGACTTAATTGCAAGACGTTTTACTTGATATGAGTATAATTTCAACATGTAAGCAATCTAAAATTATTATTGAGTAATTTAGTATTCTGTGTATCTTACACTTACAGCACATTTCAATTTGGACATTTTACCTATTCAATAGCCACATACAGACAGTAGCTACCATACTAGACAAAACAGCTCTGGGCCATCCATTACTTTATTTTTCTTTGTAGTCTTTATCACCACCAGAATTTGTATTACATATTATTTGGCTCTTTGTCTGCTGTCT
Organism: Homo sapiens; assembly: GCF_000001405.40. Taxonomy (NCBI): domain Eukaryota; kingdom Metazoa; phylum Chordata; class Mammalia; order Primates; family Hominidae; genus Homo; species Homo sapiens. The sequence goes on along the minus strand of NC_000016.10, from coordinate 25,697,238 downwards.
CCACAACCCTCCCACTAAAATGTTAGTTCCAGGAGAACAGGTGCTTCATCTATCTTATTCACCATTTTATCCCCAGTACCTAATACAGTGCACGGCATATGGTAGATATTTTTTAAATAATTGAATGAATGAATGAATGAACACAGGGTATATGCTTCCTAGTACTTTATGTGTGGCAGTGTGGTACAAGGGAAGAAATCAGCCCTTTGAAATTAGACAGCAGGTTCAAATCTCAGCAGAGGCACTGAACAGCCAAGTGACCCTGAGTTAATCATTTACCCTCTCGGAGCCACGTGTAAAGTGGAAATGCTGCTACATATCTCAGCATATCATCAAAATGCTCAAATGAAATAACAGGTCTATAATTGTAGGTAGCACCAATTGCCACAATGGCAGGCATTCGGTAAACACCAATGAAATTCCATCCTTCTCCATTCTCTCCCCAGTTGCCACATGCAAAATATGCTGCTGAGCACTGACCATTTTCCTCTGGGTAGCATAAGCGTGACTTTGTAGAGCATTTTCCTGAGTTACTTTCCCCTAGCCAATGGAATGTGTGTATTCACTGTTGACACTGAAGACAACTTAAAACCATGGAAGAGCTCCCAGGTACTCGGGAGGCTGAGGCAGGAGAATCGCTTGAATCCGGGAGGCGGAGGTTGCAGTGAGACGAGATTGCGCCACTGCACTCCAGCCTGGGCGACAGAGCAAGACTTCATCTCAAAAGAAAAAAAAAAACAAACAAACCATGGACAATCACTTCCCATTGCCCTGGGGCTGAATGGTTTCCAGTGTAAAGTGGTCATGGTTACCGTATGCTCTGCAAACCATGAGAGAGCAAACAGCTCATGTTGTCTCTGTCACCTTGATGAGTTCTGCATTGGCAGCCAGTTGGCCTGGCCCGAGGTCCCATCCCTTAGAAGAGTTTAAAGTCTCTGCCTAGACAGCTTGTAATCAGCTCATTCTGAAAAGTGCACTGTGGCTTTGCCTTTTTTTGGAAAGGGAGAGGGAAGAGGGCATGGAGGGTTTAATCTCACCAAATTTATTAATCACTGGCCTGTGTCAATCCACCAAGTGAGGCTCGCTTCTCTGTAGATTTTAACACATGCATCCCAATCCATTAGTCTATCTTGCCCTGAAAATCTGATGCACACGTTCTAATCTCAGATGTATTTTTATATCACATTAGATCAACAGCATAGGAGGAAAGCAAAACCCGGATTTAGAGATAACTGGAGTGACACTGAGGAACTGAACCTGCTAGGGCTCTTGAGTTGAATATGAGAAAACCCCAAGCCAGCTGTGCAGAGAGCAGCCCCAATTTCTTCTTGGCTCTCCCTCTTGCTGAAAACACAAAAACCAGAAACATGTGCAGAATTCATAGGCTACTGGAAGCACATTTAAACAAAATAACAATAAATAAACAGTGGAAAAATTAAAACCTTTAATTAACCTGTGGATCTCTAATCAGTCAAATAGATCCCAGATAGCATACCTGTTATAGGAAGGAACTATACTGTTTAGGTACAGATACCATCATTTAAAAGATGAAGAGTTGGACTAGGAAACCAGGAGAAAGAGTTTCTGATACTGGAATCGATGCCACTGATCAGTGCCATCTGATACCAAATCAATGCCACTGTTTCCTTTTCTACAATACAGTGAGAATGCTGCCCCTCTTCCTATACGGGAGTGAGAGAGGAGTCTGAAGAGATAGATGGAACTGATGAAAATTTCACAAATGCCTCAAAGCACCGCTGTCTGTGGTAAGGCTGGAGAGTGGTCCAAAGCAGTCCCAGCACACTCAGATCCTGTGGGTCCAACGGGTCTTCCCAAAAGCAGAGCTGGGGGCTAATGATCTCCTCTATGTTAGACAGACATGTATTGGCAGGAAGCTTGTTCCTAAGAGAATTTTGTGTCCAGTGCTTTCAATCAGCACCCCTGGACTAGATGCTGGGGTGGGGATGAAGGACACAGAGATACCACATGGTCCCCTTAAGTGAGGACCAGGGGAATCTTGTTCTATCCACACCTCTTCACTTTAACAGTTCTGTGAGTGGCTACCAAATATGACACTGAGTCCCAAATACCACAAGCATTGGTTGGGAGTAGAAGGCTGGGCATACCACAGCGCTGGAATAACATAATCAGGAGCCACGTCAAACAAGGTAGTTTCTATACCTTCTCTTCCTAACATCAGCATAAAGGAATCTAGGAAAATCTGGCATCTTCTATTCTTTCATTCGGAAAACTCTCCAGACCCAGTGATAAGACTTCCTGATACACATTCCACCACACATCCTTCATTAACTTTATTTTAAGTCACCCAAATAAAACACCCCCGGCCCTCTGTTTCCAGCTGCCACAAACCCAAACACCTCAGATCTTGGAAAGATTTGATCTTTCTGCCTCCCTGAAGGGGCATTTGACAATTCTCATAATTCTAAAATTAGAATTGGAAAAAAAAAAAACGCAATTACCCTCATAAGGCCAAAGCTACTCCACAGAAGAAACCAGAACATTCCTACAACCAGCAATTAAACAACTAAAACCTTCCCAGACATCGTGCCCCTTCTTTATTTTGCTGTTGCTGCATTAATCATCCTAACACCTTTTTAATTATAATCACAAACTGGAAGCCATGGCTTCTGATGTTATAAATACTGATTTTCCAGTTAAATTAGGCATTTGCTGTTTTATGTTTTGATAGGAAGGGGCTGTTTGAAGCCTCCTAAAATACTGCAATTAGTTCTCTCTGTTGAAACAGACAAGACGTTAACAGACACATTTGCTGCTTCCCTGTAATGTGCTGGAATGTTTATGACTAAGTGTACTTCTCTCAAGCTTTTAAAGCATAAGGCATATTTTTAAAAGTGGAAGAAATCAATCATAATGCACACATTTATTATGTATTTCTTCAGTTAAGTTATTTCTAAAACTTTCCCAGGCTGTAATTTAAACCTAGAAAGCACATCTCCTCAACGGGCAGGCAACCTGTCAGAGAAACAATCTTGATTTTACCTATTGGCTCTGCTAAGATGATAACATCACTTCAGCTGACAAAGGCTGTGTTTCTGTTTGACATTTGCAATTAATTACCGAAATGCAATGGAGATGCAGCCAGCCATGCAGATCTGTTTCCCAGAAAGATATAAAACAGGAGGAAAGAGAGAAAGAGAAACAACAAAGGCGAAGGAGGTTTGCGTTTGGGGCATCTGCACCAGTGCCGTTTAAAATGTTATGGCTGGCAGGAAAGCTGGATTATTAATTTATTTTACCTGCACTTAACTTTCTAGTCCTCTCTCCTACCTTTCTCTCACCACCGGCAGACGGTGGGAAAGGAGGGAGATGAACATCTCACAAGACAGAAGCTCCAATCTGTTGCGAAGGAGGCGGAGATTAGACAGGGCACGGTCTGAGGCATAAAAACTCTCAGGGCACCAACTGTCATGCAGACATTGAGGCTTCTGGTGCAAAATCAACTCCGTGCTCATTCAGCCAAGGGGGATGGAAAGTTACGGAGGTGGGAGGCATCCTTTCTTTACTAGAAAGCCAAAACGCCAGCATGATCTTTGTAACTGTTCCCTATTCATTTTGCTCTGACCTTAACACACTAAAGTTGAATTCCAGCCACGCAAATGCGTTTGAGGGTGATTTTAAGAGATTCCAGGGGACCTCAAATCCCCTTAGTCAATTTAGCCATCCTGTCTCACTCCTCAAAGTCCTCTGCCCAGAATCCCAGAACCCCGCAAGAGCCTGGTTTCGGAAACACCCAGCAGGCAGGAGGGCTGGGGGTTCCCAGGCTTGGAGCTGGGCAGATTCAGACAGCACCTCCTTGGATGAGGAGCGCGGGAGGCAGGGCAGGGTGACACCTCCTCCCCTCGCCCTGAAATAAAGTGACCTTTCGCTGGAGTCCAGCCCTCTCAGCCGATCCCCCTGAGCAACGCCGCCAGGGTTTGCAGAGCCCTCGCGGGGGCTTGGGCCTCTCGGGACGGTGCCTGGATGCTCGAAGGGCGTGGAAAGCCGCGGCTTCCCCTCCGCGTCTCCCCCACGCGTCTCCACCAGCCCGCGGAGCCCAGGGTCCTACCTGTACCACTCCAACCCCTTTTCGTAGTTCCTGTCGAAGAAGTGCGGCTCTACGCCCACCGCCCGCACGTCCGGGTGCACGCGGATCGCCTCCAGCAGCGCGCGGGTCCCTCCTTTCTTGACCCCGATGATGAGCGCCTGTGGCAGCTTCTTCTCCCCATAGTCGGGGGTGCTGACGGCGCCGCCCCTCTCGCTGCTCCCGTTGGCCGCTCTCCGGCCTGCGAGATCCTCGTCGGTGGTGCTGGACTCCTGCGCTTCCCTCTCCGGCAGCGCGCTCTGAGCCGTGATCATCTCGCTGGGGGCCAGCGGGGTCCGGAGCCAGGCGTCCTGGGCGCCTCCGCCGCCGCTCGGCAGCCCCCAGCCGTCGGTCCCGGGGGCGGCTGGCTGCTCTGGGGGCTCGGGCGGCTCCCCGTGGCTCGCGTTGTCCAGCGGCGGCGGCGCGGGCGGCTGCGAGGGGGCGCCGAGGCGCACGGGGGTAGGCAGCAGAGAGGGTGGCGGCGGGCTCGGCGGGGGCTCGGCGGCGGCGCCCGGCGACTCCTGCAGCGCCAGAGGGAATTGCAGGGAGCCCGAGCCGCCCAGGAGGCTGTAGCACAGGTAGGTGACAGACAGGGACAAGGTGCACATAAAAAGCAGCTTGCGCGCCGGCGGCCCCTTAGCAGAGGCGCCGGGCGGCGGCGGCGCGGCCAGAGGTGGAGGCGGAGGCGGAGGCGGAGGAGGTGCGGGCCACCGGGCCATCGCGGCTCCCGGCTCGCGGCGGCGGCGGCGGCGGCGGCAGCCCCCGGCGCTGCCCGGACATGGTTTCAGCCGCCGCCCCCGCCGCCGCCGCCGCCGCCGCCGCCGCCGCCGCTGCCCAGCCGCCCCGGCTGCATGAAGCGACGCCGCTGCGCCCCCGGCCCTGGCCGCTGTCCCGCTGCGCCAGGGGGGAGCCCGGCCGCATGGCCCCCCGCCCCACGCTGCCCGCCGAGTCCGGGTGGCCCCCCCACCACCGCCCCCCCCTCAGCCTCAGGCAAGGGGACCGAGGGGGGCGCGCGGACCCGCCGGCGGCACCTGCTCCGTCTGCAGCGCCCCCGCTTCCCCGGCTCCGCCGCGGCTTCTGCTTCAGCCTCTGCCGCCGCCGCCGCGCGCTGTTGCAGCCCGGAGTTCCTTCCCCGCTGCTAACTTTCTGCCGGGAGAGAGGAGAGGCGCGGAGGGGAGGAGGAGGGGGCCGGGCGCGCGCCCGGCGCCGCCGAGGGAAGGGGGGTGCGCCTCGCGCGCGCCTGCGAAGGGGGCGGGGGAGCGGAGGCGTGCGCTAGGGCTGGGGCACCCGGGAGAACGGAGATCGTGCCCCCCAGCCCCCAGCACGCACGCACTTGGGGTGTTCCCCACCCCACCTCGTTTACTCCCCTCCCTTGGGAGCTCGGGACGCCGTGTTCTCCATTCCTTTGCCCCAGTACTTTTAGAGAGGTAAAGCCCAACGCCTGCCTCCGGTGCCGCGCACCGGGAGCTGGAAGACAGCGGGTGACGAAGCTCTCGCTTCCGCTTTTCCTCTGGGACTCCAACTCAGCCCATCCCCGACCCTCCCTTCTCTCGCCCGGGATATCCTCCTGCCTTCGGTCCAGGAGTGAATCCTTTTCTACAACCGCTTTCCCATCCCAACTTCCATCTTTCCAGCCACCGCCCCCCGCCCCCCATCTTCTCTTGAAGCTCCTGATGGGTGGAGCTTTGACACAAGCCCCCAGGTTTCCCAGCCCCAGAGCTTTTCCCTCTGTCCCATCACCAGGTGACAACACTTTCTGCTTCAAGAGATGAGGCTGCCCCTCCTCGACACCCTTAATCACAGGTGCACACACCTGCGCCTCTTCGGGGGCATTGCCACTAACGGAGTTCATGGTTTCCTGGACTGAAATAGTGTGGGACCACTGTCGCTCTGAACACCTAATAAGCGGAGACAAGCTGGGTTGCTGGGTGTCTGTGCATCGGCTCGCTGAAATTTTTTAAGTGTATTTTCTTTGCAGAGAGATCTCCACCCCTCACCTCCCTCTCCTGGGGGAACATGGTAAACATCAGAAGGCTTTGGAAGATTCACAACTAGACTTTGCTTCCTGTTGCATTTTGCTCAGGGAAGTGAGGGAAATGGGAGAAAGAGACAGAGTGATCAACTGAGGCACTCCAACAAACTCAGCTTTCTGCAACCGGGGCTGGCTCTGCACAGAGCTCTGCCAGGTGCCTCCTGGGGGTGGCTCTAGTGAGTACCATTTGCCCCCCAGCCACAGCTGGGTGCCTGACGGGGCTGCTTTTCCCTTGTTGGCTGCTGTGGCTGGCATCTCTGGTTTTGTTTGATCACGTAATAGGAAAACCAGTTGAAAGAAAATGTATATAATGTCTAAATATTAACGAGATACCTAGTGCCAAAGAGAAAAAAAATGTTAATCAAATAAGATAAAGAACACGGACTTTTCCCTGAGTGAACAAAAGCTCACTGCTGCTCTCAGCTGGACACGAGTTTCCTTCACTGCAGCTTTAGTTCAGATAAAGATTATTCTTTTATAATATATTTTTTATGGTACACTGGAGACCTCTGAAATGCAGAGTCTGGTGTCCTGTAAATCATTCTGTGTAACTAGGGATGCTTTTTCAAACAGCACACAACTGCATTACTGTAATGTCAATGGGAAGGGGCCAACTGGAACGGAGAGAAACACAAGCACTGCCCAGCCCTCCCTGTGCTCCGAGCCATGATCCAAGGTGGTCATCTAGGAAGCCTGGGTTGCAACAGATATTGCCTTGTCAGCGACCAGTCTCCCTTTCAAGGCCCAGGCACTAGATGTCTGGCATATGGCCCAGGTCCTCCTTGCAGTTCCTGCCTAGCACCCAAACTTTTCTATCTCCCCTCTCAGCAATCCAAACGAATCTGCTCCATGCCCAGTTTTACTAAAGATGGGCTCTCAAATTTCGAAAGGTTTTGGTAAAAAGGTATCAAAACCGATGGTGGCAAATGGAGCTCTGAATGTGGCCAGCACAGTGACATTAAGAAATGTAAACTGGCTGCAATAGTTTAAACTGGGGGCTTTCCCAAAAAAGGAAAAAAAAAAAACACCTTGGAGAGGACGTTACTGTTGAAAAATCAGCAGATCCTGAACTTTGAGCCCCTCAGTCAGAGCTGAGAAGTAGAGTGAACATGCTGCCGTTTTCACAGTGCTCATACAAGTTGCCCCCCCACACATTTATGTCACTTGCCTTGACACTGCTAGTAAGGACATTTCTCAGTATCCCTTTTGCCTCCAATCCTCAAATAGTCACGCTTTAATAACAAACTCTTGAAAGAATAGAGCCCCTTTGGTAAAATGTCAGGCCCACAAGTGATAGGGAGGAGGCGGGCTTTTTTGGAGAGGAACTTTGTAAATTTCACACTTAGGCAGTTGCCTATTTTTTATCTACTTTTGAGCCACGCTTTTTCTAGGAGCAAGTCCTTGAGAAACCTACAATGAAAAGTGGGAGCTACCTACACAGGGCGAACTCTGACGTCATCCAGGCATTCCCAATGGATCCGAAGACTCGATGGAAGATAGTTTTCTGTCTCCCCTGCCAACACCCACAGAATTCCTCTAACTGGTCTCCTGGCCTCACTCTGCCTCATTTCCCTTCATCCTAGAAAACAATAGCAGATCAATGTTTCTGAGGCAATGTTTTTTTAGCTCTACCAATGTCCCCCCGACTCAAAAAACCATTATCTCACTACCTAACTAATAAACTCCAACCTCTTTACCTTGGTACTCAAGATTCCCCCTACCTTTGGTGTATCTCGCAGTCCTGCCAAACCAAACAGTGCATGCTGTCCAAACATACACACTGCGTCCTTCTCTTCTGTCTCCGTAGTATCAGATGATAGCATTTGAGCAAAGCTGTCATTTGCTAGCCAAGTGGCTTTTGGAAAGGTCATTTTACCTCCCTCAGCCTCAGTTTCTGCATGTATAAATTATGGATAAGACTCACCTCAAATTGTTTTTATAAAGAATTAAATTGAATTAGCTAGAATATGCAAAAATCCCTGGCTCCCTGCCCGACATGGGGTGCCTACCAATAATTATTCAAATCTAAATATTGGCCTATGCCATGCTCTGCTTCCTTTTCCTATTAAAACTTTATTCTTGAAAAATATGTGTGTACTCTTTCTTCAAAACTATCCCAGTGTATCAGCTAAAGTTCACTGTCCTAAGATGTTCTGTTTGTAACATTTATAATGTCAAGTCTAATGCCTTCTGGAATATTGGTAAAGTTTTAGGGTTTTTTGTTTGCTTATTTTCTATAAAATAAAATCACTGGAAGGATTCATAGTAACTCAAATAACTAAAGGGAATTTTTAAAAATCAACAAACAAACAGCAAAATTGGCTTTGGAAAGGACAGTACAGTGTGTGGTGGTCATTACTGACATTCGTCAAATATTGTCCAGTCTCGTTGTGGACATCTGGTAGGGATATACTTCCCTGACCCCTTAAAGTTAGGTGTGACTATGTGCTGCTCTGGCTACTGAAATATGAACGGAAGTGAGGTTTGTCCCTTCCAGGCAGAAGCCTTGAGAGGCAGGAGGAGATTTGCCAGGGTCTGTTTTCCCTCCTGAGCAATTGCAGAAGAAAAGGGTTGAATACAGGGTCTTAGCTTCTGTATTAGGCCTTTCTCTTACTGCTATAAATAAATACCTGAGACTGGGTAATTTGTAAAGAAAAGAGGTTTAATTGGCTCATGGTTCTGCAGGCTGTATAGGAACCATTATGTTGCCATCTGCTTGGCTTCTGGGAGGCCTCAGGAAAGTTACAATCATGGCGGAAGGTGAAGGGGCCACAGTCACATCGCATGGCCAGAGCAGGAGCAAGAGAGCGAGGCAGGAGGTGATGTAAACCTCAGAGAACTCACTCACTGTCACTAGAATATTACCAAGGGGGTAGTGGTAAACTATTCATGAGAAATCTGCCCCCAAGATCCATTTACCTCCCACCAGGCCCCACCTCCAACACTGGGAATTGCAATTCAACATGAGATTTGGGCAGAGACACACATGCAAACTATTTCAGCACCCATCTACTCAATCCCGCACGTTGATTAAGGATAATACAGATCCAGCCCCTCATGACAGGTACATGATCAAGAAATAGATCTGTGCTGTTTTCAGCTCCTGAGACTTACGGCTTGGTTATTACCACAGCACAACCTAGACTATCTGACTGATTAAAGCACACATGCTATTAATTTTCCTTGCTGTTGGCCACAATGGCTTCACTCCTCCAATATTAGAATTCCCCTTCACAAAAGTAGATAAATGAAAGATTAAAAGCCCATCAGGTAAAAAAGAAAAGTTTTCCAGAAATATAAGCAGAATTCTTGTCTCGTATGTAGCAACTCTATTTCCTCAGTTCATCTTTCATCTGTTGATTAAAAAGTATATCTATAAGCTAGGCATGGTGGCTGACACCAGCAATCCCAGCACTTAAAGAGGCCGAGGCAAGAAGATCCCTTGAGCTCAGTAGTTCAAGAGCAGCCTGGGCAACATAGTGAAACCCCATCTCTACAAAAAACAAACAAACAAACAAATAAAAGTGTATCTATAAAGATTTGGAGGTAAGCCTCCAGACAAAGCCCAAAGGACAACATTGTATACTTGTAAAAAGATTTAAAACAGAATAATAGTAGCCATGAACATATAAGACCTTGCACTGAAAAGACCTTGCATTGAAAAGACCTTGTGTTTACATAGGAAATAGAAATTGCTTAGAGCAGAAAGCACAACAGGACAAAATCTGGTGGATAGAATTGAGCAATACTCATAAGAAAGATTATAGATTCAAATATACTTATCCCCCCGAAACAAAATTTTAAAACAAATGAGCTACATGTTCAACTCGAGAAGTTAAAAAAAGAGCAAGAGTCAGGAAGTAAGGAAATAATAAAGAGAAGAGCCAAGCTTATGTTTATATTTAGTGGCTGTTTATTTCTTGTTATGGACTGAATTGTGCCACCCTCCCCCTGTCTCCAAATTCAAAATGCTGAAGCCCTAACCTCCAATGTGACTGTATCGGACAACAGGGTCTTTAAGAGGTGATTAAGGTTAAATGAGGTCATACATATAGAATCCTAATTAGATAGGACTGTAGCTGGAGAAGAAGAAATGATCTCTATTCCACTCCCTCTCTTTCTCCCTCTCCATGTGAAGACACAGTAAGAAGGTTGCCATCTGCAAGACAAAAAGAGAGCCTGTGCCAGAACTGGACCATGCTGGACACCTGATCTTGGACTTCCGGTTTTCAGAACTGTGAGAAAATAAATTTCCTAGGCTGGGCGCAGTGGCTCATGCCCGTAATCCTAGCAGTTTGGGAGGCCGACGTGGGCGGATCATGAGGTCAGGAGATCAAGAACATCCTGGCTAACACGGTGAAACCCAGTCTCTACTAAAAATACAAAAAATTAGCTGGGCATGGTGGCACGCGTCTGAGGTCCCAGCTACTCTGGAGCCTAAGGCCAGAGAATCACTTTAACCCAGGACACGGAGGTTGCAGTGAGCCAAGATAGTGCCACTGCACTCCAGCCTGGGGGACAGAGCAAGACTCCGTCTAAAAAAAAAAAAGAAAAGAAATTTCCTTTTTTTAAGCCACTTAATCTATTATATTTTGTTACAGCCGCTTGATCTGACATTTATCTTTCATGTTTTATGTTTATTTGCCTGTTTATTGTATTTTTATAAGTTTTCTATTGCTTGGTTGCTAGCTCGTTGATTCAAAAAAGTCTTTTTTTATTAGAGGTATCTGGTTTTTTTTTCTAACAGATATCTTCCAATTATTGACTTACCAATTTGCCTTTACCAATTAACTGGTTTTAGTGTTTCTGATGACATATGTTTTTCATTATTATGTAGTCAATGTCTCAGTGATGTTTTTTGTGTATTTTACCTTTGATGGAAAAAGGCATCCCTCAAACTGTGTAAACATTCATCTATACTTTCTTCTAGGACATTTTTTGTTTATTTTCTACACACAAATGTTTAAACCATCTGAAATTCATGTTTGTGTATAGTTTTACCAAGCTATCTAACTCTTTCTTTTTTTTCCTAGCACTGGTTATTTCTCAACAGTTTGAAACTCCAATGTCATAATAAATCCATAATGTTGGAATTTTCCCATCTAGAAATATAGGGGGCCAATCTCCATTAATTCAAATATTTTATCTTATTGGACCTTCTGTAATTTCATTGACATAAACCCTTCACAAACCTGGAACTGGATTAGTGTTTTGACGTCTAATGCTGCTTTGTTCAGTTTTATAAACCTCTTGCTCTTCTTTTGTTTCACTTATTTATTCATTCTTTCAATTGTCATTTTTAAGCGACTAGTATATTCCTGGCCCTGGATTAGACATTGACGATAAAGTAGTGAGACAGACAGCAAGGTCTCTGTCCTCATTAAAGTTTAATAAAGTGAGACAAGTACTAAAAGAGAGAAAATACAGTTAGGCATGGTGGCTCACGCCTGTAATCCCGGTGCTCTGGGAGGTGGAGGTGAGAAGATCACTTGAGGCCAGGAGTTTCAGACCAGCCTGAGCAACATAGTAAGACCACCATCTCTACAAAATATTTAAAAAATTAGCCTGGTGCAGTGGTGCACCTCTGTAGTCCTAGCTTATCAAGAGTTTGAGGCAGAAGGATCACTTGAGCCCAGGAGTTGGAGGCTGCAGTGAGCTATGATCACACCATTGCATTCCAACCTGGGTGACAGAGAAAGATGCCATCTCTAAAACAAGAGAGAGAGAGAGAATACAGAATGCCCTGCTGTGGAAGCACATTTTTTAATACATACTTTAAGTTCTAGGGTACATGTGCACAACGTGCAGGTTTGTTACGTACGTATACATGTGCCATGTTGGTGTGCTGCACCCATTAACTCGTCATTTACATTAGGTATTTCTCCTAATGCTATCCCTCCCCCCTCCCCCCACCCCACAACAGGCCCCGGTGTGTGGTGTTCCCCACCCTGTGTCCAAGTGTTCTCATTGTTCAATTCCCACCTATGAGTGAGAACATGCAGTGTTTGCTCAGAATGATGGTTTCCAGCTTCATCCATGTCCCTACAAAGGACATGAAGTCATCCTTTTTTATGGCTGCATAGTATTCCATGGTGTATATGTGCCACATTTTCTTAATCTAGTCCATCATCAATGGACATTTGGATTGGTTCCAAGTCTTTGCTATTATGAATAGTGCTGCAATAAACATATGTGTGCATGTGTCGTTTTTTTTTTTTTTTTTTTTTGAGACGGAGTCTCGCTCTGTCACCCAGGCTGGAATGCAGTGGCACGATTTTGGCTCACTGCAAGCTCCACCTCCCAGGTTCATGCCATTCTCCTCCTCAGCCTCCCGAGTAGCTGGGACTACAGGCACCTGCTACCACATCCGGCTAAGTTTTTGTATTTTTAGTAGAGATGGGGTTTCACCATGTTGGCCAGGGTAGTCTCGATCTCTTGACCTCGTGATCCACCCACCTCGGCCTCCCAAAGTGCTGGGATTACAGGCATGAGCCACCGCACCTGGCCGCATGTGTCTTTACAGCAGCATGATTTATAATCCTTTGGGTATATACCCAGTAATGGGATGGCTGGGTCAAATGGTATTACTAGTTCTAGATACTTGAGGAATTGCCACACTATCTTCCACAATAGTTTAACTAGTTTACAGTCCCACCAACAGTGTAAAGGAAGCACATTGTTAAAGCACCTAACCTAGAGTACAGGCATGAGAGAACCCTTCACAGAGGAAGGGACATGTATGTCTATATGCAGTATAAAGAAAAAATTGGATTAACCAGGTAAAGAAAGAAGGACATTATTTTTAGTATGTGCAACATCCATCCATTTCACTCATTATACATACACTTAGCAACTTAAATTGAAGGCAACTTCCCTAAGAGAAAAACAAGTATTTGCCAAAAACTACAGTTAACATTATGATAAAACGTGATGAAATATTAAAACCAAACCATTTAATGGAAGGAACAATGCAAGTGTGCCTTCCAATGTAGCTTCTATTCATCAGTATACTGGCATCTGCAGTTAATGCAGTAAGATAAGAAAACATAATAAGGACATGAGAGTTGGGAAGAAATAAACAGATTATTATTTGCCAACTATATGTTTATTGGCAAAAGAAAATCTACCAACAAAAAAGCTTGGCAAAGCTGGTGAATAAAATTCAAAATACAGGTCAAGTGCAGAGGCTCACACCTGTAATCCCAGCACTTTGGGAGGCTGAAGCAGGAGGATCACTTGAGGCCAAGAGTTCAAGACCAGCCTGGGCAACATTACAAGACCCCATTTCTACCAAAAAACATTAAAAACAAAAATTCAAAATTGAAAGAGTAACTGCATTTCTATATACAATCAGGATACAACTTGAAAATATAACTGTAAAAGAATAAATATAACTGTAAAGAAAATATAACTGTAAAAGACTTATTCAGAACTACAATAAATTCCAATAAGTACTTAGAAATAAACAATAAATGGCAAGCAAACTAATACTTATTTAACAACAGAAATTTATTGTCATACAGTTCTGGAAGCTAGATGTCTGAAATCAAGGTGTCAGTAGGATATGCTGCCTCTGTGACTCTGGGGAAAATCCTTCTTTGCCTCTTCCTAGCTTCTGGTGGTGGCCAATTCTTGGTGTTCCTTGGCTTGCAGCTCTGTCACTCCGGTTTCTGTCTCTGTCATCACAGGTCATTTTTCCTGTGGGCCTCTATTTTTCTTTTTCTTTTTTTTTTTTTGAGACTGAGTCTCACTCTGTCACCCACGCTGGAGTGCAGTGGCGCGATCTCAGCTCACTGCAACCTCTGCCTCCCAGGTTCAAGCAATTCTCCTGCCTCAGCCTCCCAAGTAGCTGAGATTACAGGCACCTGCCTTTGTCTTCTTGTAAGGTCACCTGTCGTAGTGGGCAAGGTCATAACCTAACAATCTTATCCTAACTTGCTTTCATCTACAATGACCCTATTTCTAAATAGGGTCCGACTCACAGGTACTGGAGGTATTATAAGTGAGAAAAAAAATGAGCTATTTATTAAATAAGGCATTAGGCAAATCATAAGCAAGAAGAGAAAACCAGTTTCCCCCTGCCACCAGACAGAAAAGAAAATCTAGACAGATTAAAGACATAACTATGAAAAGAAAAGCTTATGGGCGGGTGCAGTGGCTCACACCTGTAATCCCAGCACTTTGGGAGGCCAAAACAAGAGAATTGTTTAGGCCCAGGGGTTCAAGACCAGCCTGGGCAACATAGGGGTACCCTGTCTCTATAAAAAATAAATGGGTATGGTGGCTTGGGTCTGCAATCCCAGCCACTTAGGCTGGGATGGGATGATCACTTCAGCCCAGGAGGTCGAGGCTGCAGTGAGCCATAATTGCACCACTGCAGTCCGGCCTGAGCAACAGAAAAGACCCTCTCTGAAAAGAAAAGAAAAGAAAAGAAAAGAAAAGAAAAGAAAAGAAAAGAAAAGAAAAGAAAAGAAAAGAAAAGAAAAGAAAAAAGAAAAGAAAAGCTTTTTCGGTTTTGTAAGAAAACATAGGATATTATCCCTATAACATTCAGGTAGGAGTGTCATAAACAGAAAACAAAAAGCATATGTCATAGAGGAAAAGACTGACAAAGACTGAATTGGCCTATGTTTTAAATTTATTTTAATCAAAGGATGCCATTAAAAGGATGAAAGAAAAAATAACCTGGGAGAATGCCTTAATATTCAGAATATATACAAAAGGGGCTGGGCTCAGTGGCTCACACCTGTAATCCCAGCACTTTGGGAGGCCAAGGTGGACGGATCACTTGAGGTCAGGAGTTCAAAACCAGCCTGGCCAACATGGTGAAACCCCGTCTCTACTAAAAAAAAAAAAAATACAACAATTAGCCGGGTGTGGTGGCAGGTGCCTATAGTCCCAGCTACTTGCAAGGCTGAGGTAGGAGAATCGCTTGAACCTGGGAGGTGGAGGTTGCAGTGAGCCGAGATAGCGCCACTGCACTCCAGCCTGGGGGACAGAGCAAGACTCCGTCTCAAAAAGCAAACAAACAAAAAACCAAAGCAAAACAGAATATATACAAAAAAAAAATCCAACAAATAACTTGAAAATCACTAAAATAATGAAAAGGATATAAATAGGCAGTTCACCAAGGAGAAAATCTGGATGGCAAATAATCATAAGAGATTATATTCAACCTCGCTATTAATCAGAAAAGTGAAAATTAAAACACAGGTGATATTCCATGTCATGCTCTTTAGAGTGGCAAAATGTAATGTCTTTTAGCTTCAAATCTTAGCAAGAATGTAGAGGAAAATAATATCACATATTTCTGAAAGGAATGTAAATTGGCACAACTGCACTGGAGAAGAAATACCTGTAACAGTATCAGGTCAAAGTAAACATGGGTCATTGTACGACCAAACACCACTTCCTGGTGTCTTCACTAAAAAATGCTCACTTCTAAACACAAGACGTATGTAGAGTGTTGCTTTGCATAGTATAACGGGAAACAATTGTTCCATCAGTAAGGAAATGGATTGCTGAAGTTTATTCATATATTGTAATGTGATTCTGCAGTTAAAGAGAACAAACCAGTTCTCCACATCTTTTTTTTTTTTTGAGATGGAGTCTCGCTCTGTCGCCCAGGCTGGAGTGCAGTGGCGCAATCTCGGCTCACTGCAAGCTCTGCCTCCAGGGTTCATGCCATTCTCCTGCCTCAGCCTCCCGAGCAGCCTGTGACTACAGGCACCCGCCACCATGCCCGGCTAATTTTTTGTTTTTGTTTTTTTTTTTTTAGTAGAGATGGGGTTTCGCTGTATTAGCCAGGATGGTCTCGATCTCCTGATCTTGTGATCCACCCGCCTCAGCCTCCCAAAGTGCTGGGATTACAGGTGTGAGCCACCGCACCCGGCCTACATATCTTAACATGGATATAGCTAAGAAAGCTGATTGATTAATAAGGGGTGATCACAGAAGGATACGTGCAGCATGATGCCATTTATGTACATTTTAAAAATGCATAAAATTATAATGGTTTGTTAATATTCTATACATACACATATATATTCTCAGAATGTTTCATATTAATTTCAGGGCATTCATACCTAAGATGAAAGATAATGAACTGGAAAAATGAAGTTGGAGGTGTAACTGCAATATTTTACTCCTTAAAAACAAAGACGTTTTTATGAGCTGAATTATATCTCCCCAAAATTCGCATGTTGAAGTCTTAACCCCAGTATCTCAGAATGTGACCGTATTTGGAGACAGGGCCTTTAAAGAGGTGATTAAGGTAAAATGAAGTCATATAGGTGGGTCCTAATCCAATATGAATGATATCCTTGTAGAAGATCAGGATGATGACCATCCACAAGCCAAAAAGAGGGACCTCAGAAGAAACCAGCCCTGCCAACACCTTGATCTCAGACTTCTAGCCTCCAGAATTGTGAGAATATATGTTTCTGTGGTTTAAGCCACTTGGTCTATGGGATTTTGTTAGGGAAGCTTTAGTAAACCAACACAACATGTAAAGCAAATATGGCAAAATGTAACATCTGTATATTTTAGGTATTAGGACCACAAATATAGGTAATATCATATTTTTGTGTGTTTAAATATGCCTATGTTAGTTAAGAAAATGGCCAGGCATGGTGGCTCACACCTGTAATCCCAGCACTTTGGGAGGCTGAGGCAGGAGAATCACTTGAGGCCAGGAGTTCAAGACCCGCCTGGGTAACATAGTGAGACCCTATCTCCACAGAAAAATGAAAGATAAAAAAATAAATAAATAGCAAGCAGATTTTCTAAAAAGAATGGCTCAAATGCAGTAAAAATTTATCTGTGGTCACTTTATAGGCCAAGGTGGCTATGGCAGTTTTTTTTTTTACAGTGAATATTTTATTTTTTATTTATTTATTTATTTATTTTTTATTATTATACTTTAAGTTTTAGGGTACATGTGCACATTGTGCAGGTTAGTTACATACGTATACATGTGCCATGCTGGTGTGCTGCACCCACTAACTCGTCATCTAGCATTAGGTATATCTCCCAATGCTATCCCTCCCCCCTCCCCCCACCCCACAACAGTCCCCAGAGTGTGATGTTTGAACCAGAGCAACTCCGTCTGGAATAGGGGCTGGGTAAAATGAGGCTGAGACCTACTGGGCTTCATTCCCAGGAGGTTAGGCAGTCTAAGTCACAGGATGACAGGAGATCGGCACAAGATACAGGTCATAAAGACCTGGCTGATAAGACAGCTTACAGTAAAAAAGTTGGCCAAAACCAAGATAGCAACGAAAGTAACCTGTAGTCGTCCTCACTGCTCATTATATGCTAATGATAATGCATTAGCATGCTAAGAGACACTCCCACCAGCGCCAGGACACTTTACAAATACCATGGCAATGTCAGGAAGTTACCCTATATGGTCTAAAAAGGGGAGGGACACTCAGTTCTGGGAATTGCTCACCCCTTTCCTGGAAAACTCATGAATAATCCACAGCTTGTTTAGCATATAATCAAGAAATAACCACAAAAATGGTCAACCAGCAGCCTCCGCCTGTTGGAGTAGCTATTCTTTTGTTTCTTTACTTCTCTAATAAATGTGCTTTCACTTTACAGATTAACCTCAAATTCTTTCTTGCGGGAGATCCAAGAACCCTCTCTTGGGGTCTGGATGGAGACCCCTTTCTGGTAACAGTTTGGCAGATGGCTGTCCTTCAGAGAATGTGTCAGTTCCCCAGAATCTTGTCTGTGTTGGCTCTGGCACCCCGAGGGCATTATCATTGCCTGAAACCAAACTGCACAAGGAAAAAAAGGATGCAGACAGAAGACACACCTGGACAGAAGTTCCAGCCTGGAAAAAGTGCACATCGTTTTCACTCCCATTCCATTAAGGTGCCAATGGAAAGTTAGTCCCGCACCACACCTCACTGCAAACAGCTGGGCCACTGAGCTTAGCTGTGTGCCCAGGACTGGGAGGAAAATGTGGATTTGGACAAACAGCAAGTAGTCTGCCTCCTAGAGTCATAACTAAGAATTTCAAATAATTAAATTTAAACATCATAAATAAAAGAGCATTAACTCCTCTTATGTTAGTCAGGATTCTCCAGAAAAAAACAGAACCAATAGGAGATATGTAAAGTAATTTATTACGAGGAAGTGGCTCAGATGATTATAAAGGCTGACAAGCCCCCAAGAGCTGCAGTTCACAAGGAGGCTGATGGTGTAAATCCAGTTCAAATTCAAAGTCCTGGGCATGAGAAGAGCTATTTTTTTAGTTCCAGTCTAAAGACAGGGAAAATGAAAATTCCTCCTTACTCAGGGGAAGGTGAGCCTTTTTGTTCTATTCAGGCCTTCAACAGATTGGATCAAATCTCCATCTCAGTCCACCAACTCAGTCAACCCAGAAACACCCTCTCAGACACAGCCAGAATGTTGTACCAAATATGTGAGCATCTCGTAAACGGTCAAGTTGACACATAAAATTACTCATCGGGCCAGGCTCAGTGGCTTATGCCTGTAATCCCAGCACTTTGGGAGACTGAGGTGGGTGGATCGCTTGAGTCCAGGAGTTCAAGACCAGCCAGGACAACACAGCAAGACCTCATCTCTACAAAAGATATAGAAGTTCGCTGGATGTGGTGGTATGTACCTATAGTCCCAGCTACTCAGGAGGCTGAGGTGGGAGGATTACCTGAGCCTGGGGAGGTTGAGGCTGCAGTGAGCCGTGATCAAACCACTGCACTCCAGCCTAGATGACAGAATGAGACCTGTCTCAAAAAAAAAAAAAATTGCCAATCACACCTTCCACATAAAATAAATTATCCAGTTTTTACTCTCAGCTCCTTGCAACATTTCCCTCACCTAATCTTTGGTGTTCACTTTGAAATTGTAGATTTATTGTTTCTAAATCAGTATTTTAACATGATATGTCTTCTTTATTAGAAACTTATTTTATATGTGCATGTGTTTTCAACCTATATTTATATAATCACTTATTCACTTTTTTTTTTTTCAGTCTCACTCTATCGCTCAGGCTGGAGTGCAGTGGCACCATCTTGGCTCACCGCAAGCTCTGTCTCTCAGGTTCAAGTGATTCTTGTGTCTCAGCCTCCCAAGTAGCTGGGATTACAGATGCGTGCCATGACACCTGGCCAATATTTGTATTTTTAGTAGAGACAGGGTTTCACCACGTTGGCCAGGCTGGTCTCGAACTCCTGACCTCAACTGATCCGCCCGCCTCAGCCTCCCAAAGTACTGAGATTACAAGTGTGAGCCACTGCACCCAGCCATGATCACTTATTCTTAATGCATACCATGTGAAACTCCTTCAATTGTTTTACCTTTTTACAGTCCCTTGAGGTATTCTGATTTGGCTCAGTTTTCTGGAATATATCTTTCCACAGGGTTAGGGCTTCTAACTGGGGCCAGAACTTGGCAGGGCCCCCAGTTAAACAATGTTCTTTTACATAAAAGACAAGAGTCAGTTGTATTTCTGGACACAAAGGACTCTCCAACCATGATTAGATCAAAACAAACAAACAAGAAACCAAAAACATTTTTCACAAGAGAATAAAAATGTGCAGAAATGCAATTCTGCCTGCCAGTAAATAACACAATTATAAGCTATCTTCCTTTCTTTTTTATTTTCTGTTTGTTAATTACAAAATAAAATATGAGTACATACTAGTAAGTCAAACAAAAAATAAATCCAAGAATACAGATGAAATTGGAAGCTCCTCTATTAAGAAATATTGAGCTTACAAATTCTCGTAGATATAATGAAAGCTACTCTTCAAAGTAAAAGGGCATCAAGTTGCCCACTGACCCTATGGTCCTGTTCGCCCTGGTCTTTCTGCAGAGGCTCAGTTTGTAGTGTATTTGCCACGCTTACCGTTAGTGTTCAGATATCTTACAAGTATTATTGACAGAAGTGAAATAGCAGCAAGGACATTGGCCAAGTTACTAGGAAAGGGAGCAGAAATAAAAAGGAAACAAATGAGAGATGTATAGAAATGAAAGGGGAGAGAATGAGGAACGTGGCACATGTATCCTGTGCAAATTATAGAAGAGCATGGATGATTTGGAGGTAAGAATGAATTGCGTAAGACCAGAAGAGAATTGTGGCTATGAAATCTACCATATTCATCAAGAAGTGGGGAAAAAATAAAAATAAAAAACAGCTAAGTGAAGGGGCAAAAAAACCCCACCTTGAATCTATGGCAATAGGATCAACATCAAAGTCAGATGCCCAGCCACTCACCTGGTGTTAATTGATACAGAGAATTTAAAAATCAGTAGTTTGTAAAAGGGTGGCCTCTGACTTCTCTGTCTCACAGGTGATTCCCACCTGGATTTTGGGCATATCTGAATCTGCACACCATCAATGTGAATGGCAAACTAGCACAGGTAGACTTCAAACTGCTGGAGAATAATGAATGTATGTCACTAGCAAAGATTATGCAGGAAGAGACAAATATCTACCTTAACTGATTTCCACGGAAGACAAAATTTATCTATTTGAGGAAAATAAATCTGCTAGAAAATATATGTGTAAGAAGGCGAAGAATATGCCTGCTTCTCAAGCTTCAAAAGAATTGATTCACATTCCTGTTAGGCAGAAATGCAATGGAGACCACAAGTTTAAATCTGTCTTAGTTACTTTGGACTTAATTAACATATGGGGCTTACAAACATCCATTCAGAACCAAATCTATCCCAAAGTATAAACTTGCCCTAAGTTACCATGGTTATCAGTTTGATAGGCACTAGCCTTTTTCTTCCGTTATAAATGCAAATCAGATTATATAATAAATAACATTATTTACTAAATTCTTGTTGTTCCAAATATTTAGGAGACTTTTCCTATCAGTACACATAGATCTACCCTACTCCTTTTAATGACTACAGAGTATTACAGAGGCTGCATCTATAATAAGATATTAAATAATTCCTCGACTGATGGACATATAGGTTATTTTCAATTTGGGAGTGCGTGTGTGAGTATACATATATATATATACGTGTATACATGTATATATACTTGTGTGTTTGGGTATGTATATATAAAAGCAGAATAATTGCTCTGTCAACTAGTACATGTATTTCATAATATCAAAAAGTTGACATCAGTACCAATTTATAATTTTACCCACAGTTATTTTTAACTTTTTAATTTTGAGAAAGTAATTAATTGTCAGAACATTTATAAGATTAATGCATAAAACTCCCAAACATCTTTTAACAAGATTTACCAGTTTTTCACATTTTACCATGCCACATTCATTTTATCATTCACGTTTCTCTCCTCCTGTTTTTCTAATTCTTTCTGATTTCAGAAGTTTGCATATATTATACCAATTTATCCCCTAGTATTTACTGTATGTTTTTTCAAAACAAGGATATTCTCATGTGTTATGTTTCAGTTATCAAGGTTAGGAATTTTAACATTGATATATCACTTTTATCTACTTCACAATATAAGTTAATTTTGCCAGTTGTCCTAATAATGTCTTCTAAGACATTTTTTTCCCTCCAATAGAGGATCCAGTTCAGAGTCACATATTACATTTAATTGTTATAGCTCTTTAGTCTCCTTTAATCTGGAAACAGTTCTTAGCATTTTATTTCTTATAACAAACATTTTTGTAAAACGTGGCAAGTATAGATCCTCCCTCAATTTGGGTTGGCCTGATGTTTCCTTGTGATTAGATTCATGTTATACATTCCTGGATGAAATATTGTAAAAATGACGTATTCTCAGGAAAGTGCAGCTGGGGTCACATGATGTGATTCTGTCTCCTCATTGGTAATTTTCATTTTGCTCATGTGATAAAGGCATTGTTCAATTTCTCTGTGTAATTGCTATCATCCACTTGTAACTATTACATTATTTGAAGGGAGACACTTTCATCTCATGCATCCTGTTCCTAATCACATTTTCATCTCCTTATACAGAATCTATTGACAATTATTATCTGAAGAAGTCTTTCATATACTGAGTTTTAAACGATGATTTTCCAACTCTATCATTCCCTCCACATTTATCAATTGGTCATTTACTGAAGGAATAATATTTTCCCTTTATTTGTCTATTTATATTTTTATCTTTCTTTCCATCTTTCTATCTTTCTTTCTATCCATCTGTTCATCCATCCACTTATCTATTTACTCTCAGTGTAGATTCATTGATTACTATTTTATTTAATGAGTTATAGTACATTATTATCCTTATTTATTTTGATTTTCAATTTTTACCAGGTCTGGCCAGTGACATCCCCTTTAAGCAGGCTTGTGTCCTTTTGGTAAGTCTCTGTAAGTTGTTTTAGTACTTACATTTCAGCACTACAAGATGACCCAAGTTCTGGAACCTTCACTGTCCCAGCCCTGGAAACAGTAATTTCTCCAAGCTTCTCCAAAACTCATTTCCTAAGTTTATTTAGCTTAAGGTCCTGCAGGCTGGGAAGTTCAAGGGCGTGGCCCTGGCTTCTGGCAAGGATTTCTCTGCTGAATCATGACATGGCAGAGAAGATCAAAGGAGAAGCAAAACCGAAGGGGCATCCTGGCTTTATAACCCACTCTCAGGAGAACTAGTCCATTCCCACCAGAACTAATCCAGTATTTCCAGAGCAAGAACTCACTCACTACCACAAGAATAGCACCAACTTATTCATGAGGGACCTACCCCCACAGCCCAAGCAACTCCCACTAGGTCCCACCTCCCAATACCACCACGTTGGAAATCAAATTTCAACAAAGGTTTTGGTGGGGACAAACTCAAATTATAGCCGGATTCTGTTCCCGTTATTTAATTGGGCTTTTTTTTTTCTTGCCGTTGAATTGTCTGAACTCCTTATATACTTTGGATATTAACCTCGTATCCCATGTACAGTCTGCAAATATTTTTCCCCGTTCTGTAGATTGTCTCTTCACTGTGTTGATTGTTTCCATTGCTGTGCAGAAGCTTTTAAATTTGCTATTTTTGCTTTCTTAGTCTGTGCTTTTGGGATCATATCTATAAAAATCATTGCCCAGACCAATGTCATGGAATTTTTCCCCATATCATCTTTGAGTAATTTCATAATTTGGTTCTTACATTAAATCTTTAATCCATTTTGAGTTAATTTTTGCATATGGTGTGAGATAATTTTATTTTTCTGCATGTGGATATCCAGTTTTCCCAACACCCTTTATTGAAGAGACTTCCCCCCATTGTGTGTGCTGAGCGTCTTTAACAAAAATCGATTGGCTATAAATGAACAGGTTCATTTCTTGGCTTTGTATTCTGTTCCATTGCTGTACATTTCTATTTTTTTTTCCAGCTTCTGTTTTTATACTGCTTTGGTTACTGTAACTTTGCAGTATATTTTCAAGTCAGGTAATGTGATGAATCCAGATTTGGTTTTTCTGTTGTTGCTTGTTTGTTTACTCAGATTGCTTTGGCTGTTTAGAGTCTTTGGTGGTTTCATATCAATTTTAGGGTTTTTTATTTCCTATTTCTGTGAAAAATGTCATTGGTATTTTGATAGGGATTACATTCAATCTATACAACACTTTGGGTAGAATGAACATTTTAACAGTATTAATTCTTGCCATTCATGAACATAGGATATCTTTCCATTTTTCCTGTCTTCTTTCATTTCTTTTATCAATGTTTTGTACTTTTCAGTGTAGAGATCTTTCACCTCCTTGGTTAAATTTATTCCCAAGGTTTTCTTGTAGCTATTACAAATGAGATTGTTTTCTTGATTTCTTTTTCAGATAGTTTGCTATTAGTGTACAGAAATGTTATTTGTTTTTATATGTTGATTTTGTATCCTGCAACTTTAGTGAATTTGTTTATAACAATTTTTCAATTTTTCAGAGTTTTCTATACATAAAATTATCTCATCTGCAAACAGGTACAATTTAACTTTTTCTTTTCCAATTTGGATGGCTTTGATTTCTTCCTCTTGACAAATTGGTCTGACTGGGACCTTCAGTACTATATTGGATGGAGGTGGTAAGAATAGGTATTCTTGTCTTGTTCCAATTTTTTTTCTTTTAGAGGCAAGGTCTCACCCTGTTACCTATGCTGGCATGCAAGTGGCATCATTATAGCTCGCTGCAGCCTGCAACTCCAGGGCTCAAGAGATCCTCCCACCTCAGTCTGCCAAGTAGCTGGGACTATAGGTGTGCACTACTATGCCCAGCTAATTTATTTGTGTGTGTGTGTGTGTGTGTGTGTGTGTGTGTGTGTGTGTGTGTGGAGATAGGGTCTCACTATGTTGCCCAGGCTGGTCTCAAGCTCCCAGCCTCAAGTAAACCTCCCACCACAGCCTCCCAAAGCACTAGGATTATAGGCATGGGCCATCACACCCAGCCATTTTCTAGGTTTTAAAGGGAAAAACTTTCATCTCCCCTTTGAGTATGATGTTAGCTGTGGGTTTGTCATATATGGCCTTTATTGTGTTGAGAGGTAAGCTTCTATACCTAATTTCTTGAGAATGTTTAGCATAAAAGATGCTGAATTTTGTCAAATGCTCTTTCTGCATCTATTGAAATGATTATGTGGTTTTTGTCCTTAATTCTGTTAATGTGATCTATCACATTTATTGATTATGTATGTTGAAACATCCTTGCATCCCTGGGATGAATCCTACTTGATCATGGTGAATGATATTTTTAATGTGCTGTTAAATTTGGTTTGCTAGGCTGGGGCTGTGGCTCATGCCTCTAATCCCAGCACTGTGGGAGGCCGAGGCAGGCGAATCACCTAGCGTCAGAAGTTCCAGGCCAGCCTGGCCTGGTTTGCTAGTATCAAGGTGATGCTGACCTTGTAAAATGAGTTTGGAGGTATTCTTTCTTCTTCAATTTTTTTGAAGAGGTTTCAGAAGAATTGGTATTAGTTCTTTAAAAGTTTGGTAGGATTCAGCAGTAAAGCCTGGACTTTGTGATAGGACACTATTTATCTATTTATTACTGATTTGATCTGATTAATCCTTATTGATTGGTTGAGATTTTCTATTTCTTCATAATTCAGTGTTGGTAGGTTGCATGTGTCAAGAAATTAACCCATTTCCTCTTGATTATACAATTCGTGGCTATATAATTTTTTGTAAAACAGGCAAATCTCAGAGATATTGCCAGTTCAGTTCCAGGCCACAGCAACAAAGCAAATATTGCAATAAAGTGAGTCCTGCAGATTTTTTGTTTTCCCAGTGCATATAGAAGTTATGTTTGCACCATACTGTAGCATATTAAGTGAGCAATAGCATTATAACTAAAAAAGCAATTAACTTTAAAATACTTTATTGTTAAAATGCTAATGATGATAGGAGCCTTCAGCGAGTAGTAACCTTTTTACTGGTGGAGGGTTTCCCTTGATATTCATAGTTAGTGACAGATCAGGATAATGGTTGTTGAAGGTTGAGGTAGCTATAGCAATTTCTTAAAATGAGACAATGAAGTTTGCTGCATCAACTGACTCTGTCTGTTTCATGAAAGATTTCTATGTAGCATGTGATGCTGTTTGATAGCCTTTCACCCATAGCAGAACTTCTTGCAAAATTGGAGCCAATCCTCTCAACCCCTGCCACTATTATCAACAAATTTACATAATATTCTAAATCCTTTGTTGTCATTTCAACAGTGTTCACAGAATCTTCACCAGGAGTAGATTCCATCTTAACAAACCACGTTCTTCGTTCATCCAGAAGAAACAACTCCTTGTCTGTTCAAGTTTGATCATGAGATTACAGCAATTCGGTCACATCTCCAGGCTCCCCTTCTAATTCTGGTTTTCTTAACTATTTTCACCACGCCTGAAATTTCTTCATCCACTGAAGCCTTGAACCCCTCAAAGTCATCCATGAGGGCTGGAATCAACTTCTTCCAAACTCCCGTTCATGTTGATATTTTGACTTCCTCCCATGAATCATGAATTTTCTTAAAGGCATCAAGAATGGGGAATCCTTTCCAGAAGATTTTCAATTTGCTGTGCCCAGATCCAACAGAAGAATCACTATCTATGACAGCTATAGCCTTACAAGATGTATTTCTTAAATAATAATGCTTTAAAGTCAAAGTAACTCCTTGAACCATGGACTGCAGAATGAATGTTGTGTTAGCAGGCATGAAAACAATATTAATCTCTTTGAACATCTCCATCGAACCTCTTGGGTGACCAGGTGCATTGCCAATAAGCAGTAATATTTTGAGAGGAATCTTCATTTCTGGGCATCGAGTCCCAATAGTGGGCTTAAAATACTCAGCAAACCATGCTGTAAGTACATGTGCTGTCATCCAGGCTTTCTTCTTGCATTTCTAGGGCACAGGTAGAGTAAATTTAGCATAATTCTCAAGCGTCCTAAGAATTTCAGAACAGTAAATAAACATTGGGTTCAACTTAAGTCACCAGCTGCATTATCCCCTAAGAAGAGAGTCAACCTGTGCTTTGAAGCTTTGAAGCCAGACATTGACTTCTCCTCTCTAGCTATGAAAGTCCTAGATAGCATCTTCTTCCAATAGAAGGCTGTTTCATCTACACTGAAATTCTGTTCTTTAGTATAGCCACTTTCATCAGTATCTTAGCTAGATCTTCCAGATAACTTGCTTCAGCTTCTATTATCAGCAATTGCTGCTTCACCCTGCACTTTAATGTTACGAAGATGACTTCTTTCCTTAAACTTCATGAGCCCACCTCTGCTACCTTCCAACTTTTCTTCTGCAGCCTCTTCAACTCTCTCAGCCTTCATAGAAAGAAAAAGATTTAGAGGTTTACTCTGGATTCAGCTTTGGCTTAAGGGAATGTTGTGGCTTGGTTTGATCTCCTATCCAGACAAACAAAACTTTCTCCATATGTGCAATAATGCTGTTTCCCTTTCCTATCATTTGTGTATTCACTGCAGTAACATTTCTAATTTCCTTCAAAAACATTTTCTTCACATACACAGCTTGGCTATTTGGTGCAAGAGGCCTACGTTTCAGCCTATCTTGGCTTTTGACATGCCTTCCTCACTAAGATTTACAATTTCTAGATTTTTAGAGAAATCTACAGCTCTTCCTTTCACTTGAATACTTAGACGCCATTGTAGGGCTTTTAACTGGCCTAATTTCAATACTGTAGTGTCTCAAGGAATAGGAATGCCCAAGGAGAGGGAGAGAGTTGGGGAAATGGCCAGTTGTTGGAGCGTTCAGAATACACACATTTACTAAGTTTGCCATTCTAGGTAGGCACAATTTGTTGTGCCCCCAAAAAATTACAGTAGTAACATCAAAGATTACTGATCACAGATTACCATAACAGATACAATAATCATTTAAAAGTTTGAATTATGAGAATTATGAAAATGTGGCACAAAGACATGACGTGGGCACATGATGTTGGAAAGCTGACACTGATAGACTTGTTTTTTTTTAAGACGGAGTCTCACCATGTCACACAGGCTTGAGTGCAATGGCATGATCTTGGCTCACTGCAACCTCCGCCTCCCAGGTTCAAGCGATTTTCCTGCCTCAGCCTCCCGAGCAGCTGGGACTACAGGCGAGCGCTACCACGCCCAGCTAACTTTTGTATTTTCAGTAGAGATGGGGTTTCACCATGTTGCCCAGGATGGTCTGGATCTCTTGACCTCGTGATCCACCTGCCTCAGCCTCCCAAAGTGCTGGGATTATAGGTGTGAGCCACAGCGCCCGGCCAATAGACTTGTTTTATGAAGGGTGTCAAGCCTTCAATTTGTAAAAACCCAACATCTGTTCAGTACAGTAAAGAATAGGGCAATAAAATGAGTTATGCTTGTATTCTCTTACTACCCTTTATAAATATAAATACAGCTGTTGCATCAGCTATAATGTCTCCTTTTTTATATCTGATTTTATTTTATTTGAGTCTTTTGTTTCTCAATCTAGCTAAAAAAATGTTCATTTCATTTGTCTTTTAAAAAAAGCAACTCTTAGTGTAATCTTGCCTGTTAGTTTTCTAGTCTCTGTTTCATTTATTTCTGCTCTGATCTTGATTATTTCCTTCTACTAAGTTTGAACTTAGCTTTTTCTTGTTTTTCTAGTTCTTTGAGGTGCAATGTTAGGCTGCCTACTTTTGATCTTTCTTGTCTTTTGATATAGGTGTTTACTGCTATAAATTTCCCTCTGAGAACAGATTTTGCTTTATCATATAGGTTTTGTATGTTGTGTTTCCATTTTCATTTGTTTCAAGAAATTTGTTAGCTTCTTCATTTACCCATTGGTTGTTCACGAACATGTTTAATTTCTACATATTAGTAAATTTTCCAAAGTTCTTTCTGTTATTGATTTCTAGTTTTATACCATTGTGGTCAGAAAAAATATTTGATATGATTTTCATCTTCTTAAATTATTTTACTTTATTTCTGACCTATGATTTATCCCAGAGAATCTTCCTTGTGTTGTGGAGAAGAATGTGTATTCTGCATTTGTTGGATGAAATGTTCTGCATATGTCTGTTAGGTCCATTTGATTTTATTGTAGTTTAAGTTCCATGTTTTCATTTTGATTTTCTGTCTGGATGATCTGTCCATTACTGAAAGAGGAGTGTGTTGAAGTACCCTACTATTATTGCATTTTAGTCTCTCTCTCTCTTCAGAACTTAGATGTAAAGAGAGAGAGAATAAAATGCAATAAAAGTTGAAGATCTTAAGCCTGAAGAGAGAGACTCTCTTCAGATATGTATTTGGGTCCTTCAATGTTGAGCGCATATGCATTTACAATTGTTGCATCCTCCTGCTGAATTGACTCCTTTATCATTCTATAATGACCTTCTTTTTCTCTTTTTAGAGTTTGACTTAAAGTCTATTTTATCTGATATAAGTATAGCTACTCCCGCTCTCTTTTGTTTTGCATTTGCAAAGAATATATTTCTTTTTCTCTTCACTTTCAGTCATGCATCTTTACAAGTGGAATGAGGCTCTTGTTGGCAGTATAGTCTTGTTTTTTGTTGTTGTTGTTGTTTTTGTTTTTGTCCATTCAATCACTCTGTGTCTTTTGATTAGAGATTTTAACCCATTTACATTTCAGGCAATTCTTGACAGGTAAGGACCTACTACAGCCATTTTGTAAATTGTTTTCTAATTCATTTGTTGATCCTTTGTTCCTTTTTTCCTCTCTTGCTATCTTCCATTGTGGCTAAGTGATTTTTTGTGATCATATATTTTGATATCTTGCTTTTAATTTTTTGTGAATCTACTATAGGATTTTCTTTGTGGCTACCATGAGCCTTACAAAAAACATCTTATAATTACATATAGCAGGTTATTTTAAGCTAATAACAACTTAAATTTGATTGCAAAAAAAAAAAAACTCTACACTTTTACTCCACCTCCCCACAGTTTGAATTTATATTTCACAATTTACATCTTTTTATATTCTATATCTTTTAAGAAATTATTGTAGTTTTTATTTTTTAAACAGTTGGTATTTTAACCTTCGTATTAAAAATATAAGTGACTCACACGCCATTACACCATTAGAGTATTCTGAATTTGGTTGTCCTCTTACTTTTACTAGTGAGTTTTATACTTTCAAGTGTTTTTATGTTACCCATTAGCATGCTTTTCTTTTGGCTTGAAGAACTCCTTTTGCATTTTTGTTTTGTTTTGTTATTTTTAAGAAACGGGGTCTTGCTCTATCACCTAGGCTGGAGTGCAGTGGCACAATCATTGCTCACTGCAGCCTCAAACTCCTGGACTCAAGTGATCCTCTCACCTCAGCCTCCCCAAGTAGCTAGCTACAGGTATGCAGCACCATTCCTGGCAAAAACCTTTCATCATTTCTTGTAAGAAGAGTCTTACGGTAGTGAACACTCTCAGCTATTGTTTGTCTTTGAAAGTCTTTATCTCTCTATTTCTGCAGGTTAGTTTTGCTTAGTATTTGGTAGTTGTTTTTTTGTTTTTGTTTTTGTTTTTTTCTTCAGCAGTTTGAATATACCATTGCCCTCTCTCTTGGCCTGTAAGCTTTCTGCTAAGAAGTCTTCCGTTAGCCATATTGGAACTCCCTTATATTTTTTTTGTTGCTTTTCTCTTGCTGCTTTCAAGATCCTCTTTGTTTTTTTATTTTCGACAGTTTGATTATAATATGTCTTCAGGTAATCTTATTTGCATTGAATCTGACTAGAGATTTTTTTATTTTTTTGTACCTGGATATTTATATCTTTCTCCAGGTATGGGATGTTTTCTGCTCTTGTTTTTTTAAAATAAACTTTCTATCCCTTTATCTTTCTCTACTCTATCTCGCACACCAATGACTCATACATTGGCTCTTGTGCTGCCCACCCGTAAATCCTGTAAGCTTTCTTTATTCCTTTTTATTCTTTTTTTATTTTTCCCTTCTGACTCTGTATTTTCAAATAACTTGTTTCTGAGCTCACAGATTCTTTCTTCTGTATGATTAATTCAGCTATTGATGTTCACTGTTGAATTTTTCATTTCATTCATTGTGTATTTCAGCTCCAGGATTTCTGTTTGATTTTTCTTTTATTATTTCAATCTCTCTAATAATTTTTTTGTTCTGGTCACCAAGTATTTCCATCATTTTGTTGAATTGTTTATCTATGTTTGTTTAAAGTTTGTTGTGCTTCCCTAAAACAGTTCTTTTGAATTATTTGTCAAGTAGTTTATATTCTATTTCTTTAGGGCCAGTCACTGGCACTTATTTTGTCTTTTTGGTGGCATCATGTTTCCATGACTGTTCTTTTTTTTTTTTTTTTTTTTTTTTGAGACGGAGTCTTGTTCTGTCACCCAGTCTGGAGTGCAGTGGCCAGATCTCGGCTCACTGCAAGCTCTGCCTCCCGGGTTTACCCATTCTCCTGCCTCAGCCTCCCGAGTAGCTGGGATTACAGGCACCCACCACCACACCCGGCTAATTTTTTGTATCTTTAGTAGGGACGGGGTTTCACCGTGTTAGCCAGGATGGTATCGATCTCCTGACCTCGTGATCCACCCGCCTCGGCCTCCCAAAGTGCTGGGATTACAGGCGTGAGCCACCGCACCCGGCCTCCATGACTGTTCCTAATGCTTGTGGTTGCGTGTCAGTGTCGGCACATTTGAAGAAGTAGGTACTTATTCCAGTCTTCACAGAATGACTTTGCCTAGGAAAGCCTTTGGCAGGCATGGCACTGGGTCACACCAGAAACCAGAGGCAGCTGAGTCCTGGGATGCAACAGAAGCCCAGGGCCCACTGTGACAGGTATGGCACTGGGGCAGGCCAGAAGCCTAGTGCAGATACAGCCAGCATAGCACTGGGGCACACCAAAAGCTGCCTGCCACTGAGAGCTCTATGGAGCCTGGGCCACTGAAGTAGGCTTGACATAGATGTGACACAGAGATGGAGTCTGCCACACAAGCCTGAAGTCCAGGGCTGCATGGTCATGCCTGATTGCCAGGACAGGTCCAGCTGCTCAGTCTACAGACAGCAACTTGAAATATGGGTCAGCAAGGGGTTGCCTGGTTGTTCTTATTTCCATTTCATCCTGTTCAGTGAGGAATAGGACATATATAGCCTTTTCCTATTTGCGATATACATAATTTCTCTTCAGTTCGCCGGAATGCCCATCAGGTTGCTAAGTGGTCTATTACTTCTTCCTGCTCTGAGGCTTAGAATTATTTCATATGCATAGCCTTTAGCCAACTTTTTGGTTAAAACAGATAATTATTATGAAACCTTCTAGTTTAGCCAACTACCATTAATTTTTCTAGTTTAAAAAAGCCAACTATTCCTTAAAATAATAATGTGGTGTTCTAAGAAGTGATATCTTGATACCACCACCTGATTGTCTTTCTAAAATATTTAGAATTTATTTCTGGATAGGCTATTTCTGCATTCATGATAAAAAATCTACAACCTTTACTATATGCTACTCCTACAGCTCTTCCAGCTCATTTTCTTCCAACTGCAGATTTCAGATCACAACTGATGCTTAGTAAGGGTGTTAAATGACTCTGACTACCCTAGTAAATAGCTTCCATATTGAAGAAAATTTAAATTTCTTTAACCCTGATGGAAGAAATCTTGTCAAATTTCTTGAGATATTTTTTCCATTAGTGGTTCTACCATTTTATCTGTAGGCTTTAAAGAGTTAAGTAATGAAAGTTTTTCCTGTTTTATAGCAAGTGATCGTTTAATATTCCTAGTTCCTGGTGCTATTGAAATTCTTCATGTCCTCTTGAATGTTTACATCTATATGAGTATGGGGAATGGCCAATCCAAAGGCACTAGCTTTCTATCATCATAACTCAGAATTAAGTAGGTTCTGATTATGTCATTAGGGTGCATAAAATCTTTCAAAGGTTTCCAACTATATATAGTGCAAAGTAAAAACTTTCAGATACCATGTGAACTCTTTACAGTCTGGTACCAATTTATCTTTCCAACTTCATATTCACTTCTTGCCATATATCTCAAACTCTCACCACACTAAATTATTAATCTTTCTTCAAACATGCCATGTAATTTCAAACCTATTTTTCCTTCTACTTTTGTTCCCTCTGCCTGAAATGCCCTGGCTCTTCTAGCTCAGTGGGAAATTCCCATTTACTCTTCAAAGTGGAACAGAAAATGCATCTCCACTTTGTATTATTCCCAATGCCCAAGGCAAGTTAATTGCACCATTCTCTGTGGCCCCGTAGAACATGGTACAAAGCTTTATTGTAACTTTATTCTATTGTGTTTTATTTAGTTGTGCCTGTGTTTCTCTCTTCTACTCAATTTGACCTATTTGACACATATAGTAGGTTTTTTTTTCATCTTCATATCTCACCGGGATTATCAAGTAAGTATGTCCAATAAAGGCTTTTTGTCTTTTTTAAAGTGGTGAATGAATGAATGAATGGATGAAAAATTATAACTATCAGAAATATTTATTCAAAAATAGTATTTTAAACATGAACTTTTAGATGTCTTTTTTCTTCCATCTAACTACTAAACTTTACATTTTTTTCTGAAAACATTTTTTTAGAGTTTTTGTGCTTAGTATTCATACTTTTCACCTTAACATAGTAGGTCTTAATTGTTAGCCTAATCAACTCCTACATATTTAACTTTTACCTCATGTGCTTATCCTTCATTTATATTTCCTTGAAAACTATAATAACTTCCAATCTTTTATCTTAAATTTTGTCATTTATATATTTTAAAAAGCTTTCAAGCTTTTAAATTTTTGATTTAATAATTTTTGTGTCACTTCTTAGTTTTGTTTTAAATTTGTATTTGTTTGATTTTAGCCTTCTGTTATCTTAACTCTTCTGAAACTATTACAGTTCTCACTGAAGTTTTATTAAAT
Organism: Homo sapiens; assembly: GCF_000001405.40. NCBI lineage: Eukaryota > Metazoa > Chordata > Mammalia > Primates > Hominidae > Homo > Homo sapiens. Next base: position 25,663,833 of record NC_000016.10, on the reverse strand, counting down.
TGTATTACTGGTAAATTTTATTACAAATTAATTATTCTATTGCCTTAAATAATTTTTAATCAAAATAATACTTGCATATAGAAACAAATAAAATACAAAGTTATTTTGGGCCAGGAGCAGTGGCTCACACCTGTAATCTCAACACTTTGGGAGCCTGAGGCAGGAGGATCACTTGAGACTGGGAGTTCAAGACCAACATGAGCAACACAGCAAGACTCTGTCTCTGCAAAAAGCCAGGTTTCATGATGTATACCTATAGTCACAGCTATTCAAGAGGCTGAGGCAGGAGGATCTTCTGAGCCCAGGAATCTGAGGCTGCAATGAGTTATGATCATGCCACTGCACTCCAGCCTGAGCAGCAAGAGAGATCCTGTACCCTACCCTACCCACCCCCAAGGATCATTCCACTTATAAAGAAGTCTGAAATGAAAAGTGAAAATCCTGCTAACCAATCTTCAACCTTTCCAGACCTATTTCGTAGAAACAGCTAATTGAAGAGTTTCTGTTGTTTAATTATCTTAGTGGTTACCATTATAATTTTAAATTATATGCTTATATTTCTTTTTTTTTAATTTACTAACTTTAGATACCATCCTTTGACTTCCTGCTTATGATAGATAAGAAATTTAGCTTCTTTGCATTACCACCATCTTCCTCTCCAGCCCAAGGTTTTATTAGTTTTATTATTTTTATGTTGACAAGTTTATAACTCTTATACAATTTTCTATATATCTAATTAAGTGTTCTGTACTTTGTCTATGCATTAATAATAAAAATTGAAAATAAATGAAAAAACACTAATTTTCAGGTTGCAATTATATAAACATTATTCATTAACTATCAAGTAACGAGAATAGATCCATTAAGAAGATATTTAGTGTCATTAAAATCCTTCTGCTTAAGAGAGAATTTCTCAAATCCCAGGGTTCAAATATAGCCTCTTTTAAAGTCTTTTTAATTTTCTTTGCTTCTTCTGTATGATATTCAGCTATTAATTTCTTACATTTTTGTTTGTTTGTTTTGCTGGAGCATCTCCTTGAGTATTTTTTTTTTGTGAGGTCCTTGATTGAATCCTAAATTTCTGTACATGTCTTTAAACTGCTCTTTTAGAGTTTGACTAAGTATTGAATACTAGGTTTAAAATCATATACCCTCAAAAATTTAAGGGTATATTTCACTTTCTTCTGGCATCCAAGATCACTAATGAGAATTTAGTTTGACTCCCCTGTCACTGCAAGTGAACTTTATTTTGTATGTCTGGAAGCTTTTAGTATTTCTTCTTTCTCCTTAAAGTCCAGAAGTTTTTCTAGATATGGATTTTTTTTAATGTATACGGATTCTCTTTGAAATTCTTTTCAAACTGAATACTTATGACTTTGTCTCAGGGAAGTTATGTTATAGTAGATCATTGAATTTTTCCTCCCTTTATTGACTATTTTGTCTGCCTCTAGAACCCCAATAAAAGAAACAGCAGACACCTATGCTGCTTAATATTTCTCTCAGACTTCTTATTATTTTGCCTTTTGCTCAGGGCTGCATGATTCCATTGAATTTTATCATCAGATCACTGATGTGATCATTAACTACATCCATTTTCTTACCCAGTCTGCCCGCAGAATTTTCTCTGTAGTGCCACACATATTTTTAATTACCAGGGACTCTCGTTCTTGCTCTTCGGTTTGCCTGTTTTCACAGCAGTCGCCTGTATTTTATTTATTAATGTTAACATTTCTCATGTGCAATTTCTTTTCCTTACATATTTGTTGACTCTGTTGTTGGTTCATGTTTATGAATAAAGATCTAGGCTGTGAAGTAAGGAGGTTTTCATTTGCATTTGTGTAGCTCTGTTCACCAAGACACTTCTCCTTGGGATGCCTCTGCTAGTGGGTAGGGTGTGATAACTGAAAAACTTCATTTAAGAGATGTGGATAAAGGGTAGGCAGGCTGTAGACAATGACTCAAAAAAAAGGAAGACTTTATTCTTAGCAGTGAGATACTTTGATATATTCCTTTTTGAGCAAACCTGTCTTGCCTTTCTTTTTTTATGATTTGCCTGTTGTGTGTTTCAGAGTTTCCTCAAACTCTGCTTTGCTTCTCATTCATGGTTTTACACTCAAATGAGGGGGCATCTCGGTGTAGCTAGAATTATTTTTTCTTCGGAGTGCACAGCTTGGATTCTTATGTGGGACCAAAAACTTCTGTTCTCTGCTGTATATATTCAGGGAGGAAGGTAGAAGGGGCCCAACTAACCCCACCTTCCAAGACTCAATTCTTTAAGTCAAATATCTTCGGCATATATTTATTGAGTACTATGATAAGAATGCAAAAATGGCTATAAATTGTGCTTATCTCTGTATCTACCTCTGTTTGCAATGTGACTTTAGAGCTCCTCTTAGCAAGAGGTGGGGTCTATTTCTTCATACCTTTGAACTTGGGTGTGGCCATGTGACCTGCTTTGTTCAACAGGACTATAGAAAAGTGACTTGAAACAGACATATGAAAATCACTTGCACATTGTGATTACTTACTTCCTCTTGATGCTCTTGGAGCCCTACAACTCTGTGAAGAAGCCCAAGCAAGCCTGCTGGATAACAAAGGGCATATGGTCCAGATGGCTTTGTTGCCCTGATCAACAGCCAACTAGACACTAGACACATGGAAAAGACTTCCTGGATTATCCAACCACCAGCCAACCTAAAAGCAGACTAAGGATGCTTGAAAGAGCTCCACAGAGATTAGCTGAGCTCATGCAGATAAGAACTGCCTAGCTGACCCGAATCATAGACTAAATAAAGTGTTGTTGTTTGAGGCCATTAACTTTTGGGGTCATTTGTTACACAGCAAAAGCTAACTGATACAAGCACCACATTGTATTAATGTTCCAGATGCTGTGGATACTCTGATAAACCAGGTAGATAAGATCCTTGCCCACAGATAATAATAAAGAAATAAACAAATAAGACAATCTCAGAGACTAATATGTGCTGGGAAGGAAAGGAATCAGAGTAATGTGATAGAGTGACAGGCTAGGGTTGGGATCTAATTTAGATATTGTGGTCAGAGAAGTTGTTTTTGCTGCATAGGTGAGGTTTGAACTAAGATCTGAATGACAAGGAAGAGCCAACCTTGTCAGGGTCTATGGATAGATTGTTGCAGACAGAGGAAATAGTAAGTGCAAAGGCATTGAGGTAGGAACATATTACATAAAGGGACATAAAGCAGGCCCATGGAGCTGGAGTATTACATACAAGGAGAGAGAGTAGGATGCAAATTCGATGAAACAGACCACGTGGACTCAAACTATAATTAATTTATTAATCACCTTGATACTTGTTCCATATCCCTGTCCTTTATAGTTGTGGAGTAGGAGGTTGGAAGGTTTTATTTATTTATTTATTTATTTATTTATTTGTTTAATTTTTTAGAGACAAGGTCTCACTCTGTCACCCAGGTTGGATTGCAGTGGCACAATCATAGCTCACTGCAGCCCCAAACTCCTGGACTCAAGTGATCTTCCCTCTTCAGCCTTCTGAGTAGCCAGGGCTACAGGTGTGTGCCACCATGCCTAGCTAATTTTTTTTTTTTAAGTTTTTAGAGAGACAGGATCTCACTATGTTGCTCGGGCTGGCCTCAAACTCCTGGCCTCGAGCACTGGAGCTTGGAGTTTTTAAAGGACTCCTTTGGGAAGGATTCCTCTTCCTTCTGGAATTTGGGGCTACAACTTTCCATGATCTGTTTTATTCATTAATCAGATCCCATCTGTGTTCTGTATTCTAAGATTTCTTCGAAATGTTCTTCTCCAGGTACTTGCCTCTCTAGTTCTCTAGCATTGTTGTGGACTGGTTCTTTTAAAAATGCAGGGTTTTGTGTTTTTTTTTAACATTTGAAGGACCTTGGTATATGTCTGTCCTCAATTCATCTTTAGTTGAAATTCTCTTGTCTCATTTTAAAATGTGTGGCTTTATGCTCTTCTTAATCTGTTATGTTTCTTTTGTTATTCTGTCTTTTTTTCTCTTTGTTTCTTCTCTTTTATAGCTTGTCTTTAGAGTGGCCGTAGGAAATGAGGCCTCATTAGGATATTCATTCACTATCCAATACATATTTATTGAGCACCTTTTATCTTCAATCACAACCAAAGTCCTTCTTCCCTGCCAATTGCCCTTGCATCCACCTGCCTTGCTCAGCTCCAGCTGAGTTGAGTATAGCTTATCAAAATACCTCATGCTGGGACACTGAGGAGATAGGGTTAATTCTTCTCCCTACCTTAATCTTCATGGGATAGTTAACACATTATTTGTTGGCTTTTGATATCTCCGAATTCATGCAAAAATTTGTATTTTTAACTCCCTTGTCATCTATCTATCTCTCTATCTTTCTTTCTTTTTATCTTCATTGAATTTTATGTGCCTTAAGTCAGTAGGGGATGGCACATAGGATGTCCTACCTGGGAGGGATGGACCATGTTACCCCACAGACCACAGAAGATCCTTCACCCTTCTAGACCAAGGGCTTGAGCTTGGTAGGCATTTGTAAACTTTCCAGGCATAGGAAACTTCACTCATCCCTCTAAAGCAGATAAATACACTTTTTTTTTTTTCTTTTGAGACAGAGTCTTGCTCTGTTGCCCAGGCTGGAGTACAGTGGTGCTATCTTGGCTCACTACAACATCCGCCTCCTGGGTTCAAGCAATTATCCTGCCTCAGCCTCCTGAGTAGCTGGGATCACAGGCACCTGCCACCATGCCCAGCCAATTTTGTACTTTTAGTAGAGATGAGGTTTCGTTTGCCACATTGGCCAGGCTGGTCTCGAACTCCTGACCTCAGGTGATCCACCCACCTTGGCCCCACAAAGCACTGAGATTACAGGCATGAGCCACAGCACCCTGTTTAAATATACTTTTATACAGAGGGTAAAGTACTTGAAAAGTGATACTAGCAGTCTTCAGAGCCCAGCACATACTCATATTTTCTTTCACAAATCTGTTGGACCCCTTCTAGAACCCCAAAAGTACAAAACTCTACCGCATTGCTACTTCTTTATGGCAGTACCACTTCACCCATTCCTTCAATCCCAGAATCAGGAGGCCAGAACACCCAGAACAAAGAGCAAGGGATGTCACCCAGCCCTAGGCCATTGCATTGCAGTTCTCTTTTCCTGGGACACCACTCTCCCTGCTTCTCCTCTAAGCCTCTTACCCTGATTCTCACTCACCACCCAGTCTCAGCTTATAAACTATTCGCTCACAGAGAGTCCTTCCTTTCTTTTCTAACCTTCTTTCTTCCCTCCCCAAGTATAGTGGATGCTGTTAGTGCCCTGCCCAGGTCCCTTAACCGGTGGTGAACTCGTTCTTCAGTTGCTTTGAGTATTGGTTGCTAAGGTGACACTGCTTTTCCTGGTTACTCCCCACCACAGGGGGGCCAGTGTCCAGTGACTATCTGGGGTACAAAAGGCCAGTGCCTGGTCTCAAGGTGGGCCAGAGCTTCCTGAGGTATCAGGCTGAAGTGAGCCTCCAGCTGAGACCACAGTCTTGCTTAGTTTTCTTCTCCCATTTGCCTCACGTCCTCTCTCCAGAGAGCATTTCTCCAATAAAACATTGGAGCAAAGAACATTTCTTCTTTTCACAACAATCTTCATCTCAGGCCCTGGAAACTGACCTACAACACTAGCAAAGCTTTCTTTAAGAGTTTTTCTATATGTATTCACATAACTAAGAACAACTTTTCTCCCTGTTCCCTGCACTTCTGACTGTGAAGCAGCTTCACGTGGTCAGACTGCTGTGTGAGCGGTGCCCCCTTGCCACACAGTAGCGCCGTGTCTGAGACCCTTGAGGAGCTTCTCCCTTTTAGGAAGTGAAAGTGGGAGAGGAAAAAAGACACCGCACAGGCATTCTGTCTGGGAGGCTGTGCTGGCATTTCTGAAGCAAAGCCATCTTTTGTCTGAACCAATGAAAAGGGTTATTTTTTAGAGGCTTTAATAAAATCATTTAATCAAAAATTCAATATAAATATTACTCTGTGTTAATCTTCAAGAACTAACAAGTCAATCTCAGATCTATTCATTCCCTGAAGTGAAACTAATTTGGTTAAGGGTGGGACTTTTGGGGACGTTTAGTTTCCAAATAGTTCAAAGTTGAAAGCCATGATTCAGTATCTTTTCCCAAATATAACCCCTTAGGGGACCACAATAATAGCACAAAGAAATAAAACAGAATTAACTTATGTTTGAAGAGCCTATAGAGATATTAACTAATGGCATGAGATCCAGAGGATGGTTTAGAAATCAGTTCATATGCAAATATATTTAAACACCAGTCCCTTGGCGCTTGCACATTCAGTACTTACCATTTAGATTATTTGAAAGTGACTCTGAGATGAACGATTGTGAAATTTTGTCAAGGCATGAACTCAACTCACACATAGCATGAAGTTAGAATGCAAAAGTTGGTAGATGGTGAACCAGCAAACTTACCAGTCGGCACTGACTTGTTGTGGTTGCAGTAACTCACGTACAGGCATTTCTCATTTTTCCAGCTGTTAATGTTGCTCCCGGAAGTGCAGAGGTGAAAGGAAGCAATGGCAAGCACGGATAGAGAGTACCTGATACTGAAGCTCTTGCACCTGTCAAGTGATCACTATAGTCCGTCTATGTCAACCACCATGACGGCTGCCTTAGGAACTAATTTTCTGAATGTGCAGTTAAGAAAATGGAAGCACTAGTGTCCAGTCTTAGGGAAGAAGATGGAGCTTGGGCTTCTGTTAAATTGCAATTTGAAGGTGGTTTAAGTGACCAATCCCTTACTGTTTCCCCAACTTTTCCCACCTCAGTTCAAAAAGCCATCACCGGGCAGGGCACAGTGACTCACACCTATAATCCCAGCACTTTGGGAGGCTGAGGTGGGAGGATAGCTTGGAGCTGGGAGTTAGAAACCAGCCTGGGCAACAAACAAAGACCCCATCTCTTCTAAAAATAAAAAAATAAAATAAAATAAAATAAAATATAAAATAAAATAAAATAAAATAAACAAAATAAAATAGAAATTAGCTGGGAGTGGTGACACATACCTGTGGTCCCAGCTACTTGGGAGGCTGAGGCAGAAGGGTCACTTGAACCCAAGAGTTCAAGGTTGCAATGAGCTATGATCGCACCACTGCACTCCAGCCTGAGCAACAGTGAGACACTATCTCTAAAAGTACATTCATTAATTAAAATTTGAATAAAAAAAGAAGCCATCAGTTTATAGACTCAGGCAGGTTAGTTGCACCCAATCCCTTATTCACAGAGTAGGTTTGCTTTTACTTAGTCATCTTTATTTTCTGTTGCATCATCATCATTTTAGTTGCTAAAGTTTGAAACCTTGGTCTTTGGCCCCTATACCGTTATCCTTCTTACCTTGCCTCCTACCAGTATCCTCAGGGCCATCACCATCCTTCATCTTTTGGCTTTGATTGCTTGGCCTTCTCATGGGATGTGGCCATCACTTCTAAACCACTTGAGTTACTTAAAGGCCTGGCCACAGCTTGGATCTTTGTATATTACTCCGAGTCCCTCCTCCTCCAAGAGGGCATCATTACAAGGACCCATTGGGAAAATCCTTTACTTTGGCTCTGCTACCAACATCTCCCCCTATGCCAACTTGTGCTGATTTTTCTTTATCATGTGAAAGCATGTGAGATTAACTGTTTTGACTCTTTTCTCTTGTTTTAAAGACAGCAACACCAAGATCTGTGCTGCCTCCCGGAAAGCATAGAAATATGAAACCAGAACAGGGAAAATGTGTCTGTAAATTTGTAGCTTAAAGCCCCATGTATTTAAAAATCATTCTTATTTGCCTTGTATCTTTTTTATAAAATGTATAGAGACTCTTATCCCTTGGTGTTCTAAGTAAGATTAAAGAAACTGGCCGGGTGTGGTGGCTCAAGCCTGTAATCCCACACTTTCAGAGGCCAAGGCAGGTGGATCACTTGAGGTCAGGAGGTCGAGACCATCTTGGCTAACACGGTGAAACCCCGTTTCTACTAAAAATACAAAAAATTAGCCGGGCGTGTTGGCGGGCGCCTGTAGTCCCAGCTACTTGGGAGGCTGAGGCAGGAGAATGGCATGAACCTGGGAGGCGGAGCTTGCAGTGAGCCAAGATCGCGCCACTGCACTCCAACCTGGGAGACACAGTGAGACTCTGTCTCAAAAAAAAAAAAAAAAAAATACAAAAATTAGCCAGATGTGGTGGAGGGCGCCTGTAGTCCCAGCTGCTTGGGAGGCTGAGGCAGGAGGATCACTTGAGCCCAGGAGGCAGAGGTTGCAATGAGCCAAGATGGTGCCACTGCACTCCAGCCTGGGTGACACAGTGAGAAACTCCATCTCAAAAAAAAAAAAAAAGAAGAATAAGACTGTTTTTGGATAGCACCAATAACAGAAGGGGATATCTTCTCTCCCTGATGATCTTGGACAGAGGTTCAGCCGCAAGCTAGGACAATCACTCTGAAACCCGCTCCATCATCAAATGAACCACAGCATGCCTGGGGCCCAGGGCTGCCCTGACTAGTGGGAAATTTCACCTTCAGCCGCACGGCAGGAACTGTGCAGGTTCTAATACCTGAATAGCAGTTGGCATTGAATTTGACAGACAGTAAAGGGACTGATAAATCTTTAACCAGTTTTTATTCTTTTGATGTTTTATAATTTTTATTTCATTTCCATCAATGGAATGGGATAAAAATGATTGTGCCCAGTGAGAAGATGTAACCCTAATGTTGACCTACTCTAAACATAGTGTGAATTCTGAAACCCTCCCCACTTGTCATAATAATTTCTCCTTCCACCTCTTCATTTCTATTTTCCCCCAGAACCTGTTGTCTGCCATGACCAGGAGCTCCATTCTCACACCTCTCTTTCTGGCCTCGCTCATCTCAGCCCATGGTAAGCCACATCACTGATTCTTATAAGCATTCTTGATGCCTTTGCCTTCATGAAATTCCATTACCTCTGCCTTCCCGGTTCCCAGACGCATCATCCATTACCCACTTCAGTTCTTAGACTGTCAGGCACTGCTAAGTAAAGGCACAAAGGTTATTTGCTTTTTTATCTACTGGGTCCTTTGATGCCTTTAATGTCTTTGATCCTCCCCTGGTTGACTACAAAACACATTCTTTGAGGACTTCAAATTTATTCCACTCTGATCAGGGTTTTTATTCTGTCCCAATTGCCAAACCCTTCAAAATTTATATTTTGTAGGGACCAAGTCCAGCCAGTGTGAGTTTTCTCAAAACCTCTCTTATTTACACCAAATTTATATTTTTATGGGCCTCCCCATTTTTTCCTTCTTGTCTCAATAAATTTTCATTAGCATTATTCAATAAAGTTGAAAATATACATGGTACATAACTTGACATTTTTTCTATCTCTTCGTCTTTTTGTCCATTTTCACATTGACTTATTCTATTTATTTTTTTAGATCTCTTTTACTTCTTGGGGAGATGAAACCTTAAAGAAAGCCATGCTGATTATCTATTTCCCTTTTCTCCAGAATGTAAGCCCACTGAAAAATAGACACAAGGGTAAGCCACTGTCATTGTGGAGCTCAGAGTTCAGTGGGGAAGGTGGAGTACAAATAAATATTCCAGTGCCATATATGCACTATAACGGATGTCTACTCAAGGTATAGTTGTGGGACTAAGAAACAGATTAACTTACAGGGGAGTAGAAGCAGGAAAGCATTTCAGACAAGCTACAGCTGAGCCAGGTATTAAAGAACTAGTAGTTCAGTAGACCTGAATTAGTAGTTCAGATGGGAAGGTATCCATTAAATATCCGCTAATTTAATGAAGGAAGCGTCTATCACACAGAGAAAATAACGTGCTCAGAAAGAGTCCCAAAATTAAAAAAAGCTCAGCTTCCTTAAGAAAATGCAGGCGCAGTATAGCTAAATCAGGTAGGAGGAAGAAAGTGATGGCAAATAAGCCCAAGAGCTCAAAAAATAAGAAAAAGGAGTATAGGAAAAATAATGAATATAGATGAAGGAAATAATACTGATAAAAGCAGAAATTTGGGGCTTAGAAATGATAAAAATAGTAGAGTTGACAAATTATTCCAGGAGTTGTTTCTTCAAAAGAGAGAAAGAGTAAGGGGATGAAGGAAGGCAAGAGAGAGGAAAGGAAGGAGGAAGGAATGAAAAGAGGGAGGATAGACAAAGCTCTTGCAAGTTTAATCAAGGGGAAAAGGAACATACACGGAAATTAAATTTATTAAGGATGTATTTACAGAGTGCTTCATGCCTGTCAGGTCTTGTGCTAGGTGTTAGGGACAAACAGCTGTATAAAAGACATGGCCTCTGCCTTCAAGGAGCTGAGTTTTAATGAGAAAGTCCTACTTTAAATGTATAATTTTACAAATAAACAAAACTACAAGTTGAGAGTGATATGAAAGGAAAGTAAAGAGTACAATCAGAGGTTATAGCAAGGTCAAGAAGTAAGTTGGACCCGGGCACTGGATCATAAAGACTCTTTTAAAGATGTGACATTTAAGCCAAAAATCTGGCGAAGAAGTTAGCCAGGCAAAGAGTGATTGAAAAAGCAATTTGCTGTGGCTTGGATGTTTCCCTCCAAACCTCATGTTTAAGTTTGATCCCCTGTGTTGAAGGTGGGGCTTAATGGGAAGTGTCTGGGTCATGGGAGTGGATCCCTCATGAATAGATTAATGTCCTGGGGAGTGGGAGTGGGGGTGAGTTCTCTATTAGTCCCTGAGAGAGCTGGTTGTTAAAAAGACCTTGGCACCTTCCCTCTCTCCCTCTTGCTTCCTCTCTTACCATGCAATCTCTGCACATGCTGGCTCCCTTTCACCTTCCACCAAGATTGGCAGCAGCCTCAGGCCCTCTCCAGATGCCCAATCTTGAACTTCCCAGCCACTGGAATTAGGATCCAAATAAACTTTTTTTCTTTACAAATTACCCAACTTCTGCTATTCCTTTATAGCAACATAAAACAGATTAAGACCGAAGTCCAGCCAGAATGAAGGTCTTGAGGTAGGAAAGAACATGGCCAAGTTCACACAACTGGAAGAAAGTCAGTGAGGCTGGAGCAAACAAAGGAAGCAGAGAGTTACAAGACAGACAGGTAGTGGGGCCAGAAGTTCTGGTTTGGCCGGGATTGAGGGGTGGTAGATTTGGGGATGTGGGACTTTCCATTTTAAAACTGGAACACTCCTGGGGAACCCTGGATGAATTTGTCACCCTGTTTACAGACCTCATTTAAGATTTAGGAGCTTAACAGAAGAACAATATGGTAGTCATAAGTAGGGTAAGAGTAGTGAGGATGGAGAGAAGTGGATGGATTATAAAAATATTTAGGGGTCAAGTGATGGAAGTTGGTGACTAAATGACAGCCAGGGAAAGGCGGTGAAGCTGGAGGAACAATCAAGAATAACCTCAGATTTTTCTGTCTTTGGAAACTGGGGTATATGCATTAAAAAAGGAATGAATGCACAATAAATGACACTAAATTTGTCCTTTGACATCAACTGTCAAAGCAGAGCTCCAGATTTGATCATCATTGGTTACACAGAAGTAAATGTTGGCACCCTCCATCCCTTCCATCCATGGAGTGCAAACAGATACAGGGATTGGTAGCAGCCAAAATGTGCTCAAGAAAGAATTTGGAAGTTAGTTCCAACCTTTAAAGATGGGGAGTGCTCCTCACCTATTAAGGGGGTATGATTCAACATAATGAAAAGAAGAAAAGGACGCAGCCTTTGTTACTGACTCCATCCATCCTGCATTCAGATGGCATGTCAAGAAATGCATGGCTCTCATTCCCCAACCCCCAACTCTCAGACTCCAATATTTAACCCAGAGGAAATTGTAACTGAATTATGAAGTCCTTTCAAAGCTAGACATTTGACACATCTGTTATAGGAGCCTTATAAAAAGCACACTGGATGCTTGTAAATTTTATAATTATGTTAATTCAAATTCAAAGACATTCCCATGAATTTTTAAAAAAATATTTCCAACTCAAATCACAGAGTTTGTTCTGCCTGCCATTGAGATGTGGGGAATATTTGCTGTATGCACTAAATTCTCTTCTATAACTGCTCATGTCAGGAGAGCAGAGGACTGGAATGAAGATGAGCACAGTAGACTGAAGATGTAAGCTTATTGAACATGTAGGCTTAATCCAGGTCCAAAAGCACTATCCCAGTGATAGTCAGGTATCTAGATAGGCGGGAACTTGCTTTCCAATACTCTTGCATCTTAAATGGAAAGATGCTTTTCTTAGATGTGGGAGCAGAATGGTAGGATTGGGAAGGGCCATTAAAATCATTCAGCCCAATAGTATGCCCATGGTTGGTTTCTCAAGATTCATTTCCTCATTCACTAATTCAACAACTCTCGAATGAGGACCCACTGTATACAAGGCACTCTTCTTGGGAACTTCGGATATGTGAGTGAACGAAACAGACACAGATCCCTCCTCTCATTGATTTTACATTCTAAAGGGGTGAACTCAAGTAGTGAATAATGAAAATCAGCAAAAAACATGACAAATAAGTAACTTATACAGTACAGTACAGTATGTTAGAAGGTGAAAACAATTCTGTAAGAAAATAAGGAAAAGGGGAAGAGGGAAGAACTCCAAGTGATGACAGAGGGTAGGCAGGGCTGCAATTTAAATAAGGGTGGTCCGGTAGCTCTCACAGTAAAGACGACATTTTAAAAGGTTTGCAGGGAGTGACGGGGTTAGCCATGGGGATCTCTAGAAGGAAAACTTGGCTGATTGTTTTCTCTTTTTTCCTCCAAAACAGTCCAGTATAATCTAAAATGAGATCTTCAGCAAAACACTCCACTAGGTTCAGAAGCTAGGCTATGCTTGGTTCCCACCCATAAGTCATATCCCATAATTCATTTGCTTTCTAATACTCTGCATAAAATCAACCCACCCCCATCACAACCTCCATGGTCCCAGAGCCTCTACTGCCGTTCTGACCATCTCATAGCATGATAGGATAGTGTGGAATTGTCTGTTTAGGTGTTCAACTTATGTATGTAGCAGAATAGCAGCTCAAAGACTAGGACAAGCAGGGTCAGAACCGCACTCTGCCACTTAATAGCTGTCTGTCCTTTGCCAAATTATTTAACCTCTGTGAGTCTCAATTTTCTTACTTGTAAAGTAGGTGAAGATAATATGTCTATTAAACGGGATGTTCATTGGTATTACCAGAGAAATCATACGTAGAGCACTTGGCATAGTGCTTGGCACATAACAGGCAATTATTAAACACTTTTTGGTGGTGCCCAATTGGTGCCATCCGTTTCATCGCAAGATGCTCTTACCTTCCATTCTAGTTTACTAGCACCTAGCATAGGGGCCAGCACATATAATTAGGGTTATAGGTAACGGAGTACAATTTGTCCAAAAATACCGAGAAAAACAAGCCCCACTGGAGAACTCAGCCTTCTTGTCTGTTTGGTAAAGAGCCACCCATTCATTCACCAGATGAAAAGTATAAGCACACACACCAAAATCTGATTTTATCTCCATTTTTTTCTGAACTTACTGTCCTGGGAAGAGGAGAGTAAGGGGAAAATGTGTGGCAAAGTTGTTTCTTGTTTTCTTGCAACTCTCTACTAAACAAGCCTATTCTTTATTCAAAGTATATTATTTCCTGTCCCTTCTTTCTTTCAAAATGTATTCTTTGTCTAAAATTAAAACATAATAACAATAAAATTAATTCTCTGGTGTGTTAGGCTACAAGAGAGAAGTAGAATGTGATTCTATATATAGAAGGGCTTCGTAAAGAGAATCAAAATTCTGATCCCAAGTGCCTTGCTGTGTGGATAAAAAGTTAGGTACCAAATTTAAAAGACTATTTCCAAATCTCTTTGTTTACTGCATTTTCAAGTTTAAGGACCAACATCAGTGGTGCACAGATTCTGTTTGTGTGCATTAGACCCTGGTGGCTAATGCATAAAACCTATCATCTCCCAGCCCTTCTGGCTGTCCCATCAGAAACTAAGTGGTTATGACCTCTGAGCATCTCTGAGCCTCTTATGGTTGAGGAGCTGTTGGTGGCAGCCATATTCTGATCCAAGGAAAATTCCCAATGTGATCATTGTTGTTGTGAACTGGTTTGGATACAAGTGTTAAGTAAAAGCATAATCTGACATTGTTTTGTATCCAGGGTTAGTAAACTATGGTTTGTGAACCAAATCCAGTCGGTTGCCTAGTTTTGTGAACAAAATTTCGTAAATACTGTATGTGGTTGATTGATCTCCCTTTGTTCTGCAGTTGTCTCCTGGCCTGTTAAATGTGTCCATGACTACACAGAAATTCCTGCCTATTGCCTGCTTTCCTGATGGAGAAGTTCATGATCTGCAATAATCATCAGTGAACTGCAGCCTTTATGCCAATTCTGGCCCACTGCTTGTTTTTTTCAATAAAGTTTTGTTGGAACACAGCCATGACCATCATTTATATATTGTATGTGGATGCTTTCCAGTTACAATGGCAGAGATGAGTAGTTGTCACAGGAGTCACAAAACCTAAAGTATTTGTTATCCGACCCTTTACAGAAAATTTTGCTGACCACTGTTCCATGTGAATGAAGGTTTCTGAAGCATTTGCACCTAGAGAAGATTGTGAGATAATTAAGTCATCAACCAGATCATGGTGGTAGACACCTGCCCTCACACTCAAATAAACCTAGTGACCAGCATTGGGCCTAGAAACAGAAATCTTGATGTTGCAAAAAGATATCACTTGTCACATTAAATTAAAGATATTAAGAAATTGACTAGTCCTGTCAAATAAATTAAAAAATTTATTTGTATTTAATTTTTAAGTTTGTTTTGATTTTAGAGTTAATGTAATAGCTTAAAAAAAGGGGGGAATTTTTTTTTTTTTTGAGATGTAGTCTTGCTCTGTCACCCAGGCTGGAGTGCAGTGGCTCGATCTTGGCTCACTGCAACCTCCACCTCCCGAGTTCAAGCAATTCTCCTGCCTCAGCCTCCCGAGTAGCTGAGATTACAGGTGCCTGCCACCATGCCCAGCTATTTTTTATATTTTTAGTAGAGACAGGGTTTCACCATATTGGCCAGCCTGGTCTTGAACTCCCAACCTCAAATGATCCACCATCCTCGGTCTCCCAAAGTGCTGGGATTACAGGAGTGAACCACCATGCCCAGCCAAAAAGGGGATTTTTACCAAAATAATCTGTCTGTAAATATTTATTTTACTTTTGAATAAAATAATTTCAGTTGCACCAGAGCTCCTGGAGAAGTTTTGTAAGAAGCCTACCCATAAGTTGGGTTTGAGAAACACTGGTGAAGCATCCCTTTCCTCAGGCCTTAGCACACATCTTCCTGCCCTCCCCTTTTCCCTCTGCTCTAATGTATATCCTTCAACCAGGGACCAGCAAACCTTTTCTTTAAACAGCAGGTTGTAAATATTTTAGAGAGTCTCTGTGGCAACCACTCATCTCTGCTGTTGTAGCATAAAGGCAACCATAGGCATGGCAAAAGCAAATGGGTGTCGCTATACTCCATTAAACTTCATTTATAGACATTGAAATTTGGATATTCTATCATTTTCATGTGCTGTGAAATAGTCTTCTTTGGATTGATTTCCAATTTTTTAAAAATGCAAAAACTATTCTTAGCTCATGAGGAGGACTGGATTTGGCCCATGGGCCATAGTTTGCCAACCTCTGCCCTTCACTATTAATGAATGTATTCTTTCTAAACAGTAACTTTTTTTGTAGACCCTGTTTGTATTAGTCCATTTTCACACTGCTATAAAGATACTACCCAAGACTGAGTAATTTATAAACAAAGGAGGTTTAATTAACTCACAGTTCTGCATGGCTAGAGAGGCCTCAGACAACTTACAGTCATGGTGGAATAGGAAGCAGGAACCTTCTGACAAGACAGCAGGAGAGAGAGTGCATGTGAAGGTGGAACTGTCAGACACTTATAAAGCCATCAAATTTCATGAAAATTCACTCACTATCATGAGAACGGCATAGGGGAATCACCCCCATGATCCAATCGCCTGCCACCACGTCCCTCCCTTGACATGTGGGGATTATGGGAATTACAGTTCAAGATGAGATTTGGGTGGGGTCACAGAGCTTATCACTGCTTGAAAACCTGTACTTGGCCTACTGTTTGTTTGTGTCAATAAGGTTTTATTAGAACACAGCCATACCCATTCACTTATGTATTATTCACGGGTCCCTTATTTCTTACAGGATTAAGTTTATGCAGCTCTTAAGAGGTGAATTCAATTATTTAGGATATTTTTTCTGTCTAATTTTCCTTTACATCCCTCCATAATAATCGTGTTCTGAACACGGTGGACTAATGACCGTCCCCTGTTATTCTGTTGTGCTGTTTTCAAGTTATTTTGCTTTTTCCTAAATGGACTTTATCTCCCCAAAATGCCCTTTCCCTCATTCTTCATCTGTCAAAGCCCTAAATGTTTTTCCTGGCCTGTCTCTTCCATACAGTGTCTCCTGTCTTGTACAAGCCCAGCTAGCTGCATGGTTCTCCACTGTGACATAGTGCTCAATTCCTCTACTATGAATAGCATTTATTATGTTAAATTCTAATTATTTATCAGAGTGTTTTATTACCCTGATTACCTCATGTTTTTGAGAGGAGAAATTACAGCAATCCATCTCTGTATCTCTGTCTAGTACAGTATCCTGGCACCAACTAGATGCTCAACAAAGATTTGCTTCATGAATGCTGCAGCAATTATTAGTAATAGAAATAACAGCTCATATTTATTAAGTACTCTCCATGCTCCAGACGCTGTAATGAGTACTTTGCGTACATGATCTGAGTTCATATATCAGATCCAGTACATTTTCTCCTCCCACTCAGTTTTTTTAATTAGGTCACAACTCCTTCATTTCACAAGGCACTGTACATTCAACAGTAGATTAGGGATCAGAGACAGGCTGATGGGAGAAATATTTGGGTCCCTAAACCACACAAACTCTGCCTTACAATTAAGCAAGTTCCATCTACTTGCCCTATGGCAGCCCTGTGCTCTACACAGAAGAAAAGCTTACCAAATTCTTACTAGAGAAAAGATAAAAATAAAGTCTAGTCACTTCAGCAGAATTCTGCTTCATCTTTGTCACTGGGCAAAATTAGGGGCATGTCCTGTGTTATTGGAGTTGCTAGAACACAAACGAAGTCCAAGTTGAGTCAAAGAGGACCCCAGAGACCTGACTGTGCATTGTCCTCCTGGCTGAAGTGAGAAGAGAGTCGCTTTGTTTGGCAGTGGAGGCTTTCCAAATTTAGAGAGTTCTTAATGACTCTTCAACTGCATTACATCCTGAGGATAATTAGTAATGTTGCTGCTTGGCTGTTCAGCACCAATCAATCAAAGAGGATACACAGAACTTGCAATAAATCCAGAATTTGAACCCATTCCAGTGAGGAAAAGGTATCTCCTTCAAGGTTCAATAAAAGAGGTTCATCATTCTGGTAAATACATTTAGAAAGGCAAAAATTAAATGAACAAGAGGCTTAGCTTTTGTGCAGTTACAATTCAGTTTTGTCTTGTTCTTCAGTGGTTGGGGATGAATGGCAAAAAGATCTTTATGTGGAGATATCATAAAAGAAGAAAAACAGGTGAGATAGTGAATTTCTCTGAAAATGGCAAGCACTGTCATCTCTTCTAGCTACCTGTGCCAATACTACTTTCCAGAAGTGTCTACTCAGGTTTTTCGTAATCTGCAGCATGAATTGTGCTAGATACTGGGGCAATTACAGGCAGACTCAAGCACAGTATTTGCTCCTGCACTGTCTAAGCAGGAAGACCTGTTCTTAAATTAAGTGAAGAAGGGAGATTCAACACTTTGGGGAAGCTGTTGAGCAAGGTTGAGGAACATGAGTACAGAGAAATACCCACTGGATTTAATAAGATGAAAGTAAGAGTGATGTTGGACAAGGGGTGAGTGGAAGGAGAGGTAGTAAAGAAAATGAGTGTCGACAATTGTTTTTATAAAATTTCCTGTGAAAGTGAGAGCAATATTGCAAAGTTTAAAGGGGACAGAAGAATCCAAAATGCCTTTTCTTTCTGTCATATTGTTGTGTTTTTTAATGTGGGAGAAGCTTATCTATTTAAATTATAAAAAGGATTTTTGATGTCAACCACTGATCTGTTTTCTGTCCTTATAATTTTGACTTTTCCAAAATGTCATATAAATGGAATCATAGTGTGTCACTTTTTGAGTCTTTCTTCTTTTTTTTTTTTTAATTATACTTTATGTTTTAGGGTACATGTGCATAACGTGCAGGTTAGTTACATATGTATACATGTGACATGTTGGTGTGCTGCACCCAGTAACTTGTCATTTAACATTAGGTATATCTCCAAATGCTATCCCTCCCCCTTACCCCCACCCCACAACAGGCCCTGGTGTGTGATGTTCCCCTTCCTGTGTGAGTCTGTCTTCTTTCACTTGACATAATGCATTTCAGATTCATCTATGCTGTTGTATATATCAGTAATTTATTCTTTTTTATCCCTGTACAGTATTCCATCCTATGAATACATTACAATTTCTTTTTCTGCTCACCAGTTAAAGGGCATTTGTATTGTTTCCAGTTTTGGGCGATTTTGAAGAGAACTGCAGTAAACATTCACACACAAGTTTTACATGAGCCTAAGTTTCCCTTTGTCTTGGGTAAATACCCAGGAGTGGGATTGCTGGGTCCTATGTTACATGTATAGTTCACTTTACAGTAAACCACAAAAGTGTTCTCTGAAGTGGCTGTACCATTTTTCTGAATGTAAGTTTTTCAGAAATTAGTGAATGAAATTAAAATTTATTCAAAGCCAAAGATGAGGACCTAGTAAAAGGGGGGAAAGGCCAAGATACAGAGTGGAACAGATACAGGCAAATCCTAAAATTCCCAGAAAGAAGAAGAAGGTGGGATCCAGGGCACAGGCACAGGGACTGGCTTCACACAAGGAAACACGCCCTTTCTCACTGAGGCAGGAGAAAAGGTGGGAAGGCTGAGTGCAGATGTCAGTTTAGTAGCAGGGGGTTGAGAGGAAGTTTCCATCTTTAAGTCAGAAAAAAGCAAGAGGAAAAAGGAAGTTGAAGTTTGAGGACAGTGGAGATTTAAGACAGTCTTTGCAGAGCACGGAGAAACAATTTGCCTAGAGGAATGTAATAAGACTTACAGGCAGTTTTGGGCTTGTATTCGTGGTGCAATTGGCTTGTTTGAAGCAAATGAATTTATGATATCAGTGAGAGAGTCACTGAAATTCTAGGTAGTTAATCTTAAGCTGGAAAGGCAAAGAAGTGGGAATAGTGGATAGAAAGTAAGTAAAAGAGTTGTTCCAGTTATTAAGCTCCTGTCTTTTGGCTTCAAACCCACATGGGGCCAGGGTTGATACTCAGCAAAATTACACTTCTATGACATTTGACACAGGATTCTTTCCCTTTCCTTTCCTTTCCTTTCCTTTCCTTTCCTGTCCTGTCCTGTCCTGTCCTGTCCTGTCCTTTTCTTTTCTTTTCTTTTTTCTGATGGAGTTTTGCTCTTGTTGCCCAGGCTGGAGTGCAGTGGCATGATCTTGGCTCACTGCAACCTCTGCCTCCTGGGTTCAAGCGATTCTTCCACCTCAGCCTCCCAAGTAGCTGGGATTACAGGTGCCCACCACCACGCCCAGCTAATTTTTTATATTTTTAGTAGAGACGGGGTTTCATCATGTTGGCCAGGCTGGTATAGATCTCCTGACCTCAGGGGATCCACCTGCCTTAGCCAACAAATGACACTTCTATATGGGACTCCAGCTGCCTAGTCCCATTAGGCTTTACCAACATAAAACACTAGATGGTCACCACAAGGCTGGAGGTAGGAGGAGGAACCTGCTCCCCTCTGTCTGCCTGTGATTCCTGTGACCAACACCTAACAATGCTTCTTCGTGTTGCAGCAGGACTTCCTTCTTGAACCAACTTCCTGGCACCTTCGCAAAGGCAGCAGCACCTGCCAAGCAGTGTTCCTGCTCAGAGGTCTGAGACCTAGCCCTGGGGCTTTTCCTTCAAGCTTCTATGTCTTAGTCATTCCAACTTTCCCCCTTTGTTTTCTTCGTTTCTAGTCATAGTAGCTGCTTCTTGCAGTCATTACCTCCATGATGCCTTAAAGTTAGAAAGTTTTCCCTTTTCAGTTCTTCAATACGTAACATCATTTTTTTTTTTTTTTGAGACGGAGTCTCACTCTTGTTGCCTAGGCTGGAATGCAGTGGTGCAATCTCCGCTCACTGAAACGGCCTCCCAGGTTCAAGCAAGTCTCCTGCCTCAGCCTCCTGAGTAGGTGGGATTACAGGTGCCTGTCACCACTCCCGGCTAATTTTTATACTTTTAGTAGAGACAAGGTTTCGCCACATTGGCCAGGCTGGTCTCAAACCCCTGACCTCAGGTGATTCACCCACCTCGGCCTCCCAAAGTGCTGGGATTACAGGCGGGAGCTACCGCACCCAGCCAACACTTTTTAATATTAAATTCTCTCTGTTGAAATAGCTTGTGTGATTTCTTTTAAATGGGCCTGGATTGATATGGGGATCATAGCAAACTGGAGATAACTAAGCAGTGAAAGAACAGTAGTAACAATGGTATTTGAGCAAGTAAATTGGA
Organism: Homo sapiens; assembly: GCF_000001405.40. NCBI lineage: Eukaryota > Metazoa > Chordata > Mammalia > Primates > Hominidae > Homo > Homo sapiens. Next base: position 25,643,187 of record NC_000016.10, on the reverse strand, counting down.
AGAATAGGAGGTTTGCATGCTAGCATTACAGACTCGGAGTGGAACAGTTTAGAGAGATGATAAGGTGCAAGGTACTTTGGTCACAGTGGGTGGCTGAGATACAAAGGAAGGTAAGGGTATTAGAGATGAGGAAATCATAGCTCTGAGATGCATTGCATAGGTTGACTACTCAGCCATTGAAGGCAGCCCAGATGATGGCAGCCACTAGAGTAAAAAGGAAAAATGTGAACCAGAATTACATACAGAAACAGGGTTTTGAATGTCTTTAGTGGAAAGGGATGGAATCCGTTTTAGAGTTGAGAGGCTTGAGCTTCAGAACAGTTTTTGGTTTGGTTTGGTTTGGTTTGGTTTTTTTAAATGAGATGAAACAATGGTATGAAAGCACAGAGTGAAATCACAAGGACCACAATAACCATACTTTCTGCCCCCTTGAGGCGTGTGGGTTTGAGATAATAAATTACTTTCCCTTGTGGGATTGCAAGGGACATGGTGTCCTCAGAGAACTGCCAGGTTAAGACAAAGGAGAATTTGCTATCAAATGAGAAATAATAAAGGCTGCTACGAATGTGGTAAATGCTTTAAAATGAAGTTGTATGTTATTAATCACAACATTTATGTGCATCTGTGAAATTTATGTCAAGACACATTCGCTTTACTGCATAGAAGGCCTGGTATGTATGTGAATTCCTGGAGCTCATTGCAATGAATTTAAGGGACACAGGGAGTCACGACTCACAGGTTACAGGATGGATCTGGAAGGCTCTGACACCTCTGACATTCCCACGTCCTCTTCACCTCTTCACTGGTGAGGTGCCTAACACAGCCCCAAGGAGAAGCACTATGTCCTTCATATCATCAGGGAGTCGTGTTTTTAAAATGGCAGCTGGATGTAGCTGGAAGGGATAATCCTGAAGTACACGTGTGTGTTCCCAGAGCCCTGGTTCAACAAGGGTATCAACGCAGCAGTGTAAGAGCTTCTATTGGACTGAACAACCCAGTGAAGCAGCTATAGCTGAGGACTGACCGTACTCCCCGATTCTTCTTCTGCTCAGTGTTTAGAAGCAGGACAACTCCTTTCGGAACGAACAAGCATCTGAACTTATATGGCATATGGCGGGGGGGTAGGCACCCGTGGGAGTAATAAACCTACTAAGTGACATGTGTGGCCACTCAAACAAATAAGTTGAAAAATAACTGATGTATTTATTTCTGTATCCCACGTTTGTCAAACAGGTCAATGAATAAATAAATATAAATTTTATAAATTAGACTTCTCTATGTACAGAAGTACAACTCATAAATTGTTGCTAAGGGGGAAAGCCACAGTGATCATTTTTCTTTGTTTCACTTATTTGTAAAATGATCAGGTTCACAAATGAACTGTGGGTAGTCAGTTTATCTCTCTCTAATTATCTATTCACTGAGCTTTGTCATCATCAATAATTATTATTTAATGAGGTCCACTGTACCAGAAATAGCTGGTGAGAAAAGTGCATTGTGTGAAGGTTCCATTCTTAAGAAAAAGAATACGTAATAACAAATAACCAACTGAACAAGGAATGTACTATACCTGTATGAGTGACGTTATAAAATTTTACTGAGAGGTATTCAAAGATTTGGATAAAATGAAAAAAAAATACACCAGAATCCTGAATGGAAAGAGTCAATGTGGTATCTCCAATTATCTCTAATCTTAGTCCCAATGGGGCTTCTTCGGATCTTGACAGTAAGTTTCTAATTCTCATCTAGAAGAAATCATGCTGGAAATAGAGAATAGGACTTTGAGGGGGAAAAAGGCATAATGAGAATTCAATACCTATTAATATGTATTATAAAGCTGTAATTGTTAAAACAGCAAAACGGTGGTACGGGAATACACAGTTCCATGGGACAGACTGTCCAGAAACAGATCAAAGAAAAGCATATAGAAGTTCAGAATATGATAAAAGGTGGCCTTTCACATTTATAGGGATAATGATTTACAGACTATTGCTTAACCATTTGGGAAAACAATTGACTTATATAGTTGAATACATAAAGGAAAAAATTTTCTTATTAAGTTGCAAAGGCAAGTTCACCCAAAGGTAACATAAATAATACTTCAAAAATTGTATAAAATATGAATGCCTTTAATGTCTAAAGGGATCTTTCAAATAAATGTAAAAGGATAAATACTCTCAAAAAAGAGAGTGTCAATACAAAAACAGAAAAATATTTACACAGGAGGACACATAAATAGTCAAAGATGAAAAGAGTTTCAATTGCATTAGTAATTAAAGAAGTGCAAGTTATAGAGTTAATATGTCACATGCATTATCTTATTCAACCCTAACATCAATGGATATGATGAGCCCTTGATGACTTTGAACTCACTGAATTATGGTATTCCCTATCTCTACCACCTTATGGTAGCCTCATGAGAGCCTACGTCTATTTTCTCCCCTGCAGTTACCACATGTTGCCATGGTAGGTGGAGAGGGGAGGCTGTGTACTTTCCTTATATGCCCTCCCGTGGCTGGCTTCCTGTGTCGAGTGGGTTGATTGCCCAGAACCATGCTTTGCAGTAAAATTTCAAGTAGAGCCACCACTTAGGTTCCTGCTATACACATACCCTACCACTACGACCACTGCCACCACCACCAGATTAGCCCCTTTTCATGCTGATATGTGCCTGAACGAAAGTCTGCACTGGCCATGGCCTTTGATATTTGGGCAAACGATCACTAGCCTGTCCTCCCTGCTATATCCTCCTGCCCTGTCTGGACCCACATTCCTATCCTCCCTGCTGGACTCTGTTGCTGAGACTCCATGCCTGAATCCCCCATGTAATTCCTTGTGATTCAAGTGCCTATGGATGCATTTACAGGAACTTTGAGCTGATTTCACCTCAGATCTCAGGTCACATTTCTCATGGACACCTTTCTGCAGACAATGTAGTTATTAGCACTGTGAACAGAACAGAACAGAAGGTATCCATCAATCCTGGTGGCTTATGGCATTAGTCCCTGTCTTCTCCAATCATACACAGTAACAGGCACTTATATAATTTAGATATGTGTCCCCTCCTAATCTCATGTTGAAATGTGATCCCCAGTGTTGGAGGTGGGACCTACTGGCAGGTACTTAAGTTATGGGGGCAGATTCCTAATGAATGGCTTGGTGACCTCCCTGTGGTAATGAGTTCACATGAGATCTGGTTGTTAAAAAGAGTCTTGGACCTCCCCTCTCTCTCTTCCATCTCACCGTATGATACACTTGCTCCCCCTTTGCTTTCCACCATGAGTTAAAGCCTTCTGAAACCTCACAAGAGGCAGAGCAGATACTGGTGCCATGCTTCTTGTACAGCCTGCAGAACTGTGAGCCAAATAAACCTCTTATCTTTATAAATTACCCAGCCTCAGGTGTTCTTTAATAGCAATGCAAAGCAGACTAATACAGGCACCTAAGTTATTCTGTCTGAAAGCCCAGTACAGTGCCCAAGAGAACCAGTAGATCAGAATCCTCACCTCTACCAACTGGTGAAAACTGACTCTGTCTTGCTACCTTGAGCCTGATATTGTATGTGGCCTGAGTGGGCCCTTGACTAAAGGTATGCCATCTAAAGCCAGCCCTTTTGGTCAGGACTTATAAGGTTACAAAAGAAAGAAAACTAAAGTCAAGTTTTAGCTTAAGACAAAAAGGGAATTTGACATATGCAACTTTAAAAGGGTGTATTGGTCCATTTTCACACTGCTGATAAAGACATACCCAAGACTGAGTAATTTATAAAGGAAAGAGGTTTAATTGACTCGCAGTGCCACATGGCTGGGGAGGCCTCACAATCATGACAGAAGGCAAGGAGGAGCAAAACAACGTCTAACATGATGGCAGGCAAAGAGCATGAGAGGCAAGAGAAAGGGGAAACCCCTTATAAAATCATCAGATCTCATGAGACGTATTCACTACCATGATAACAGTATGGGGGAAACCACCCCCATGATTCAACTACCTCCCACCAACTCCCTCCCACAACATGTGGAAATTGTGGGAGCTACAATTCGAGATGAGATTTGGGTGGGGACACAGCCAAACCATATCAAGGGGGATATGGCCTCATTGAGAGTCTGAATTATGTCCTCAGAACTCTGTTTCATTCTCTGTCCAATCTCTGACTTCATTCTGTTGGCTTCATTCTCAGTTCTACCGATTGATGGCAAGATAGATGGCAAAATTTCTGGAGCCAACTTCTCCCAGGCTCAAGTGCAGCAGAAAAGACGGCAAGTTCTCTCCCAGCAGTGGTAGCAAAAGTCCTACTGAATCTCACTGGCTTCGACTGGGTCACTTGCCCATTTCAGAACAAATCACTGTTGCCAGGAGAATACAGAGCTTCTATTGACCAAGTCTGGGGCACCTGTCTTTCCCAGGATGCAGAGGCAGAGAGTTCTCTTTATTCAAATCATACAGACAAAGAAGCAAAAGGATGGTTTTCCAGTGTAACTCAGGGAACTATTATTAAAGAAGAAGGAGAACATAGTGTATAGCCCACAAAAGAACAGAGGTCTCCTACACACACTGACATGGTTGAAGCTCTTCTCTTACTTATTATTGTCCTGCACTTCCTAGGGCTCTGATAACCTTTGCCTGCCTACTGATGCCAGGATATGTCTGTCCCTAGCCTTCTATGACTGAATGAAATCCTTCTTTATCTATAAACACAAGCAAACATGAGACCCAACTCCTCTGTAGGAACAATCTAGAGAAGTGGAGTGCCACGATTATTAGTTATAGACTAAATCAACATTTTTTCATTCAATAGATATATATCAAATGTATTGTATGTGCAGGAGCTGAGCAAACAGTGGCGAGAACAAGGCAGATGGGAGGAGGATGGGGAGATTAATTCAAATGGTACATAGAAACTACAGGTTGTACTGACATGTATTTCCTTTAGTGGTCAGCCTTCCTTACCCCCAAGAATATCCCTGGTTTATTGCTGTGTCTTCATTGGTTCACTCTTAAAGTTCTGTTATGCATTGTTCTTGAGTCCACATAGGTGTTAATCATTCCACACCACTCTGTTTAAACTGTCCAGCTCTACCAGTACTTCAAACTAATTTGCCTCTTGAGTTTCCATCCATCCTTCTCACAGACATGATTCTCTGGGCCAAAAACAAGAAAACTGCATGTTGGCTGGAATTGAATAAAAGTCAATTTATCAGCCATGTGGCTTCTGCGTGGGCAACATTCATCCCCCAAACATTTATGGGGCTCCTGCAGTGACCAAAGGATTGTGTGCAAGGAGGAAGAGGAATAAAATGTGAGCTCAGCATTCCAGGAGCTTGCCATCTGGTCAGAAAGAAAGGTATGTCTGCAAATGGCTGCACAACAAGGATTAATGTAATAAAAGCAATATGGTGGCACAAACCAGAAGTTATAGAAATGGAGGCATTTCCTGGAGAAGCCAGGGACTGGAGAGCTAGAGAGTTGCTTCTGGTAAGTAGGTCCTATGTGCTTGCAGACTGGCTGTCGTGCTTTATAATTTTTCCTAAAAACCTCACTCCTCTTTGCCAGTCCTCTCTAAAGTCTGAGCTTTCAGCTCTGAAATACTGACTGCTGATGTACATTGAAGACACAAGGTATTCTCATGCCAGTGCTAGTATCTGTTGCTGTGTAACAAATTATCCCAAAACTTAGTGGCTTAAGACAACCCACATTTATTTTCCCACAGTATCTGTGAGTCAAGAATTTGGACTAGTTTAGTTATTGATTCGGAGGATGTTGCAATCAAAACGTTGCTTAAGGCTGAAGTCATCTGAAGGCTTGACTGGGAATGGGGAATCAGCTTCTAAGCTCACTTATGTGATTGTGGGCAGGAGGCCTCACTCAGTTCCTGGCTGGCTGTTGGCCAGACACATGGTGAGGGGTTCTCATCATACAGACCTCTCCAGGGGGCTTCTTGAGCATCTTTACAACATGGCGGCTGGCATTCCCCCAGCTACGAATCTGAGGAAGAGAGCGAAGAGATACCACACTGCTGTTTATGACCTAGTCTTCAAAGCCATACACTTGTCACTTCTGATATTTTTTACTGAAACCGAGACACTAAGCCCAGCCTATACTTAAGGAGAGGGAAATTAGACTCCAGCTGTAATAAAAAAAAAAATCGAAAAAATTTAGACATATATTTAAACCACCACAATGCCTCCTTACCTTTTATTATACTGATCCAGTTGCTTTTTCTGGCAGAATGGCAAAGAGGCTGAGAACACAAGCTCTGAAATAAAAATGTCTAAGTGGAATTCCAGGTCTACCACCTACTTGAAGTGTGACCTTAGGCAAATAATTTAACCTCTTGGGGCCTCAGTCTCCTTATCTGTAAAATGGGAATAATAGCACCCATTTCATATGGCTGCTGTGGGATTAAAGGAATGTAATAACATGTAAATATTATATGATTAATACACGTAATACATGTCAAACACCTAGAACCATGAGTGGCACACAGTAAGTGTTCAACAAATGTTAGCTTTCTTTTTTCTTTTTTTTTTTTTTTTTTTTTTGAGACGGAGTCTCACAGTGGTGTGATCTCGGCTCACTGCAACCTCCTCCTCCCAGGTTCAAGTGATTCTCCTGTCTCAGCCTCCCGATTAGCTCGGACTACAGGCATGTGCCACCATGCCCAGCTAATTTTTTTATTTTTTATTTTTTATTTTTAGTAGAGACAGGGTTTCACCTTGTTAGCCAGGATGGTCTCAATCTCCTGACCTCATGGTCTGCCTCTTGACAAACTCCTGTTCTTCAAGACTGAATTTGACTGCTTCCTCTATTCCTAAGTTTTCTAGATTTCCTGGGCAAATTTTTCTCCTCCTTCTCCTAAGATTCTCTATCATTTTGATTAGTCTTATAGTTGGTACTTTTCAAACTGTATCATCATGACTTAATTACACATCTGTGTCCCCCACGAAATGGTGTAGCCCATAAAGATAGATTTGGAATCCCTTAGAGGCAGGTTCTATGGAAGGGGAAGGAAAGCAGATTCTGACCAGCCTAAAAGAGACCCAATTTTATATTACAGAATAGGGGCCTTGAGGAAAAAGAGGATTGAGTTCTTATGCAAAGTGATTTCCTGACCACAGCAGCCTGGAGTTAACACCAACTGCTCCCCAGAGTCACCTGGTGGAAGTTCTTGGAGTGAATGCTGCCTTGGGGAGAGAATCCTCTCCATCACAGATCTGACACCAGGAGCCTGGGCACTCATTACACATTCAAACACTTCTCAAGGGGACTGTTAGCAGGTTTCGCATACAAGGAAGTACATTTTCAGGAGCATGTGATACTCTGAAAATGTTTTTATCCAGAAGAAGAACATGTTAGGGGAAGGATGGGTTGATGTTTCCTGAACACTTAGGGACAGTTGTTTTTGCTTAGCAAGATTTTGGAAGGGCCTGAATTAAATCACACTGGCTCCCCTTATTCCAGGATACTATGGGGGAGAGGGACTTCCTCTGCCTAAGTGGACCAGGCTGCTGTCAACAGAAAGCTTCCAGATGTTGCACAATAGCAGGTGTGTCATCAACCTTCACTCCCCCAAAGTGAAAGACTATTATGCTGCTATTAAAAATCATACTTAAAAGGCATTTTCATGGATCGTTTCTATGGTTGTTCCAGGCACAAACTATCACTGCCATTGACTCCACCTCTTGGATATAACAGACCAGCCCATTCTTTCCCTAGCCTGTAAAGTTGTACCATTGTAAATTGTAGCCTGGATTCTAGAAGACATATGAAATGAAATTAGGTTGGTGCAAAAGTAATTGTGCTTTTTGCCACTATACAAGTGGAAAACTTCAAACAGTTTTGAACTGTTTCAAAAGCAGCTTCTACCCAGTTGAAGGATGTCCTGAAGCCCCCATGTTTATAAGATGGGCTTGTGGTCATGTGTTTTGACTTGCCCACTCCATCTCCATTATAAAACCATAACTTTCCCAAGTCAGGTAGCTTGGAGTGGGTGGAGACATGAAATTTCCCTCTATATCTGTCTCCAGCATGGAGGACATTGCACGAAACTGACTTGACCATTCAGAACTTTCAACCACTAGGTCGAGGTGGGGGTAAAGAGTAGATGTTTATATCCTGATTGACATCATCAAGACCCAGGATCCAGCCACACCTGAAATCACACTACTTAATAGATTTCCAAGTTTCATGCCCTTATAAACTATTTTTACTGACTTCAGCCAGTTTGAAATGGATTCTTTCCCTTATAAACCCAGAGTTCTGACTAACATGGTAGAATATATAGTCAGGATGGCAAGTACCAATCTCCTTTGCCCTCTTGCTCTACATTTCAGATATTTATCTGAATTTTTTGTACTAGAAACTCCTGAAAGATAGCAAAACTAATGATTTTCACTTCCTCTTGAAACTTGGTACCTTTGAGAATACACTTTTGTAAGTATTTTAATTAGAAGATGGGAGAGAGTAAATTTATACATTTTTTGAAAAGTAATGTAGCAATATGTGTCAAGAACCCAAGAAAATTAAACTCATATAATATGTCTGAAGAATTTCTCTTTTAGGCATCCAACATAAAGAAATAATTAGCAATAGATGTTCATGGTAAGGATACCTGGGAAATTAGGAAAGACAAAAATCTCAATTGCCAAACTGCCAGTTCTCACAGAGACAGAATGTAGTTCAGGAGTTAGATCACAGGATTCAATGCTTCTATATGCACTTGGCTGTCTTGCTACCCTCTTGGAAACATTGTTTCCTAGCCTATTATGATGGTAGCTTACTTATTCCCTATACTATTGATAGTATTAAAACCAAGTGCTCTCCACTCAACTTCTTGTTACTTTTTAGCTTTTGTTCAATCATAGCTTCCGTTACCTTTTGGCATCAGTCACCTTCAAATCTAGCACTGCCATCTTTCTGAGTGTCTTTTGTCCTCTTCCCCCACTACCTGAGTCTTTCTGGTGATGTATGGTTCCCATTGGCAATGAGTCCCATGACCCATAGCCCCTGCTTACCCGTGGTGCCAAGAAAAGTTTCTGCAGGGCCTGGTGCAGTGGCTCATACCTGTCATCTCAGCACTTTGGGAGCCTGAGATGGGAGGATTCCTTGAACCCAGGAGTTTAGACAAGCCTGGGCAACATAGCAAGACACTGTCTCTACAAATAAAACAAAAAATTAGCCTGGTATGGTGGTACATGACTGTAGTCCCAGCTACTCAGGAGGCTGAACCAGAAGAATCAGTTGAGCCCAGGAGTTCGAGTCTGCATTGAGCTATCACACCACTGCACTCCATCCCAAGTGACAAAGTGAGACCCTGTCTCAAAAGAAAAAAAAAAATGCTGAACCATGTTTCTTGCTGACCTGTGCAGCTGATGAATCTTGGCTCATACTGACTCATGGTTTCTACAGATTCATACTTCTACCTGACCCACAGTTTCTGTTGACCCCTTGTTCCTACTGATCCATGGATCCTGCTGACCCATGGCTCCTGGTGACTCATAGCCACCTCTGAGTCACGGCTGCAAATGACTCATGGCTCCTGCTGACCCATGGATCTTGCTGACTTCTCTTCTGCAGACCTGTGTCCTTTAGTAAAAATGATGCCTGTTAATCCATGCCTTCTGTTCATCCATAATTTCTAGTAGGAGGAAGAGAAGGCTAACCCCTCAGAAGAGTTAGGGCTCCAGAAAGTTAGATCTCAGTTCAGGGTAAGCCTGAAATTTCAACCAAAGATCTGTAACACCAATTATGAAAACTGCCTAGGAATACAATACTTCCCCCCTGCCCCATATATTAATATATCTATTGTGCTCCCCGCCCCTACCTTACTGAATGGACTCCTTTGATTATTCTCAACAATAAGGTACAGAGAACACGAAGAATGTTACAGCTCTGGGGTAATGGAAATAGCATTTTTTTGTTGTTGCAGGAAACCTCTAACTCAAATTATTTAAAGCATTTTTCTAGAGCCTCCTAGAAGGTATAATATGTGTGATGATTTTCGATCACTCTAGAAGTTTGCCTTTGGTTTTAAAATAAGTAAGCTCCTCAAGTGGAAGTACTACCTGAAGCTGAAATAGTTTAAAGGAAAGACATCAAGAAACACAGATTTCTAGAATTTCAGTGATTAAAAGCTACTTTGAAACTTTGAATCACCCATCTTTTGTATGAGCAGCTTGTACAACATCCTGCGTAAGAATAACCCAGTCTCTCCTTGAATGCCTCCAGTGAATAGGAGCTCATTAATTCTGGAGGTAGACCCTTCTATCTTTGCGTAGTTTTCATTATGACAGAGATTTCTTGCACAGATCCCAATTTCTTTCTCCCTGAAATTAATTTAGCTCCATGGACCAACAGGAAAAATAAGCGTGAATTTTTCATATCACAATTCTTCAAACATTTAAATGTTACTATTGGATCATTCATTCATTCATTTATTCATTCATTCATTCTTTAGTCCCTAACAACAGATCATTACCTGGTCCAAAATCTCAATAGTTTCAAGATTGAAAAACACTACCCTAGCCTGTTCCAATACATAGAAAGAAATGTTTTTGTCCCCAAATAAGGAACTTAACAAAGGGTTATTTTTCCTCAAAATGAAACATTTCTTGAGCATTGAGAAGGGGACTACGTCAGGCTTCATAACATTTTTCTTGTTTTAAATTTAGCAAAAAGTATGAAAATGAGGTTCCTGTGAAGCTTCAATTAAATAGCCTTTAAACAAAGTTGTTATTATATTGTTTGTTGCCTTCTTGTATTTATCTGAAAGAGTGGTGAGGTAACCAGTGCCTGTGGCTGTCTACAGAATAAAGACAGCCCTTCTTTCCTCAGCCTCAAAAGCTCTTCCCTGTATCACCTGGCTACCTCATCTGGGCTAATTTCTACCCTGAAGTTTCATGCATGAAAGTGCATCCCAGCAAGTGTGCAGTCTGTAGCAGAGAGCTGGGAGAAACTGTTAAGCCTCTATGCCTGTGATTTCTAGCCACCTGGTAAATTCTACTCATAGAAATAGAAGTTGCACTTACAGACACAGAATAGTTGTTGCTACTTCTCTGGCTGCTCAGTTTGTGAAATGCTAATGAACGAGTATCTTTTGCTATGAATAAGATTACAAGTAAATAGAGATGGGTTATTTTCCTGTTAAAGGCAAATATAAATGTGGAAGTAATATTTTCCAGAAAAAAACTATTAGTATCCTTTATATATAAAGAGCTCTGACAAATCAATAAAAAAACACAAAAAGCTTGCTACTTGTCAATAAAATGCAATGTAAAACTGCAACATTTAAACTACCCAGCCATTAAAAGAGAACAAAATAGTGTCTTTTGCAAAAACTTGGATGGAACTGGAAGCCATTATTCTAAGTGAAGTAACTTGGGAATCAAAAACAAAATACCACATATTCTCACTTATAAGTGGGAGCTAAGCTATGGGTATGCAAGGCATATAGAGTGGTACCATAGACATTGGAGACAGAAAAGAGGAGGGTGGAAGTGGGGTGAAGATGAAAACTACCTATTGGGTACAATGTACACTAATGGGGTGGTATACAGGTGCACTAAAATACTAGACTTTACCACTAAACAATTCATCCATATAACCAAAAACAACTTGTACCCTTAAAATTGTTGAAATTTTTTAAAAAATGTAATGATAATATTTTAATCCATAAAATTATCATAATTTAAAAAAGCATTGTTGATTTTAGGGTAAGGTAAATCTAACCTACTGAAAGAAATAAAGATTAGCAAAAATTTCTAAAAAATGCAATCTGAAATTGTGTAAAGATCTTTAAAAATAATTAAAACCCTTTGGAGCAATAATTATCCTTCCTGAAATTTATCATAGACAAATAATTAGGATTCAGATAGAGATTTATATACAAGAATGTAACCAAATTTCAAATAAACAATATATTATTATTAACTCTAGTCACCATTGTGTACATGTTATATTAAATCTCCAGAGCTCATTCATTTTATAGCTGAATGTCTGTTCTCTTCGACCAACATCTCTCTATTTCCCCAACCCCCAGCCCTTGACAACCACTGTTCCACTCTGTTTCTACAAGTTAGTGTCTAACCACACACACACACACGCACATGCGTGCATGCACACACAATGGTAACTATGGGCAGTGATGAATGTGTTAATTAATTTGATAGTGGTAATCATTATGCAATGTATGCATATATCAAATCATTATACTGTACACCTTAAGTACAAACAATTTTTATGTTTAAATTAAGTATTTTATAGAAAAATGTAATCAAAGCGTTTATCATACACTTTGGGAGGGCGAAGCAGGCGGATCACCTGAGGTCAGGAGTTCAAGACCTGCCTGGCCAATATGGTGAAATCTCATCTCTACTAAAAATACAAAAATTAGCTGGGTATGGTGGCACATGCCTATAGTCCCAGCTACCCGGGAGGCTAAGGCAGGAGAATTGCTTGAACACAGGAGGCAGAGGTTGCAGTGAGCTGAGATCATGCCACTGCACTCCAGCCTGGTGACAGAGCGAGACTCCGTCTCAAAAAAAACCATGCATTTATGATAGAAAAAAAGTACCCACATTGTTAAAATTATATCCTTTGATGGAAAATATGTTGTCAGAAAAATGGTACTTTTATTAAAATTTTATAACATAAGAAAATGTTTCCCTTCTATATAATATTCTAACATAAAATATTTTATTTAGTATGTAATTGTAAGGGATAAATAATCATGGATCAAGATGGAAGAAAAGTATCTGATTAGTGGCAGAGGTTGATTTTGGAAGGTGGATCATCAGTGATCCTTTATCATCGTCTTTATGATTATTTCAATTCCTCTGCAAGAAACATGTATTGCTTTGAGAATTCAAGAATTGTTCAAGACTTTTTAAATCTGGAGGTAAGATGGTCTGGAGGGGAGGTCACTGAACTTAGAGAGCCCAGCATTTGACTCTCAGCTCAGCTTCTCACTAAGGATGGACTTTGAAGCCGGGATAGCTGGCTAGCCATATGCAGAAGAATGAAACTAGACCCCTACCTTTCACCATATAAAAAAAATTAAGATGAATTAAAGATTTAAATTTCAACCTCAAACTATAAGAATCCTAGAAGACAACCTAGGAAACACCTTTCTGGACATCAGCCTTGGGAAGCAATTTATAACTAAGTCCTCAAAAGCAATTACTTTTGCAACAAAAACAAAAATTGACAAGCAGGATCTAATTAAACTAAAGAGCTTCTGCACAACAAAAGAAACTATCAACATAGTAAACAGACAAACTACAGAATGGGAGAAAATGTTCTCAAACTACACATCTGACAAAGGTCTAATATCCCGAATCTATAAAAAACTTACACAATTTAAAAAGCAAAAAACAAACAACCTCATAAAAAGTAGACAAAAGACATGAACAAATACTTCTCAAAGGAAGACATACAAGCAACCAACAAATAGATGAAAAAATCCTCCTCATGACTAAACATCAGAGAAATCCGAATTAAAACCACAGTGAGACATCACCTCACACCAGTCAGGATGGCTATTACTTAAAAGTCAAAAAACAACAGATGCTGGCGAGCCTGTGAGAAAAGAGAACACTTATATGCTGTTGGTGGGAATGTAAATTAGTTCAGCCACTGTGGAAAGCAGTTTGGAGGTTTCTCAAAGAACCTAAAATGAGCTACCATTTGGCCCAGAAATCCCATTACTGGGTATATATCCAAAAGGAAATAAATCATTCTACCAAAAAAGGTACCTGAACTCACATGTTCATCACAGTACTATTCACAATAAGAAATAAAAGGAAACCACCGGCTGGGCATGGTGGCTCATGCCTGTAATCCCAGCACTTTGGGAGGCCGAGGCGGGCGGATCACGAGGTCAGGACATGGAGACCATCCTGGCTAACGTGGTGAAACCCCTTCTCTACTAAAAATACAAAAACTTAGCCAGGCGTGTTGGGGGGCGCCTGTAGTCCCAGCTACTCAGCAGGCTGAGGCAGGAGAATGGTGTCAACCCTTGAGGTGGAGTTTGCAGTGAGCCAAGATTGTGCCACTGCACTCCAGCCTGGGTGACAGAGCAAAACTCCGTCTTAAAAAAAAAAAAAAAAAAGCAAAACAAACAAACAAAAAAAGGAAACAACCTAGATGCCCATCAATGGTGGATTGGATAAATAAAATGTGGTACACATACACCATGGAGTACTACACAGCCATGAAAAAGAATGATATCATGTCCCTTGCAGCAACATGGATGCAGCTGGAGGCCATTATCCTAAGTGAGCTAACACAGGCACAGAAAACCAAATATTGCATGTTCTCACTTATAAGTGAGATCTACACGTTGGTTACTCATGGACATAAAGATGAAAACAATACAAATTGGGGACTACTAGACAAGGGAGTGAGGGACAGAGGGGGCAAGGGTTGAAAAACTAACTGTAGGGTATTATGCTCATTACCTGGTTGATGGGATTATTCATACCCCAAACCTCAGCATCACACAATATATCAAGGTAACAAATCTGCACATGCAGCCTCTAAATCTAAAATAAAAGTTGAAAAAAAGTTTTTAAAAAATGAACATTGAGAATTGTGCTTCATCCTCTGAACCTCTGGCCTTCAGTGGGGATAATAGTAGCTACCTCATGCACCTATTCTGATTGTTAAGTGAGATGATGTATATAAAAAGACCAGGCCAGGCATGGTGGCTCATGCCTGTAATCCCAGCACTTTGGGAGGCCGAGGCGGGCAGATCATTTGAGGTCAGGAGTTCGAGACCAGCCTGGTCAACATGGTAAAACCCCATCTCTACTAAAAATACAAAAAATTAGCTGGGCATGGTGGCAGGTGCCTGTAATCCCAGCTACTCAGGAGGCTGAGGAAGGAGAATTGCTTGAACCTGGGAGGCAGAGGTTGCAGTGGGCTGAGATGGTGCCACTGCACTCCAGCCAGGGCAACAGAGTGAAACTCGTCTCAGAAAAAAAACAAAACAAAAACAAAAACAAAAAACTAAGCAGCATAGCAGGTACCTTGAGGCTGCTTAATAAACATTAAGTGACCAAAGAATTGAATCTGCAGCACAAGGAATCACGATGTTATAGGACCAATGGGTTTGTATGTCTGCTACACTGTAACAGACCCATTACACTGAGACAGCATGGTTGGCAGCAGAGCAAGAGTTTAATGATTGCAGGGCACCCAGCAAGGAGATGACAGGAGATCCTCAAATCTATCTCCCTGAGGAGTTCTGATGGAGACCATGGAAGGTAAGGGGCCGGAAAATTGGGGTCATTGATTGGTTGGGGTAAGGAGGATGAAATCATCAGGATGTGAAAACTGCCTTCTTTGATGAGTCAGCTTTTCAAGGAATCCTTTAGACCAGCTGGCATCAGTAGTTTCACTGGTATGCAGAACCTGAAAAAATATCTCAAAGGAAAAACTTAATGTTTCATAACGTTCACATTCTTATCTATAGGACAGTTAAGGGAAACTATAATCTTGTAACAATATTGATATGGTTTGGATCCGTGTCCCCACTCAAATCTTATGTTGCGTTGTAATCCCCAGTGTTGGAGGTAGAGCCTGGTGGGGTTATTGGATCATAGGGGCAAATTTCTCATGAATGGTTAGTAACATCTCCTTGGTACTGTCCTTGCAATAGTGAGTGAGTTCTCATGAGATCTGACTGTTTAAAAGTGTGTGACACCTCCTCCCTCCCTCTCTTGCTCCTGCTTTCCATGTGACATACCTGCTCCCCCTCCACTTTCTGCCATGATTGGAAGCTTTCTGAGGCCTCCCCAGAAGCCAAGCACATGCCAGCATCATGATTCCTATAAAACCTGTAGAACTGTGAGCCAATTAAACCTCTTTTCTTTATAAGTTACCCAGTCTCAGGTATTTCTTTACAGCAATGCAAGAACGGCCTAATACAAAGATCTACATGATCCTAGGAAAATTGGTGTAAGAGTTAAAGAAACAAGAGAAATAAACCTGAGAGGGGCTTCTGGCTGATTTTGGTCAGATTTTGGTCTTTAACTTTTACAGTTGGCACCAAATAACTCCAAGGAAGCAGATCAGAGAGCATGCTGACCTCATGATTAAGGCTGTGTGTGCTGCAAGCTTGGTTTATTTTTATTTCTTCCCCTCCCTTCCTCCCTGATTACTTTCATAAAGTTTATAGGGATGGTTTCAATGAGGAGACCCATCTCGGGGCAGAAGGGTTTACCTAGCCATGATAGCTTAGGAGATCCTGAGCTGGACTCCTGGGCCTGACACATACTGTTGGATCTCACGCAAGCTGCTCAATCCCTCCAAGACTCAGTTTCCTTACCTGTGAAATGGAGAATAATACAAGTACCTACTTCCCAGTATCATGAGGGTCAATGTGATAATGCAGGAGTTTGCACACTGGAGCTTGTGGGCCAAATCCAGCCTGCCACCTGTTTTTGTAAATAACATTTTATTGGAACACAGGCAAACCCATTTGTTTACTTGTTGTCTATGGCTGCTTTTGAGCAACAAGGGCAGATTTAAGAATTGTTTCGTCAGAGATCATGTGGCCCACAAAGCCAGAAATATTTACTATCTGGCCCTTTATAGCAGAGAGTTTGCTGATCCCTGAGATAATGTACAAAAACTATCAATAAAAATACCTGTCACTCAAAAGATAATTGCTATTGTTATCATTATTATCATTATTATCGAATAATCCCTCTGCTTAGAAGCAATCCAGAAAAATCACAGTCCAGCCCTATTTTCATCACTATTAAACCTAATTCATCCCAGATAGATGAGTCATTCTTGCTGAGTCACTTTTTAAAAACTACCAGAGCAAGAACTCCTATGGAATCCTTCTGTAATCCATCCCAATGTATTCATCATCACCTTTAGAAAAATATTTTATCTCCTCACCTTCCTTTTCACTGCTGTTTCAATGCATGTTCTATTCCCAATCAAGATAAAGAAGTTTCTAGTGTGAAGTTTCTGTACCGCACCTTCTCTTGCCTTAAGAATAGCATGTAGTCACTTCACAATTTCCTCCCGAGTGTCATTTGACCCCAGTTCCCTTTTGCTATTCCTCAGGCAGATGCTAGTCATAGCCATCCTGGATTTTAGAAATTCAGCCAGTGTAGACAGGGAGGGAGTCAGAGAGCAAAGAAACTGACCTCACTACAGAGCTGGCCCATATAATGTCTAAAATGGAGCAGCACTTTCAGGCCAGGTTTAGGAGACATCATGACCTGATGAGGCCCAATCCAATGGGTGTGATGAAGTTAGGGAAGCCCAGACCACAGGCAGAACCCAGAGTCAGCACAGGCAGATGGCAATAGCATTGGCTGCGGATCTGTCCTTTAGAACTCGAATGCCTGCTAGGTGAACTGAGACAATAAGCCCTTTGTCTGGATTGGAGCAATGTGGTGAAACTAGATATACTCTTAGAAGCCTGTGAGTGCCCAGGGCTCAGAGCAGGTAACCTAGACACCAAGTCTCAGTCCAGCTGGAGCTGAGATGAATAATAAGTCTCTATTTCACCCAACATTGGCTCATTGGCTCATTGGCTCATGACAGGAGCATAGAGGAGCCTGCAGGTAGCAGGTAAGAGGGATTCCAGAGAAAATGCAGTGAGAAAGCTCCATCCTGCAATACTAACCTTTCCTCTTGGTCTCTCTCACCTGCAAAACTTCAGCCACTTGTGATCTTGATTGTCTCAATTCTCCATATAAATTATGGCATTTATGATGGGATTTTGAGCATGCTAAAATCCATGCAAAATTCCGCTTTTCCCTGAAATACCTGGTAATTGATTGAGCGTTTAGTTCTAGGATGGAGAACATTTACATTTATTTATTTATTCATTTATTTATTTTTTGAGACAGAGTCTCACTCTGTCGCCCAGGCTAGAGTGCAGTGGCGCGATCTCAGCTCACTGCCAGCTTCACCTCCCGGGTTCACGCCATTCTCCTGCCTCAGCCTCCCGAGTGGCTGGGACTACAGATGCCCACCACCACATACGGCTAACTTTTTGTAGTTTTAGTAGAGATGAGGGATGGTCTCGATCTCCTGACCTCGTGATCCGCCCACCTCGGCCTTCCAAAGTGCTGCGATTACAGGCGTGAGCTACCGCGCCCGGCCAAACATTTACATTTCTAACGTTCCCAGGTGATGCTAATGTTGGGGGTCTAGAGACTATACTTTGATAAATTCTGGATACAGGAATATTTCATGGGTGAAGCAGACGTATGAAACTTAAAGCATGATCTCCATCTCCATTTAATCTTTATCAGAACCCTGAATAGGTGATATCAATCCATTTTACAGATGAATAGAGCAAGTTCCAGGGATAAAATGGGATGGCTCAAGATACAATGCTTGAGACCAGTGGATTTTCAACCTTAGAACAGGTGAAGGGGTGAGGGTGTAAACTAGGAGCTGCAAACTTAAATGCCTGCAGAGGCCATGAAGCTATCACACAGAGAATGAAATAGTTTCTGTAGCAGCTTTTAGCACATATATTCTGTTTTCAGTCCTTATCACATAAGAAAGCAGGCCCAGTATTTGTAGAAGGGTTCTTCCGGTTTTTCAAGAGAAGCCCCAAATCTCAATTTTTAAGCATTGCCAATTCTAAATGTCAAAAACATACTGTATGCAAGTCATATAATATACATTTGCTAGCTAAATTTGGCCCAGATGCTGCAAGTTTGCACCCTTTATGTATTAATGTTTCCCACTCCTTGGTGAGCATACAATTTGCCCTAAAGCGAAGCTCTACAACAGAGCTACTCAGTGTATGGGGTTTGTAAACAGGCAGCAACAACATCATCCAGGAGCTTAAGAAATGTATATTCTTGGGCCCCACTCTAGAAATGACTGAATCCAAATTTCTTTTTTTTTTTCAGAGAACCATTTATTATTGCAGCCAGATTTAAATTTTCTCTTTTTTGTCTTATTTTTTATTACATTTATTATCATTTCAATAGTATTTGGGGAACCGGTGGTGTTTGGTTACATGGGTAAGTTCTTTAGCGGTGATTTCTGAGATTTGGGTGCACCCATCACCCAAGCAGTGTATGCTGTACCCAATGTGTAGTCTTCTTTTTCTTCTTTTTTTTTTTTTCAGATGGAGTATCGCTTTATCGCCCAGGCTGGAGTGCAGTGGTGCGATCTCAGCTCACTGCAACCTCCGCCTCCCAGGTTCAAGCAATTCCCCTGCCTCAGCCTCCAGAGTAGCTGGGACTACAGGCACACGCCACCATGCCCAGCTAATTTTTGTATTTTTAGTAGAGATGGGGTTTCACCATGTTGGCCAGGATGGTCTGGATCTCTTGACCTCATGATCCACCCGCCTCAGCCTCCCAAAGTGCTGGGATTACAGGCGTGAGCCACCGCGCCCAGCCAATGTGTAGTCATATATCCCTCACCTTCCTCCTACCCTTTCCCTCCAAGTCTCCAAAGTCCATTATATCACATTCCTATGCTTCTGTGTCCTCATAGCTTAGCTCCCACTTATAAGTGAGAACATACGATGTTTGGTTTTCCATTCCTGAGGGACTTCACTAAGAATAATGGCCTCCAACTCCATCCAAGTTTCTGCGAATGCCATTACTTCCTTCCTTTTTATGGCTGAGTAGTGCTGAATCCAAATTTCTGTAGCTAGGGCTTGGGAATCTGTGTTTAACATGTTCCACAGATTATTCTTATTCACATTCAGGTTTGAGAAACACTGTCCTAGATCAACGGTTCTCTGCCTTGAGACACATTGAAATTTCTCTAGGAGCTTTGAAAATACTGATGTATGGTAACTTTCCTAAATACATGTATGGAGGAGAGAGGCACTTGGATTTTTTTTTTTAACTCCCCAGCTTGTTCTAATATGCAGTCAAGGTTGAAGTTCGTATCAGATTCTTCTTTGTATTTTGTCCAAAATATATACAGTAGCTCGTATGCCCAGGAGGAAAATGCCAAGAGGCTACTTGGGATGCGGACCCTGACTCCATCCTAGGCCCCAAGAAACTAATACACAACAAACTTCTTTCCCTGGTACTTCATAATTCTTCCTACAGCCAAGACCCTGCCAGAAAATGAAGCCACCACTATACTCGGCCACTTGGAAGATGATAACCATCCGTGCCTGGAGTGGCCAATGGCCAAAGTAACTGATCCACAAATGGCCCATCTGGTCAGGCACAGAGGCCTGGCGTTAGTGCCTTGCCTGGTCGTGTAGTTAAAATGCAGGCCACTCTGCTCTCTGGTTTTATAAGTTAATTGGTGATCGGTTAAATGTCCTAAACAGCAATAATAATCACAGTGGGAAATGACTATCTGACTTCCTTTCCTGAGTGATGTCCAAAGGCTGTGGTCTCTAAAGACCAACAGAGCATGGGAGAAAGTGAGGCCAGCACACAGAGAAAAGAACCAATATCAGAATCCCAGAGGAGGATGGGCTTGTTTCCAGTGGCAGAGCAGGGAGCAAAGGAGCGGAGCAATAGAATCGTTAGGTCCATCAAGCGTACAAAGAGAAGGAATTGCAGATAATCAGCAACAGAGAGGAAGCAAAACAAAGCAAGTGGGTTCTGGAGGCAGAATTTGGAAAGCATTTCAGAGGACCATAGGATGCAGGTGGAGGCAGAGGTGGATGGGAGGATGCCCGTGGCTGAATTTATAGCCTGGAAAGGAGATACTGAGGGCAGGAAGACTGTTTGGACTGCATCCCTCATTACCTCCTTCCATATCTGTCAGCTGGTCAACAAATATTTATGAAACCCCTAGTATGGGCCAGGCAATAGGTGGAGTTGGACTGAGGTTTCCTAATTTTACTGATGCATAGCTTTAACTTAAACAAGGATTTTCTAAAGGTTCATTTCTACATTTTGAAATATTTGTTGAGTATCTTTTATATTCCAGGTACTGGGTTCAACACTAGGAATATAATAGTAAAGAAAACAGACTCTATGATTACCGACCTCATGGAGAAAACATGCTAGTGATGAAAGGCAGATCATGATCAAACAAAAGAACAATATAAATAAATATACTTGAGTGCTGTGAGGAAAACTCTAGGTTACTGATGGGAACACCCTTCTTAGAGAAAATTTGTTTTTCAAGGGTATGGAAAAGGTTCCCTGATGAAGTGACATTTGAGTTGATATCTGAAGGGAGAGTAAGAGTTAATTAAGGCAAAGCTATGAGCCCCCAGCAAAAGGAACAGAATGTGCAAAGGCCCAGATGCAGGAAGGAGCATGGTGCTTTCAAAAAATGGGAAGGAGACGGGGCGCAGTGGCTCATGCCTGTAATCCCAGCACTTTGGGAGGCCGAGGTGGGTGGATCATTTGAGGTCAGGAGTTCAAGACCAGCCTGACCAACATGGTGAAATCCTGTCTCTACTAAAAATATATACAAATTAGCCGGGTGTGGTGGTGCACGCCTGTACTCCCAGCTACTCAGGAGGCTGAGGCAGAAGAATCGCTTGAACCCGGGAGGCAGAGGCTGCAGTGAGCTGAGATAGGACTACTGCACTCTATCCTGCGTGACAGAGCGAGACTGTGCCTCAAAAAAAAAAGAAAGAAGAAAGAAAGAGAGAGAGAGAGAGAAAGAAAAAGAAAGGAAGGAAGGAAGGAAGAAAGAAAGAAGGAAAGAAAGAAAGAAAGAAAGAAAGGAAGGAAGGAAGGAAGGAAGGAAGGAAGAAAGAAAGAAAGAAAGAAAGAAAGAAAGAAAGAAAGAAAGAAAGAAAGAAAGAAAGAAAAGAAAGAAAGGGAAGGAGGTCAGTGTGGCTGAAATATAGTGAACACGGAGAAGTAACCGGTTCTTGCAATGGTTGGTATGCAATGCAAGGAACTTAGAGTTTTGTCCAAGAGGAATGAGATGCCAGTTAAAAAGCCTTAAAGCAAGCAGGATTGCCTGATGAGTGGGGCTGGACAAACTCTTCAGACTCTCAGATGATGATGATGCCCCTGCCACCCTTAGCAAACAGAGTTTTGCCTGAACTTAAATTTTCACCTGAACAGGAGTCTTCAAGATTTCCAGGTAATAAAAGCTGGCATTTCTCAGCAGTGCCCCAAGCTAGCAGCCAAATTCAAATTTCATGGCATCTGATCCCCACAAGCTTAAAGGACCTGTGTTCCTTCTGATCCTCCTACCCAAGAGGCACAGCCAGGATCAAGTGACACTGCCAGGTTCCGCTGAGCTCTTTGCTTGATGTGATATAGTGAGCTTTGTGACTTTCAAAGATCACCCAGGCTACTGCATAGAGAATGGACTGGAAGAGGCTCTAGAGCAAATGCACATGAGCATGCTCTCTGTATAAATTCGTATATTACAATGCTTGGCATAGATTCAGAATCTCTTTGGTGTTCTCTCTGTGTGTATTTGTATACTAGACTTTGTGACTTGGACCTAGCATCTCCTTAGTGGACTCTCTTTACATATATTTGTATAACTAGAATAATTGAATTGAATCCATTTGGCATTTGCTCTCTCAGATAGATAGATCTAGATATATCTGCATACATATATATACATATCTACATATATAGAGATATCTATATCCAATTCCATTATTTTATGGTTTTTGTTGTTGCTTTTTGGTTTTTTTGAGACAGAGTCTCACTCTGCCACACAGGCTGGAGCGCCTTGGCACTATTTCGGCTCACTGCAACCACTGCCTCCCAGGTTCAAGTGATTCTCCTGCCTCAGCTTCCCAAGTAGCTGGGATTACAGGCATGCACTACCACACCTGGCTAATTTTTATATTTTTAGTAGAGACGGGGTTTCACCATGTTGGCCAGGCTGGTCTCAAACTCCTGACCTCAGGTGATCCATCTGCCTCAGCTTCCCAAAGTGCTGGTGTTACAGGCATGAGCCACCATGACCAGCCATTATTCTATGGTTTTTTCATACATAAGTATATAGAAAATTGTTTTCTATATATTAGCCTACTAGAATAATAATAGATTATATGTATTTTATATAATTATTATATATAATCTAATATATATAGTATATATATACACTACTAGTGTATATATATACTATATATATACACTAGTATATATATATACTAGTAGTGAAATCTCTCTCTCTTTCTCAATCTAAGATCGAAGATCTCCTTAGTGTGTGCCCCCTACATATTTGTATAGTAGAATAGTTTGATTGTATGCAACATCTCTTCAGTGTGTTCTTTCTATATATTTGCTTACTGTAACAACCATACAATAATGGAATGGGATCCAGCCTCTTCTTTAACATACACCCTGACTTGGGTTCCCAAAGAGTCTGCTGCTTGATGTTTGGGAGGATGGACCTGGGGATGCTGAAGGATGGGTTGATTCCAATGTGGAGAGGCATCTGGAGACCCAAACCCACAAAGTTGGTGACAATCATCACTTATACATTTCAGATGGAATATCAGCCAAGTAATGGCAAAAATCACAACATCTAGCAGTCAGTCTACCCATTAGGGCTTGTAGAAACCTACCTAAAATGCAGGAGGCCTTCTTAGAATCCTTCCTTGAGGGAGGTCTGGACAAAACTCCATTCTCATTACTAGGCAGAGCAATTAACTTACTGTCTTGAAAGGGGTCTTCTGTGAAAAATTGGATGAACTCTTGGAAGTTGCCAGACCTAGAGTCCTCCTGGGAAAAAAAGTGGTTTCTACAACCGAGGTACAGACCCTGGCCTCCATTGTTTAAAGCTGAACTCCATAAGCCAATTTCAGAAAAGAAAAGTATGAAATTCACCTGCTGGAATGTTGTGGTAGACAATAGGGACTAGACTGCCCTAAACCTCTTTTTCTAGAGGAGGTTAATAGCTCATACTGTCACCGTGAAAAATGGGAACTAAGTCACCAGGTACTTCTTAAAGTTTTCTAAAGGTCTTTCCATCTCCATCTTATACCAATCCCCACATTCCCAGCCTATCGCCTCTTCTGTATGACTGAAACATACTAAGTTCATTCTCACCTCAGATATTTTGTATTTGATGTGGCCTTCACTTGAAATTCTCCTCCTTTGGAGTTTTGTTTGTTTAGAGATGGGTCTCTCTTTATGGCCCAGGCTGGGGTGCAGTGGCACAATCATAGTTCACTGCAGCCTCCAACTCCTGTGCTCAAGAGATCCTCCTGCCTAGGCCTCCTGAATAGCTGGTACTACAGGTGTGCATCACCATGCTCTGTTATTGTTTTTTTTAGAGATGGGGTCTCACTATATCTTGATATATCGCTACATCGCTAGTCTTGAACTCCTGGCCTCAAGTGATCCTCCCACCGCAACCTTCCAAAGTGCTGGGATTACAGGCATGAGACACTGTGCCCAGCCACCCCCTGGATTTTTGTATCACCTGTCCTTTCTAATCACTCAACTCTCAGCCCAAAAGTCACCTCCTCTGAGAACCCTTCCCTGATTGTCCTATTGCTTCCTCACATCAGCGTGTTTCATTCCCTTCATGATAGGTATTGTTACATGAGATGACTTGGGATGTATAGGTGTTTCTTTATTTTTTCATTGTCTCTCCACCCCGGTGAAAATGTAAACTCCAGGAGGGCAGGGTCATCAGTGCCTAGAGCAATGCCTGACATTATGGCAGCAGTTCAATAACTACTTGAATAGATGAATAAAGCTTTAGACATGTAGAAGTGGTCAGAAAACAAAACAAGGTATAAAGGGAAAGGTTGTCATTGAAAATTAAGAATTAAAAAAAAAGGAAAAGGAAGAGGAGGAGGAGAGAACAAAGAAGAAGGATCAATAGCTTTTGGAAGCTGAGTGATATTGTTTGGCTCTGTGTCCCCACCCAAATCTCATGTCAAATTGTAATTCCCAATATTGGGGAAGGGATCTGAAGGGAGGTGATTGGATCATGGTGTAGACCTCCCCCTTGCTGTTCTCATGACAGAGTTCTCACGAGATCTTGTTGTTTGAAAGTGTGTAGCAGTTTCCCCTTCACTCACACACACTCTCTCTCCTACTGTCATATGAAGATGTTCTTGCTTCCCCTTAGCCCTTGCACCATGATTGTAAGCCTCCTGAGGCCTCCCAGCCATACTTCCTGTACAGCCTGTGGAACTGTGAGCCAACTAAACCCCTTTTTTCCACAAATTATGCTGCCGCAGGTAGCTCTTTATAGCAGTGTGAGAACGGACTAATACACTGAGCTTGCCCAGAACACCTTTCAAAGACATCAGGACCAAGAAACAAAGCTCTAAGGGTGCCAAACTGCTTCCATCACTGAACTCATCTACTGTGTTGTACCTGCACTGACCAGACTAATTCTCTCATGCCTCAGTCTCTGCATCTGGCAATGGGGATAAAAGAAACTACCTTGCAGGGTTGTTGAGGTAATTGAGTCAATATGTGTCATGTGCTTAGCACAGTGCCTGGCACGTAATAAGAGCACAATATAAATGTTCCTTAAGCAAATGCTTTTACACTACTGGTAAAAGTGTAAATTAGTTCAACCATTGTGGAAGACAGTGTGGCGATTCCTCAAGGATCTAGAACCAGAAATACCATTTGACTCAGCAATCCCATTACTGGGTATAATCCCAAAGGATTATAAATCATTCTACTATAAAAACACATACACATGTATGTTTATTGCAGCACTATTTACAATAGCAAAGACTTGAAACCAATCCAAATGCCCATCAGTGATAGACTGGATAAAGAAAATGTGTCACATATACACCATGGACTACTATGCAGCCATAAAAACGAATGAGTTCATATCCTTTGTAGGGACATGGATGAAACTGGAAACCATCATTCTCAGCAAACTAACACAGGACAAAAAACCAAACACCGCATGTTCTCACTCATAAGTGGGAGTTGAACAATGAGAACACATAGACACAGGGAGGGGAACATCACACACCGGGGCCTGTTGCAGGATAGGGGGCTAGGGGAGAGAGAGCATTAGGACAAATACCTAATGCCTGTGGGACTTAAAACCTAGATGACAGGTTGATAGATGCAGCAAACCACCATGGCACATGTATACCTACATAACAAACCTGCATGTTCTACACATGTATCCCAGAACTTACAGTAAAATAAAATAAAAACAAATAAATGTTTCTTAAGCAAAAATAAAACAATTTTTTCTGTTTCCCATTTCCCTGCATGAAACGTGCTGTCCTCAGTAGACTGGTAGCTCTAAGTACCTCACATGCTCAGTAGCCTCACATGCTCTAAGTACACCTTTGCCCTTAAAATCATGGATGTTGTTGGAGTCCATTGTCCCAGAAAGGACATTTTAGCTATTGTGCTGACCAAACAGAGGGAGAAGACTTGACCTAAGGCAGAGCAAGGTAGGCAGGATGATCTCAACATATTCCAGTCTTGCCTGACCTCCAGTGATACTGGCCTCTGAGCTGTGGCTTCTCCAGGACATGAGCCAGAGACAACTCAACCTGGCAGTGTGTCGTCAGGTCTTTATTCCCCTAGCCAGGAGGCTTTAATCAGCCTTACTTCAATGTTCAGTGTCCTGGAAGCCTGGTGAGCCTCAAACTGCCATCTCCCTGTGCACCTGTGCTCTTGGCACCTGGCTCACTTACCTCTGTTGTGATTCTTACTCTAATGTCCCACTGGAATGAAACCTGACCTCGAATCCTTAAAATCTGGGACTCTGAGACCTCATTAGTTCACCTTAACCCCTGTTCCTTGATGTAGGAACAGGCTATCTGCCTTGACCCAGATATATATATAGTCTATGTCTTCATTTCTGCAACCTACTTGATATCTTGTCATGGCCTCCAGATCATCATCAATGTCTAGAAAAGTGAGGAGTGACTGGGGACTCACAGATTGATTCACAAGCTCTTTATCTGCCATTATACACCTGGCTTTCATGGACTGTAGAACCAGCCTTAGTTTGAATTGCATCTCTACCACTTTCTAGCTAGGAAAACTTGGGCCCCCTCTGTGCCTCAGTTTCCCCATCTGAATAGGCTGAGGATAACGAGAGTTCCCAACCCAAACGGTTGTCATGAATATATATATATATATATATATATATATATATATATAGTACGTGGCATGTAGTAAGTGCTGTAAGTGTTGGCTATTATTTCATATACATTGTCTCATTTAATCCTCATAAGTTGGAGGTGGTAAGTACTATCCTTATTTTACAAATGATGATGCCTAGGTTCAGAAAGATTAAATAACATTTCCAAAGTCCACCTCACCAAACTGACCCAACCCACCACTGCTGTGCCGCCCCTTCCTGTTTCTCTGGTTTAGACCCTTTGAACACCAAGACCATTCTACATTAAAATCAAGTTTGCACCAGATACAGTGGCTCATGCCTGTAATCCCAGCACTTCGGGAGGCTGAGACAGGAGGATTTCTTGCGTCCAGGGGTTCAAGACCTGAGTGGGCAACATAGCGAGACCCTGTCTCTACAAAACTTTTTTTTTTAATTAGCTGGACGTGGTGGCATGCACCTGTAGTCCCAGCTACTCAACAGGCTCAGGTGGGAGGATCTCTTGAGCCCAGGAGTTAGAGGCTGCAGTGACCTATGATCAAGCCACCACCCTCTAGTCTGGGCAACAGAGTGAGTCTGCATCTCTAATAAATAAATAAATGAAATCAAGTTTGCTACAGGCATTGAACTTGCCAAATTGATCCTTAGACACCTTCCTGTGTTGGCCTTTGTGCACTTTTCCATCCACCTGACATTCCCAATAGCCCTTTGTAACACCAAGTCACAGCAAAATGAAATCCAAAGAGGAGCTGAGCATGCCTCATCAGTACCCAAATCAAGGTGGGCCATGTATTCTAGGTACTGGCATCCAGCAGGGAGCATAAAGGACAAAGTCCCTGTCCTTCTGGTGCTTGGCTTCCATTAAAAGAGACAGATAAACAAGTTAATATGCAATACAGCAGGTACTAGTAAGTGTTGTGCAGAAAGATAAGGCAGGATGAAATACTGAGAGCACCATAAAATTCTTCAACTTCCCTTAAACCCTTGCTCTCTATCTTGGAGCAGATATTTTCCGTGATCCACCATCTGACATCCATGGTCCTTCCAAGTGGCCAAGAAATTTCAGAGCAGATAGGAGAGTAACACTTAAAAGATCAACTCCACAGAACAGATGGCTTCGTTATTTCATGCCAATTAAATCAACGGTTCAGCTGTCTGATCCATTGCTTGCTGATCAAGCTGCAAAGAGCCTCTTGTGCCGGTGCAGATATCCGATTTAATGTAAAAGACGCTAATGGAGACAGACACCAGGGTCACACAGACAATTGAGCAATATTGAGATAGAGAAATTACACAATGGCATCATGGAGAGGCAAGGAGCAAGTGGAAATCGTGGGATGATGGGTGATGGGGCTGAAAAGCTTTATGTAACTAGGACAATGTTAGGGAGAGAGTGTGACAATGCTAACTACTCAATCCACTTGGGCACATGTTATGACAATAGCGTACAATTCCTTTGTGCCAGACTCTGTGCTAAGCCCTGCAGAGGAGGGGGAGGGGATTCAAAGATACAAAAGATGAAGTGCCTTCCTTGAAGGCACTCAGGAAGACTAGGGCTAGAGGAAGACTCAGAGACAAAAAGCTGTAATATAAAGTCAAGTGATACCATCCTGGCCAACATGGCGAAACCCCGCCTCTACTAACAATACAAAAATTAGCCAGATGTGGTGGCACACACCTGTAATCCCAGCTACTCAGGAGGCTGAGGCACAAGGATCTCTTGAAGCCTGGAGACAGAGGTTGCAGTGAGCCAAGGTCGTGCCACTGCACTCCAGCCTGGGTGACAGAGCAAGACCTTGTCTCAAAAATAAAAAACAAAAAAATAAAGTCCATGTGACAGCAGTGTGATTCTGGGTGAAACTATATTTCAAGTCCATTTTTTTCAGCTTGATGAGGAATTACCAAAACTAACCAGGCTGTGACAGCACACATGTGACACAATATATGGAATATTTGTTAATATATCATCTGTGTATCTGTGCTTAGATGCTGATACCCAGTTGCTCTGAAATAACTGATGCCAGATCATGTCATGTAATTATCTAGTAGGGGCCATATGGAGTGGCCACGTGTTTGCACACTTACTGCGGAGCCAGCCCAGAAGTGGATGGGTCTTCCTGTCCTCCGTCACCCTAGGAATAGATAAATCCCAGGATAAAACATGAGGATTTTAAAGGCAGGCCTAGACTGAGATGGCATGGAGAATTTTCACGGCTCTTTCTGAGCTTAGTAGTAAATTTAGACCAAACATTGAGTGATGAAAATGTCTGAAGCTCCTCCAGCGGTCAGCACATTTCCCGCTGTAGCCTCAGGAATCAAGAAAGGGGCTGTGTCAGAGCTCCTGGGAAGAGACCTGAGCATATGTGGGAGATGTTAATCGTTCCCCTAGTTAGATGTGTAGTGATTCCTTTCCAATACCTCTAAGCTCCAGGAAGGCATCCTGAAAAGCCACTCCCTGTTACAATGCAGCTCTGGTGTGGGAATAGCCAAATAGATCCTTGGAGTAAAATAGAGACCCCAGAAAAAAGCCCATATAGTATGGGCACTTAGTGTACTATTGATATGGTTTGGCTGTGTCCCTACCCGATCTCATCTTGAATTGTAGCTCCCACCATTTCTGTATGTCGTGGGAGGGACCTGGTAGGAGGTAACTGAATCATGGGGATGGGTCTTTCCCATGCTGTTCTTGTGAGAGTGAATAAGTCTCACGAGATCTGATGGTTTTATAAAGAGAAGCTCCCCTGCACAAGCTCTCTCTTTCCCTACTATCATATAAGACGTCCCTTTGCTCTTCCCTCGCCTTCCACCATGATTGTGATGCCTCCCCAGCCACGTGGAACTGTGAATTCATTCAACCTATTTTTCTTTATAAATTACCCAGTCTGTGGTATGTTTTTATCAGCAGCGTGAAAATGGACTAATAGAATTATAAAACCAGCATTTCCAAATTATGGAGAAGGAATGGGCTGGTCAACAAATAGTAATTTTGGAAAATAAAAAATAAGAACCTACCTTTCACAATACTCAAAAGTGTGTATTCTTGGTGTGTTAAAAAGCTAAGCATGCAAATAAAATTATTTAAATGATAGAAAAAATAAAAGACTTTAAAATTAATGTTGGTATAGGCTCTTCTTAAGCAAAATCCTAAAGGAAAACATTGATAAATCCAACCATAAAACTCAATGATATTCTGTATGTTGAAAAAAATATCCTAAACAAGGCTAAAAGATCAGTGGCAGGATGAAGGAAAGTATTCTCAACATATATAATAACCAAAAGATTGATATCCAAATATATCAAGATTTCTCAAAAATCAATATGATAAAACACTAAAATTTAATAGAAAATTGAACAAACAATATAAAGAGACAATGCACAAAATGAAGAAATACAAATTAAAAGATGTGGAACCTTAATAGTAATCCCCCAAAATGCAAAATAAAACAGTGATGTTTCATGGAGTTTATTATTCCAATACAATAGCAATGTTTAGGCAATACAGTTGAGCATCCCTAATCTGAAAATCCAAAATCTAAATGTTCCAAAATCTGAAAATTTATGAGGGCAAACACAGTGCCACAAGTGGAAAATACCACACCTGACCTCAAGTGATGGGTCACAGTCAAAATGCAGTCAAAATTTGATTTCATTCACAAATTTGTTAGAAAAAATGTTGTGTAGCCTGTAATCCCAGCACTTTGGGAGGCCGAGGCGGGCGGATCACGAGGTCAGGAGATCGAGACCATCCCGGCTAAAACGGTGAAACCCCGTCTCTACTAAAAATACAAAAAATTAGCCGGGCGTAGTGGCGGGCGCCTGTAGTCCCAGCTACTTGGGAGGCTGAGGCAGGAGAATGGCGTGAGCCCGGGAGGCGGAGCTTGCAGTGAGCCGAGATCCCGCCACTGCACTCCAGCCTGGGCGACAGAGCGAGACTCCGTCTCAAAAAAAAAAAAAAAAAAAAAAAAAAAAAAAAAAAAATGTTGTGTAAAACTACCTTCAGGCTATGCATATAAGACATATATGAAACATAAATGAATTTCATGTTTATACTTGGGTCACATCCCCAAGATATCTCATTATGTATTTGCAAATATTCTAAAATGTGAAATTTGAAATCCAAAACACTTCTAGTCTGAAGCATTTCAGATAATGGATACTCAACCTGTATTAAGTGCCTGTTGATGAGCCTTTTCATAAGCTGTTGGTAGATCAAACTGGTAATTTTTCCAGAGGGCAATTCAATAGTACCTTCATTTAAAAAAAAAGGAAAAGAAAAGAGGGACAGGTGCGGTGGCTCACACCCATAATCCCAGCACTTTGGGAGGGTGAGGAGGGCAGATCACTTGAGGTCAGGAGTTTGAGACCAGCCGGGCCAACAAGGTGAAACCCATCTCTACTAAAAATACAAAAATTAGCCAGGCGTGGTGGCACGTGCCTGTAATCCCCACTACTCGGGAGGCTGAGGCATGAGAATCACTTGAACCCAGGAGGTGGAGGTTGAAGTGAGCCAAGCCTGGGTGACAGAGCAAGACACTGTCTCAAATAAATAAATAAATAAATAAATTGTTGCGGGAAGTCAGGGACCCCAAACGGAGGGACCGGCTGAAGCCATGGCAGAAGAACATGGATTGTGAAGATTTCATGGACATTTATTAGTTCCCCAAATTAATATTTTTATAATTTCTTATGCCTGTCTTTACTGCAATCTCTAAACATAAATTGTAAAGATTTCATGGACACTTATCACTTCCCCAATCAATACCCTTGTGATTTCCTATGCCTGTCTTTACTTTAATCTCTTAATCCTGTCAGCTGAGGAGGATGTATATTGCCTCAGGACCCTGTAATAATTGCATTAACTGCACAAATTGTACAGCATGTGTGTTTGAGCAATATGAAATGTGGGCACCTTGAAAAAAGAACAGGATAACAGCAATGTTCAGGGAATAAGAGAGATAACCTTAAACTCTGACCGCCGGTGACCCTGGCAGAACAGAGCCATATTTCTCTTCTTTCAAAAGCAAATGGGAGAAATAGTGCTGAATTCTTTTTCTCAGTATGGAACATCCCTGGAAAAGAGAATATGCACCTGGAGGTATAGGCTTATAAACAGCCCCCCACCCCAGGTGTGCCTGCCTCTTATGGTTGAGGCTGCAGGGGTGAAATAGACCCCAGTCTCCCATAGTGCTCCCAGGCTTATTAGGAAGAGGAAATTCCTGCCTAATAAATTTTGGTCAGACCAGTTGATCTCAAAAAACCTGCCTCCTGATAAGATGTTATCAATGACAATGGTGCCCAAAACTTCATTAGCAATTTTAATTTCGCCTCAGTCGTGTGGTCCTGTGATCTCACCCTGCCTCCATTTGCCTTGTGATATTCTATTACCTTGTAAAGTACTTGATGTCTGTGACCCACACCTATTCGTACACTCCCTCACCTTTTGAAACTCTCTAATAAAAACTTGCTAGTTTTTGCAGCTTGTGGGGCATCACGGAACCTACCGACATGAGATGTCTCCCCTGGACGCCCGGCTTTAAAATTTCTCTCTTTTGTACTCTGTGCCTTTATTTCTCAAGCTGGCCAATGCTTAGGAAAAATAGAAAAGAACCTACATGAACATCGGGGCAGGTTCTCCTATAATAAATAAGAAAAGAAAAGAAATGCACCCGGCCTTCTACCAAGCAATCTGGATGGTTGGCCTGCAGAAATACATAGGCACAAAATGGTCCATATATGCTATGGGCTGAATGTTTCTGTCATCCCCAAAATTCAGGTTGAAATCTAATCCCCAATGCCAATGTGATAGCATTTGGAGGTGGCTTTGGAAGGTGATTAGGTCATGAGCGGGAGCCCTCATGAATGGAATTAGTGCTTGAATAAGAAGAGGCCAGACATACAGAGGGAAATAACAGGTACTGGGGACTCCAAAAGGGAGGAGTATGGGTTGGGGGGTGAGGGTTGAAAAATATAATGTTCACTATTCAGGTGACGAGCACACTAGAAGTCCAAACTTCACCATTATGCAATATATCCATGTAACAAACCTGCATGTGTACCCCCGAATCTATAAAAAATTGCATACAT
The DNA here is from genome assembly GCF_000001405.40 of Homo sapiens. Taxonomy (NCBI): domain Eukaryota; kingdom Metazoa; phylum Chordata; class Mammalia; order Primates; family Hominidae; genus Homo; species Homo sapiens. Next base: position 25,610,136 of record NC_000016.10, on the reverse strand, counting down.
ATATACGTATATACAAAATAAATCTATGAAAAAGGAAGAGGTCAGAGCGCTCTATAATCACAGAGCTTTGGGAGGCCAAGGGCAGGAAGATCACTTGAACCCTGGAATTCAAGACCAGCCTGGGCAACATAGCAAGACTCGTTTCTACAAAAAATTTTCTTAAATTAACTGAATGTGACAGAATGTACAAGTAGCCCAAGCTACTGGGGAGGCTGAGGGAGGAGGATTGCTTGAGCCTAGGAGTTCAAGGCTGCAGTAAGCCATGATCGTGCCACTGCACTCTGGCCTGAGTGACAGAGCAAGGCCCTGTCTCAAAAACAAACAAAAACAATGAAAAAATATATAAATTCTGTGTGAGTTCAAGACACTTTTGAACTTGATAAATTTGCTTCTCATGATAGCCCTGTGAAGTGTTTAACTTCACTCCCATTTTGATACAAAGAAATTCGGGCTGCAGTTAAGAAAAGGTTGCTCAGTTATTGGGTAAAGGAGGCAGGTTCACAACCAGGTCATTCAATCTCAAAGACCATAATCTTCTTCACATTGCCGATGAGATAGACCTTGATATCTGCTGTTATAACAGAAGCAACATCTGTGGTAATAGCATCCGTGTGCCGTATACTCAGTGAGAAATTGTGATAGATGCCGTTTCGAGTGCATATCCAACCCATGCCTCCCTTTCTTTTTTAAAACTTTAAAAAATAATTTTTTATTTCCCACACTACACCAACATAACACACCTTCTTTTCTAAGAACTGTGCTCAGGCCAGGCCTGGTGGCTCACCCCTGTAATCCCAGCACTTTGAGAAACTGAGGTCTCAGGATCACTTGAGCCCAGGAGTTCAAGACCAGCCTGGGAAACAAAGTGAGACCCCATCTCAACAACAACAACAACAACAAGTTAGCCAGGCGTGGTGGCATACACCTCTGGTCCCAGCTACATATGAGGCTGAGGGAAGAGGATCATTTCAGCCCAGAAAGTCAAGGTTGTACTGAGCCATGTTCATGCCACTGCACTCCAGCCTGGGTGACACAGTGAGACCCTGCCTCAAATAAATAAATCAATAAATAGGAAGAAAAAATATGCTCACCTAAAAGCATGGGTAGCCATAGGTCATAGTCCAAACAGGGCCTGTCCCAAATGAGAACAATATGATCCTTTCTCCCAGGAATTTGGCATGGGGGCAGGGGCTTTGGTAATTTACCATATGTTCCCTACAAGACGGTCATGTAATCTCAGGACTAGGTATACTGTATTGGGGCAGCTATTGGTGACTCCGTACAAGCAGTAATAAGAAACTAGTCTATAAAAAAGGAGAATGAATCAGACTCACCGAGAACGGCAGAGACACGAAACCACATGACCCCAATTAGAGAGAAACAAAGAGTGGCTGCGTTGGTTTTTCGATGTCCACCAGCTCACCATGAGATTCAACTGCATATACGTTGTTTAGGTTCCCTGAATTATCCGGTTTCCTTATTTGCCTGCTCTGTTACTGGGGATTATTTAAATACATATTCATCCATTTTCCTTTCCCTTCCCTTTCAATATCTCTGTTCTATGTTCAATTGAATTGTCCTCAAGCCATAGTGATGGTATCAGTCAGGGGTGAGTTCCCTCGGAGTTAGCCCCTAGGATCCTTCTATAGCTGAGGCTTCTTCTGTTCCCAGGGCTAAAGCACCAGCACTATCCGGTCACTTAGGCACACTGCTTAAGAACTCTCAGGACTCTGCAGCGGTCGGCCTCAGAAGTTTCCCTGCAAGTACCGGTCTCCCTCACCAAGTTAAACCAAATGTATTCAGTAGCAGCCTTGACAGAATATACAGGCCTGAATTACTGTGAACAAATTACCCGAGGCTGTTGTACACTTCATCACCTATCCCCGCCATACTCGGGAACTTGATTTTGTGTTTGGGAGATAGTGAGGGCATGACTCGGCATAACAAAGGCTGAGCAGGGTGCAGCTTGCTGTGTCTTAGCCACTAACTTCAGTGAATCATTCATTAGCAGGGTTGGTGCATTGGAGAAATGAGAAACAAGGAACCTGATTAGAAGGAGAATTTATCACCCTGCCTGGAAGAGTAAACAAAACAAAGGAGCCGTCCATCACAGTGGGGTCTGGCACCACGTTGGCAGCCAACATCTGCTCCACTGGCTGAACGTTCACCTCAGAAAGGGAAGCGCAACCTGATGGCTTCTAGAAAAGCTCCATGTACTGCTGGCTCCGGGGCCATAGGGCATTTCCCCAAAGGATCACGAATGTCCCAGACTCTGTAGGTTGCAGAGCAACAAGTAGTCTTCGGGAAAGTGGGTACGTTCGATTTTATTTCTGATCCACCAAATGTTCTATACCCAAAGGGAGGAAATAGTCACAAACTATGCATCTGACAAAGTTCTAATATCCAGAATCTATAAAGAACCTAAACAATTCAACAAGCAAGAAAAACCAAACACCGCATGTTCTCACTCATAGGTGGGAATTGAAATTGAACAATGAGAACACATGGACACAGGAAGGGGAACATCACACACCGAGGCCTGTTGTGGGGTGGGGGGAGGGGGGAGGGATAGCATTAGGAGATATACCTAATGTTAAATGACGAGTTAATGGGTGCAGCACACCAACATGGCACATGTATACATATGTAACTAACCTGCACGTTGTGCACATGTACCCTAAAACTTAAAGTATAATTTAAAAAAAAGTGGGTAAAGACACACAAACAGGCACTTCTCAAAAGAAGATAAAACATGAAAAAATGCTCAACATCACCAATAATCAGAGAAATGCAAATCAAAGCCACAGTGAGAAATCATCTCACACCAGTCAGAATGGCTACCCTTACAAAGCTAAAAAAACAACAGATGTCGGTGAGGCTGCTGAGGAAAGGAAATGCTTACATACTGTTAGTGGTAATGTAAATTAGTTCAGCCACTGTGGAAAGTAGTTTGGAGATTTCTCGAAGAACTTGAAACCGGACTACCATTTGACCCAGTAATCCCATTACCTGGTATGTATCCAAAAGAAAACAAATTGTTCTGCCGAAAAGACACATGCACTCATATGTTCATCACAGCACTGTTCACAATAGCAAAGACATGAAATCAATCTAGGCGCCCATCAATGGTGGATCGAATAAAGAAAATGTGATACATTGACACTGTGGAATACCATGCAGCCATAAAAAAGAATGAAATCATGTCCTTTGCAGGAAGATGGATGCAACTGGAGGCCATTATCCCAAGTGAACTAACACAGGAACAGAAAACCAAATACTACATGTTCTCACTTATAGGTGGGAGCTCAGCACTGGGTACTATGCTCACTACCTGGGTGACAGGATCACTTGTATCCCCAACCTCAGTGTCACACGATATACCCATGTAACAAACCTGCACATGTGACCCCTGAATCTAAAATAAAAGCTGAAATTTTTTTTATTATTTATTATTTATTTATTTATTTATTTATTGAGACAGAGTTTCTCTCTTGTTGCCCAGGCTGGAGTGCAATTCCATGATCTTGGCTCACTGCAACCTCCGCCTCCCGGGTTCAAGCGATTCGCCTGCCTCAGTCTCCTGAGTAGCCAGGATTACAGGCACCCACAAGCACACCTGGCTAATTTTTTGTATTTTTTTGTAGAGACAGGGTTTCACCATGTTGACCAGGCTGATCTTGAACTCCTCACCTCAGGTGAACCACCTGCCTCGGCATTCCAAAGTGCTGGGATTACAGACATGAGCCACCACGCCCAGCCGAAATTATTTTTAAAATGTTGCTGTACCCCTGCCAGCAGCACGCCTCCCTGTGGGCAAGCTGTACTTCCTTATTCCATGGACTGCAGGCTTTGTCATGTGACATACTCTGGCCAGGGAAAGGTAAATGTAAGTGTCACTTTCATGGTAAGACACTGTGTGTTTACTGTGTTTTTTTTTTTCTGTTTGCCGTGAGAGCTGTAGTGGCCCCAACAAAGGATATTCAATTTACCTGACTCCTGGATAAAGACATGATGTTACAGAACTGCAGCTGAGTAATGATGGACAGATAACGTGAGCAAGAAATAAACGTTTGTTCTTATAAGTTACTGAGACTTTGGGGACCATTTATTATTGCTGCTTTCTCTAGCCTATCCCAACTCAAAACATCCATCAATCTCCCCTACACGCATCCATTTTTGTGTTTCATTCAGCTATAAATGACACCAAAATGGGACTGCTGGTGCCTCATTGTTTTGTAAGTTTTGGTGAAATACCTCCTGCAGTTTTTGTTTACTGATCTCTATTAGTGCATTCTCACACTGCTATGAAGAAGTAACCTGAGATTGGGTAATTTATAAAGAAAAGAGGTTTAATTGACTCACAGTTCCACATGGCTAGGGAGGCCTCAGGAAACTTATAATCATGGCAGAAGATACCTCTTCACAGGGCAGCAAGAGAGAGAATGAGTGTAAGCAGGGAAAATGCCAGACACTTATAAAACCCTTAGATCTCATGAGACTCACTCATTATCACAAGAATAGCATGGGGGAAACCGCTCCCATGATTCAATTACCTCCAGCAGGTCCTGCCTTTGACACGTGGGGATTATGGGGATTAGAATTCAAGGTGAGATTTAGGTGGGGACACAGAGCCAAACCATATCATGCTCTTTCTACCCAGACCTGGTAATTGGTCCACAGGGCTAAATAGAGACAAACTCTTGTGATAGCCACCACATTGGATCCCCAAGCAATCCTTAACTACAAATGCCATCCCTAGATACAGGGTCAAGATTATCATGCCTGACTTATTTTTCCAATGATTGAATCACTCCCAGGGAAGCCTCTCAGTCTCTCATGAATAATTTTCTGAAACCTACCATATCCAGGTCACCAACCATCTCAGATATCTCTGAATTTTCATTAGAGATGATATTCAAAATATCTAACAGCTGGCATGGAGTTATAGTATGCCGATATAGTGCTGTATTCAAGCAAGGTCCCTCACTAAACTTTATATAACATATTTACTAATATTTTCTTCACATAGTTTTATGTTTTAACTTTTTCCTTTTAATTTCTTAATCTATATGGAATTTTTTGGTGCACAGTATTAGATAGGAATTTAAATGTCTTCCCCAATAATTAACCCCAGTCATTTATTGAATACTGTACTATCTTTTTACTTATTTAAAATACCAGCATCTTTGGTAATAAATATTTATTTGTACTTAATTCTATTTCTATGCTTTCTATTCTGATCCAAGGATCTATTGGTCTCAATATGCACCATACAGATTAAATACTTAGGGTGTACCATATTGCATTTCTTTTTCAAAATACTCTGTTGTAATCCTATATCTTCTTTCAAATGAGCTATAAAATTATGTTGACATTCCCCTAGCCTCTAAAAATCTATATTTGTATGTGTATTGGGATTTCCCGAAACTTAAAGATTAATGTTAGGAAATTAAATGGAAATCTATGTAATTCCATCTTTCTACCCAAGAACTTGATATATCTCTTCATTAATTAAGTCTTTTTATTTTTTTAAGTCTTTCTTTATGTCTTCCAGTTAAGCTTATATTTTTCTTCATAAAAATTTTACTCTTTTTATTAAGTTTATTTCTAGATATTTTACTTTTAGGTCCTTATGTAAATGGCACAATGGAACTCAGAATTAAGAAACTAACACAAAACTGCACAACTACATGGAAACTGAACAACCTGCTCCTAAATGGCTACTGGGTAAATAATGAAATTAAGGCAGAAATAAAGATGTTCTTTGAAACCAATGAGAACAAAGACACAACATACCAGAATCTCTGGGACACATTTAAAGCAGTGTCTAGAGGGAAATTTATAGCACTAAATGCCCACAAGAGAAAGCAGGAAAGATCTAAAATCGACACCTTAACGTCACAATTAAAAGAACTAGAGAAGCAAGAGCAAACACATTCAAAAGCTAGCAGAAGGCAATAAATAACTAAGATCAGAGCAGAACTGAAGGAGATAGAGACACAAAAAACCCTTCAAAAAATCAATGAATCCAGGAGTTGTTTTTCAAAAAGATCAACAAAATTTGTAGACTGCTAGCAAGACTAATAAAGAAGAAAAGAGAGAAGAATCAAATAGACACAATAAAAACTGATAAAGGGGATATCACCACCGATCCCACAGAAATACAAACTACCATCAGAGAATACTATAAACACCTCTATGCAAATAAGCTAGAAAATCTGGAAGAAATGGATAAATTCCTGGACACACACACCCTCCAGAGACTAAACCAGGAAGAAGTTGAATCTCTGAATAGACCAATAACAGGCTCTGAAATTGAGGCAATAATCAATAGCCTACCAACCAAAAAAAGTCCAGGACCAGAAGGATCCACAACCAAATTCTACCAGAGGTACAAAAAGGAGCTGGTACCATTCCTTCTGAAGCTATTCCAATCAATAGAAAAAGAGGGAATCGTCCCTAACTCATTTTATGAGGCCAGCATTATCCTGATACCAAAGCCTGGCAGAGACACAACAAAAAAAGAGAATTTTAGACCAATAACCTTGATGAACATCGATGCGAAAATCCTCAATAAGATACTGGCAAACCGAATCCAGCAGCACATCAAAAAGCTTATCCACCACAATCAAGTTGGCTTCATCCCTGGGATGCAAAGCTGGTTCAATATTCGCAAATCAATAAACGTAATCCATCACATAAACAGAACCAATGACAAAAACCATATGGTTATCTCAATAGATGCAGAAAAGTCCTCCAACAAAATTTAACAGCGCTTCATGCTAAAAACTCTCAATAAACTAGGTATTGATGGGATGTATCTCAAAATAATAAGAGCTATTTATGACAAACCCACAGCCAATATCATATTGAATGGGCAAAAATGGAAGAATTCCCTTTGAAAACTGGCACAAGACAGGGATGCCCTCTCTCACCACTCCTATTCAACATAGTGTTGGAAGTTCTAGTCAGGGCAATCATGCAAGAGAAAGAAATAAAGGGTATTAAATTAGGAAAAGAGGAAGTCAGATTGTCCCTGTTTGCAGATGACATGATTGTATATTTAGAAAACCCCATCATTCTCAGCCCAAAATCTCCTTAAGCTGATAAGCAACTTCAGCAAAATCTCAGGATACAAAATCAATGTGCAAAAATCACAAGCATTCCTATACACCAATAACAGAGAGCCAAATCATGACTGAACTCCCATTCACAACTGCTACAAAGAGAATAAAATACCTAGGAATCCAACTTACAAGGGATGTGAAGGACCTCTTCAAGGAGAACTACAAACCACTGCTCAACAAAATAAAGGAGGACACAAACAAATGGAATAACATTCCATGCGCATGGATAGGAAGAATCAATATAGTGAAAATGGCCACACTGCCCAAGGTAATTTATAGATTCAATGCCATCCCCATCAAGCTACCAATGACTTTCTTCACAGAATTGGAAAAATCTACTTTAAAGTTCATATGGAACCAAAAAAAGAGCCCGCATTGCCAAGACAATCCTAAGCAAAAAGAACAAAGCTGGAGGCATTACACTACCTGACTTCAAACTATGCTACAAAGCTACAGTATCCAGAAGAGCATGGTACTGGTACCAAAACAGAGAGATAGACCAATGGAATAGAACAGAGGCCTCAGAAATAACACCACACATCTACAACCATCTGATCTTTGACAAACCTGACAAAAAGAAGAAATGGGGAAAGGATTCCCTATTTAATAAATGGTGCAAACGGGCTAGCCATATGTAGAAAGCTGAAACTGGATCCCTTTCTGACACCTTATACAAAAATTAATTTAAGATGGATTAAAGACTTAAATGTTAGACCTAAAACCATAAAAACCCTAGAAGAAAACCTAGGCAATACCATTCAGGACATAGGCATGGGCAAGGACTTCATGACTAAATCACCAAAAGCAATGGCAATAAAAGCCAAAATAGCCATATGGGGTCTAATTAAACTAAAGCGCTTCTGCACAGCAAAAGAAACTACCATCAGAGTGAACAGGCAACCTACAGAATGGGAGAAAACTTTTGCAATCTACCCATCTGACAAAGGGCTAATATCCAGAATCTACAAAGAACTTAAACAAATTTACAAGAAAAAAACAAACAATCCCATCAAAAAGTGGGCAAAGGATATGAAAAGACACTTCTCAAAAGAACACATTTATGCAGCCATCAGACACATGAAAACATGCGCATCATCACTGGTCATCAGAGAAATGTAAATCAAGACCACAATGAGATACTATCTCACACCAGTTAGAATGGCAATCATTAAAAAGTCAGGAAACAACAGATGCTGGAGAAATAGGAACGCTTTGGTGGGACTGTAAACTAGTTCAACCATTGTGGAAGACAGTGTGGTGATTCCTCAAGGATCTAGAACTAGAAATACCATTTGACCCAGCCATCCCATTACTGGGTATATACCCAAAGGATTATAAATCATGCTACTATAAAGACACATGCACATGTATGTTTATTGCGGCACTGTTCACAATAGCAAAGACTTGGAACCAACCCAAATGTCCATCAATGATAGACTGGATTAAGAAAATGTGGCACATATACACCATGGAATACTATGCAGCCATGAAAAAGGATGAGTTCATGTCCTTTGCAGGGACATGGATGCAGCTGGAAACCATCATTCTGAGTAAACCATCACAAGAACAGAAAACTAAACACCACATGTTCTCACTCATAGGTGGGAATTGAACAATGAGAACACTTGAACCCAGGTCAGGGAACATCACACACTGGACCTGTCATGGGGTGGGGGACTCGGGGAGGGATAGCATTAGGAGAAATACCTAATGTAAATGACAAGTTAATGGGTGCAGCAAACCAACATGGCATGTGTATATCTATGTAACAAACCTGCACGTTGTGCACATGTACCCTAGAACTCAAAGTATAATAAAAAAAAAAAGTAAAAAAAAAATTCACTCAATTTTCTCACTGATTTTTTTCATTCGTATCTAAAACTTTTTAATTTTTGATATTTCTCTTGTGTTTAGCCACATTATTGGACATTCATATTAATCTAATTAGTTTTTAACTTGGTTATCAAGAGTTTTCCAAGTAGATTTTCCAATCACTTAAAAATAATAACTGTGTTTCTGCTTTTCCAAAATATATACTGACAATTTGTCTTTTCTTGTCTTATTATATTGGCAAGAAGCTTGAAAACAATGTATCATATGCTTTGCTATAACTGAGTTGTGTTTTAAACATCTCATCAAAGTTTTAAAAATTTGTAAATTTACTTGTATAAGGAAATCCCTTTAGAAAAGGTAATCATGGAGCTAGAAAGTATTAGATTTACAATAATGCATTTTGTCCTGAAGGGATTTAAAGACTAATGCTTTGATTGTGTTTTTGTTATTATAAGCTAAAAACGCCAGATTAAGATGTACAAAAACAGACCTAAGCACTTTTTGATTTGTTCTTCAGTCTACGTACTTGGCTACATCTTGGTATCCTCTATCATCTACGACCTTGAATTTGAAGTTCTTGATTGATATATTACAACCAAAAGAAAAAATAATGCAGCATAGAAAGAACAGCCTATCTCTAAAATAAAGCATATTTATGTCTCTGGTCTCCACAACAGCCTTTTCCCTATTGGTTCATACAGAATAGAAATTTTGTTAAAACTCTAGTGGGCCACATGGTAGAAATTGTGTTTCCTAACTAATTAGTCATATATCATATATATCCATTTCTTATTCTGAAAACTTGTTCTGCTGTGGAAATGCCTGTAACAGTGATAATTGCTGCCATTCTTTTCTTGTTCCTGAGTGCAGTGGGATAGCCTCTACTATTTTACTTTGTACAGTCTTTGTAATGCCTGTTTTAATATGGTGAATGGCTAACAGCTTCAGGTACGGGCTCTCCTATCTTCTCTCTAAACACTGTGAAGACACTGAAGATGAATATAGAAAGAAAAAAAAGATAAAATTTGTAATGCCTGAATCTAGGCAGACTTGAATTCAATTATGGGGCAAATTGATCTGTATTAACAAAAAAATACAAGCTGCTCAGGTTTTCATTTATGTTGACTTATGAAAGCAAGAACATCTAAAAAAGATAAAAGAGCTTTTGTTAAGTCCAGTAGGTCACCTTGATCACAAGTGTGAGGGGCAAGGTGGGCTGCAACCATAAGAGGACTGGTCAACCAACCTTGAAGATCTGCCCAACACATTTCCACATTTAGACAGGGAACAGATCTGAGAGGACAACTGACATGATAGAATTTGTGCAGGTGTCATCCCCATGACACCAAGGGTGAAGACAGTATGGTAAGAACCTTGGCTGGGCACGGTGGGTCACACCTGTAATCCCAGCACTTTGGGAGTACGAGGCAGGCAGATCACTTGAAGTTAGGAGTTCGAGACAAACCTGGCCAACATGGTGAAACCCCATCGCTACTAAAAATACAAAATTTAGCCGGGCATGGTGGTGGGTGCCTGTAATCCCAGCTTCTCGGGAGGCTGAGGCAGGAGAATCGTTTGAACCCGGGAGGCGGAGGTTGCAGTGAGCCGAGATCACATCACTGCACTCCAACCTGGGTGACCGAGCAGGACTCTGTCTCAAAAAAAAAGAGAAACTCATAGCAACACTTGACAGCAATTGCTGCTTTTGTATAGAATTTTAGTTCATAGATGTGGAACCTGGCAATGGGAATAGGAGGAAGATGCCACTTCAGGGGATAGGCGTTCATGAGGAGAGAGCTGAATAGAAGGGCACAAAACAGGATTGGTGCACCCTGCCCTTTACTTAAAAGTTTGGGAAAATCTTATCATATCCAATCCAGCATGATCTCCCTCCTGGATCATTGCAGTAGCTCCCTAATGATCTCCCTGTGTCCCCTCACCTGTCTCCTTTAAAATGTTAGTCAAGGCCAGGCATGGTGGCTCACACTTGTAATCCCAGCACTTCGGGAGGCCGAGGAAGGAGAATTGCTTGAGGCCAGGAGTCCCAGGCCTGCCTGGGCAACACCCTGTCTCTACCAATAATACAAAATTAGCCAAGTGTGTGCCTGTAGTCCCAGCTACTCAGGACCCTGAGGTGGGAGGATCGCTTGAGCCCAGGAGTTTGAGGCTGCAGTCAGCTATGATTGCACCTCTACACTCCAGGCTGGGTGACACAACAAGACCCTAACTAAAATAAAATACAAAATATAGTCAGATCATGTCACTCTTCTGCTAAAATGCTACAGTTGGTTCCTATCTCACTCAGATATAAAATTCAAAAACCCTTACCACTGTCTGGAGGCCCTAGTGATCTAACCCCTACCTACCTGCGTGTCTAAGCGCCCATCCTACCCACTCTCCCCTCACTCACTCTGCTTCGGCCACACAGTCCTTCTTGCTCTGCTTCTAGTGCTCCAAGCAAGCACATTTCTAGTTCAAGTCATTTATACTCACAGTTCATTCTTCTCGGAGATGTCTGTCTGGGTTGTTCCCTCAGTCCATTTGGATTTCTGTGCAACTTCTCAGAGGAGCACTCTTTGCTCCTTTCTCCATTCTATATTCTCTCTTTAGTCTTCTTTGTTGTTCTTCCTTAGCACTTGTTACACATAATATGCCATACATTTCTTTGTTAATTTATTTCTTATTTATTTGTTAATATTTGTTCATTATTGTCCTCCTTCTACGAGAAAGTTCCTAAAAAGCATTTTAAGTTCTATAAAAGTAGCCAGGCACAGTGTTTCATGCCTGTAATCCCAGCACTTTGGGAGGACAAGGTGGGAGAATTGCTTCAGCCCAGGAGTTCAGGACCAGCCTGAATAACATAGCAAATTCTGCATTGACATCTCTACAAAAAATAAAAAATATATTGGACTTGGTGGTACATATCTGTAGTCCCAGCTACTCAGGAGGCTGAGGCAGGAGGATCACTTGAGCCTAGGAGTTGAAGGCTGCAGCGAGCTATGATCACACCACTGCCCTCAATCCTGGGCAACAGAGTGAGAATTTGTCTAAAAAAACCCAAAAACAACAAACAAGCAAACAAACACGAAAGTAGAAGTTTCATCTTTTCTGTGCACTGATATATCTGCAGTGCCTAGAACAGTACCTGGCACAGAGTAAGGTCCATAATGAATATTTTTTGGATGCATGGATGGATGGATGGATAGATGGATGGATGGATGAGATTTAGAGACCACAAAGGTAAGCAGAAAAAAACCGTTTTTACCTGGTGTGTTTATAAACAAGGAATCTCTGTGGCTGCTGTGTGAAAGACAAATTGTGGGAGCTAGGTGAAGGGAGATGCCAGGAGACGGTTAAAGAGCTATGCAAAGATTCAGGAGGGAACGATGGTGGTTGGGGCCTGGACAGATTTCTTCTTTTTCAAGAATGAGAAAGGGAAAAGGGAGCATAAGGGACCTGTTAAAAAAATGCTACCAGTCTAATAAACTGCCTTTGTAGGTAACTATTTTCATACAGACTTTATGCTTATAGAATTCTTTCTTTATCCTTAAACTTACATATATAAAAATAAAGACACCTCAGAGTTGGTTTCTTTCTGTTAAATTTGCCCACAACTAGCTGAACCCCATGCCTCAGTAGGTTCAGTTCTTTCTTTAGTTCAGGAATGCTGTATTCAATTTCGTCTTTGATTGTTATATAACATTTATTCCTCTATCTTTCTCCCAAAGACCAGTTCTCTATATCATGAATCTCCATTCTCTGTCCTCTAGACATAAGTTATAATGTTCTCTCTCATCATTTTCATCACTTTTTTTGGTACTTTGCATTCTAGAGCCTCCCAAGTTTATAATAGACAGCACTGATTTAGTTTTCTAAGGCAATTTAAAATTCTGCACTACCATTATTGGTTTCCTTATATTTTCCCTTTATCTCAGGCTACAACTTTTCATCTTAGACTACTGTGATAACTTCCTGTATTTCTACTTTCACTTCAGAGAGAGCAGAAAATACATGCTATCTAAAATGTACTTCCATTTTTCCTAAGATACTCTCTTTTGAATTTTCTTTTCCTATTTACAATGAAATATCTTTCCGTGGAATTCAAGTTCCTTTTCTGACTTTTTAGGTTTGATAAAAGATATTTCTATCTTTGCCTAATATCTGTGAAAAAATACTGAGAGGGAACCTTCTTAACCTCTATTGTCTGACTGCAGGCTTTTGTAGAATCGTAAATTTTTTTTTTCTCACTCTCTTCCCCAGGCTGGAGTGCAGTGGCACAATCTCAGCTCACTAAAATCTCCGCCTCCCAGGTTCAAGCGATTCTTGTACCTCATCCTCCCAAGCAGCTGGGACTACAGGTGCGCCACCACACCCAGCAAATTTTTGTATTTTTTAGTAGAGACAGGTTTTGTCATGTTGGCCAGGCTGGTCTTGAACTCCTTACCTCAGGTGATCTCCCTGCCTCAGATCATGATTTTTTTAGTGATCAGTTAAGGCAGCTAAGAAACGTTACGGATTGGATTGTATAGAAAGCCAGGTACTGCTGGAGATCTCTGCCCTGTTTTGACTTTGCGTTTAGTGAAGATAGTGAGCTGAGCACCAGTCATTTTTATTTTATTTTATATTCTATGCAACTTGATCTCAGCTTCAAGTACACAATGCGGCTTTGCTAATCATCCTAGTGACACCACCCACTCTATCAGGAAAAAATTACATCATGTCATGGAGAAGACTTGCTGCTCGCCAGCTTCCCATTGGTTGTCACCATCTTTGACCATGGAGGCAGCTGCTCTTGACAGGTGAATGCAATTCACCTGCAGTACTTCCCATGCACACCATGATTTATCCTCCCTCCTAGACATCACCTCTGGAAACTGGAGAAGCAGTGCAGCTCTGCTGTTCTAACTTTCCACATCTCTTCTTGTGGCCCATGCTGCCCTCCTTTTTTTTTTTTTTTTTAATTATACTTTAAGTTCTAGGGTTCATGTGCAGAACCTGCAGGTTTGTTACATAGGTATACATGTGCCATGTTGGTTTACTGCACCTATCATCTCATCATTTACATTAGGTATTTCTCCTAATGCTATTCCTTCCCCAGCCCCCCACCCCCCAACCAGCCCCGGTGTGTGATGTTCCCTGCCCTGTGTCCATGTGTTCTCATTGTTCAACTCCCATCTATGAGTGAGAACATGCAGTGTTTACTTGGAACCAACCCAAATGTCCATCAATGATAGACTGGATTAAGAAAATGTGGTACATATGCACCATGGAATACTATGCAGCCATAAAAAAGCATGAGTTCGTGTCCTTTGTAGGGACGTGGATGAAGCTGGAAACCATAATTCTGAGCAAACTAACAGAAGAACAGAAAACCAAACACCACATGTTCTCACTCATAGGTGAGAACTGAACAATCAGAACAATTGGACACAAGGTGGGGAACATCACACACCAGGGCCTGTCATAGGGTGGGGGGCTGGGGCAGGGATAGCATTAGGAGAAATACCTAATGTAAATGACGAGTTAATGGATGCAGCACACCAACATGGCACATGTATATATATGAGACAAACCTGCACTTGTGCACACGTACCCTAGAACTTAAAGTATAATAAAAATAAAATAAAATAAAATAAAATAAAAAGTAACCCACCCAAGGTCGAATTAAGAACTTGAGCTATCTTTTTAATCACTACTCTATATAGACATTTGTTGAATAAATGGTCAAATGTATTTTGATCAAGCATATGCTTATTTAAATATCACTTTTTTTTGAATTTTATGAATATTTATTGACCATTTGGAAAAATGTAAGAACAGACTCTCATGGAAAATGTAAGAACAGAATCTCATGGAAAATGTAAATAATTTTCAATCATGCAAACTTAACATTTGATTTATACACTTGCAGGATTTACTCTGTTGTGTGAATATGCATACTTTAGAATAAAACTGGTATCATACCAAAAGAAAAAAAAAGAAAATGTGGCACATATACACCATGGAATACTATTCAGCTGTAAAAAGAATGAGTTCATGTCCTTTGCAGGGACATGGATGGAGCTGGAAACCATCGTTCTCAGCAAACTATCACAAGGACAGAAAACCAAACACTGCTGCCCTCTTTTAATCTAGTCATGGCTTCTCTAACTCTAGAAGAAATTCCTTGAAGTCATAGCAGATGTGTGCCATCTTCCCTGCTTTCCTTTGCTGATCTCTTTATATACTCTTTGGATCATTTTGGGCAAGACTTTGGAAAATGAGAGAAGCGAGAGGAAAAGAGGTCATCTACTGTTTTTGGATCTTTATAATGCCATGCCTGTGACTTAGAAAATTAATGAAACTTTATTGGGTGCATTGATAAAGTGGATGTAGAAGACCCAAGACTTGGGTCTTGGGTGATTTTCCCAAGTTCTCACAGATCACATGTATCTCCTGACCTTTTTTTATGAGGTTCTTGTTCAGATTCTATTTCTGCTAAAAAGCCTGGATTCAATACCCTTATTTTTCCTGCAAAGCTTTCTCTACGCCTCTAAGTCTAAAGTAGTTTTTCCCACACTGAGTTCCCAAAGTACTCTTCTCTGTATCTCTCTTATGACTTTCATCTTTGTTTTATGGTCATTGAAGAACTTGTCTTATTCCATCTATCCCTTCAACAAGATAAAAATACTTCCTCTGTAGATGGAGCAGACTTTGATACCCTCTGGGATAGCATCTGTATAAGGCTTAAGATTGAAAAAGAAGAGGGAAATTTGAATTAAGCCAGCCCACTGTGTGGATTTTCACCATCCCTACATGTGTCCTGGGATCCTCAGCCACCTCATGAGCAGAAGGACACACCTGAACTGTTGGCCTTCTAAATCTAGGGATTGCAAACTTTTTCTATAAAAGGTTAGATAGCAAGTATTTTAGGCCATGAATGAGTGTGGCTGTGTTCAAATAAAAGTTTATTTACAAAACAGGCTGTAGCCTGTGGACTGTAGGTTACGCACCCTATTTTATATCATGGACTTCTCTACCAAGAAAGTGGGAAATAGGTAAGATTTCCTGTTCAGCTGTGGACCCACACTTGACCGGCTAGCTGACCACTACGGAAGGAGAAGAGGTATTCCCTACAACCAACAAGCATCACAATTTTACTTGTGTAGCAGACTTCAACAAACAGTGGAATAGGCATTATCAAAAGTCTTGTGGTAACATAAGAAGAAAGTTGGCACACCAATCAGGTGTTATCAAACTTTGTGGGAGAAATGACCTATTTCTTAATAAGTCAGAATGGAAACATCTCATAAAATAATATTTTAAAAATTCAATAGCAAGCACCTCTCTGTGGAATATTTTAGAAAGGTCCAGGCTAGGCGCAGTGGCTCACGCCTATAATCCTAGCACTTTGGGAGGCCAAGGAGGGCAGATCACAAGGTCCAGAGATCTAGACCATCCTGGCCAACATGGTGAAACCCCGTCTATACTAAAAATACAAAAATTAGCTGGGTGTGGTGGTGCGTGCCTGTAGTCCCAGCTACTCAGGAGGCTGAGGCAGGAGAATTGCTTGAACCCAGGAGGCGGAGGTTGCAGTGAGCCGAGATCGGCCACTGCGCTCCAGGCTGGCACCTGGTGACAGAGCGAGACTGAGTCTCAGAAAAAAAAAAAAAAAGGTCCCATCTGTGATTTTTCCCTCGCAAACATAGGTTCCAGCTAAGGCAGCTGTTTGCAGAATCTTATGGCAGCTAACTCTGCAAACTGACCTACTTCTTCCAAACTCAGCTCTGCAAATTGCATGGTTAGAACAAGCCCTGTGTGTGACAGGTTTTTTTTTTCAGATACTGCAACCCGGCTGCTATTTCATTATTGCCAACTTTGAAATTCGCCTTGATGGTTTCTTAAGTTTTATGGGAAATCTTAAGGAAAAAAAAAATAGGCAATGGATAAAAATGGTCACATGCTGAACACAGGTGAGGTTTTTCTGGGTTTCCACCATATGTCAGGCTATGTCCTCTTTTAGGGCCAGATTCACATCTTATTTATTCATCTTGGCATCATCTACAAATCCTAGTGTCTTTCATGTAGTAGCTGTTCAATAAATAGTGTAGTGAATGCATACATACATGAGTGACAGATAAAAAGAAATAAGAAGGAAGACAGATAGGAAATGTACGGGCAGGAGAGAATATTTTCCTCTGTTTCTCAGGTGATCAACTCCATTTATTTGTTCACTCATTCATTCATTCATTGATGAACATTTATTGAGTATTCTCTGTACTCAATACTCATATAGTCTACTATATGAGTAGACTACTCATATAGTCATTGGATACCCACTTCCCCACCACTGCCAGGTGCACAGAATCTGTTGGATCAGCATAAGAAATGATTTCATAGAGGCCTTATGTGAGGGGTGAATTTGAATTTTGAATATGACTTACTGTTATCCATGATTCTGTCACTAATGAAAATTACAAATATTTTCGTATCATCCTTTTTTTTTTTTTGAGAGGAAGTCTTGCTCTGTCACCCAGGCTGGAATGCAGTGGTACAATCTCGGTTCACTGCAACCTCCACCTCCCGGGTTCGAGCCATTCTCCTGTCTCAGCCACCTGAGTAGCTGGGACTACAGACGCCTGCCATGATGCCCAGCTAATTTTTGTATTTTTAGTAGAGATGGGGTTTCATCACGTTGGCCAGGCTGGTCTCGAACTCCTAACCTCAAGTGATCCACCTGCCTCAGCCTCCCAAAGTACTGGGATTACAGAAGAGAGCCACAGCACCCTGCCTATTTTCAAATCATTTTACTGAAAGTAGATCCAATGCTAGATCCTTCTCAAATAATGTGTTAATTAAAAGCACAAGTATTATCATATTGCAGATTGGGGTTCCTTTTCGTATTTTGAAAACTGTATTTCAATATAATTAGTTTTCTTAATATATTTCATTTTATGCATTTAAAAACATTATTTTAAAGCAAGGCACAGTGGCTTGCACCTATAATCCCAGCATTTTGCGAGGTCAAGGTGAGAGAATCACTTGAGTCCAGGAATTCAAGATTAGCCTGGGCAACACGGTGAAACCCTGTCTCCACAAAAACATATGAAATTTAGCTGGGCATGTGGTGCCTACCTATAGTCCCAGCTATGTGGGAGGCTCAGATGGGAGAATCACCCACATCACTGCAGTCCAGCCCAGGTGACAGAGTGAGACCCTGTCTCAAAAAGTAAATATATATATATACATATATATATATGTGTATGTATATATTTATGTATATATTATGTACCCTGACCCAAATATATATATAATATATATATTGAATTGAATATATATATATACTGTATATAACTTGGGTCAGGGTACATAAATCCAGCCCCTGGCTTCATTCAGAGAGACAGGATCCTCACCTCTGATCATGTGTGGTAAACATTCAGTTTCCATTTTCTATAGGAATTGGTATTCTGTTCCTTTCTCAGCTGGTAGCATAAACTTCACTTAACTCAGTGGGCTTCCCTTGCACTTTGATCAATGGAAGTATTTTAGCAGGGTATTAGTAAGGGAGGGATTTCTATTATTTTTATGCTTATTTTAGTACATTTATATATTTCCAAAGTATTTTATTGATCATTTCTATGTGTTTGCATTGGAGGGTTGAGATCGTTGCATGCACCCAGTCTACCATCTTGCCTAGAGGTCTTCTTTTGACTCTGTTGCAAGAGTGATGTTGTAAGAAATTGATTCAATGGCTTCCCACCTTCTGCAGAATAAAGTACAAGTTCTTTAGCAGGGCAAACAACTTGGCTCTAGCCAACCTTTCCACCTTAATGACCTATCATTCCCTTTATTCACCTCATATTTCAATCATACTAGATTATTTGCTCTCCTCATAATGTCTGATGAAATAGTACCATGAGTTAATACTCAAGGCCCAGTTCAAAAATTATTTCCTCTCTGTAGCTTTCCCTTAGGCAGATTAATTACCCTTCATCACAGTGGTCTATTAGAGCATTTAATCACTCTATAACCCAATGTGTCTTTTCTTCTCCATCTAATTCTGAGCCTCTCTAAAACATAATGATATATCCTTTATCTCCAGATTCCCATTACCTAGCATACAGTGACCAGATATGTGTTGCATTAGAACTGACATTAATCCCTCACTCTCTCTGAATGCATGTTTTTAGCGCACATGTTATTCTCTTGAGATAGCTGATCAAAATCTATAGAGCAATTGAGTTTAGAACTTAAAACCTAAGTTGAATTAAACTTAGGTTTAATTCATGCAATCGAACATTCTCGGGTTAGAAAGAGATGCTAAGAGCTATGTAGGCTAATCACCCATACATCATACAGTTATTCTGCAACTTCCCAATCTAGCAATCATCCAGAGTTTGACATCTTCTATTTAGCCTGTCTTCATTCCTTGCATATGATGTGGCAATAGTTGGCCTTTTTCCTGGTGCCGGATCACCACTCACTCTCCGGGGTTTCCCAAGTCTGCAAAGTTCAACAACAATGAAAAGAAATTCACAGTCCAGTATTTCTCAGATGTCATCTATCCTCCAGCCATTGCCCTTCCAAACTAGCTGATGGTGGAGTTCTGGCAAGGTCTCCTTTATTTGTTTTCTACTGAAATTTTAGGAAGGAGAGTTGGACTAGCTCTCAGTATGCCCCTTGACTTTGATCCCTTTTGTATTCTGTCTAGGGGAAGTTACTGGAATGTCTCACTCATGGATGGCACTCTTCCCTAGTTCTACCGCTAATGTAGATTTTTCTCTTCTTTTCATACTCCTTCGATTATGTCAACAAGAACCTGGGCAAAGGGGAGAAGTATGACACTTAAATGCTTCTTCAGGGGAAGAACCAAGGACAGACACCCTCTTCTCTAATCTCAACCTTGAAATGGAGAAATGCTAACCACATATGGTCAAAGTCAAATGTATTGACAGAACATATTTTCTTTTTTTATTTTATTTTATTTTTTTTTGAGACAGGGTCTGGTTCTGTCACCTAGGCTGGAGTGCAGTGGCACAATCTGGGCTCACTGCAACCTCCGCCTCCCAGGTTCAAGTGATTCTCGTGCCTCAACCTCCCAAGTAGCTGGGACTACAGGCATGCACCACCACACCTGGCTAATTTTTGTATTTTTAGTAGAGACAGAGTTTCACCATGTTGGCCAGGCTGGTCTTTAACTCCTGGCCTCAGTGATCCTCCCTCCTTGGCTTCCCAAAGTGCTGGGATTATAGGCATGAGCCACTGACACACCTGGCCGACAGGTCATATTTTCTAAAGAGCAGAGTCACTGCATGATTAAGGTCATACATGTGAATATGGTCCCGTCTTCTTTTTTATGTTTTTAGGAGGTTAAATCAGCAAACTCACTCTGGCTATCTCTAGCCTATGCCAGGGTACTTCACTCTCTCTTCTTCTTGCCTGGGCTTGTTTGCCCATTTTCATCTTATTGATGAGAAAACAGAAACTTCAAGAAGTGAGCTTTTAGCTTCATAAGAGAGAGAGGGAGATCCCTTAGATGATGGCGATAGGATTAGCTCTATACTGTAACCTAGCTTGTTGGAATGGTTTATGCTGAGTGTAGGTCATGTGCCCTGATGGTAAAAATCAAATGACATTTGACTCCCATTGGCCACTGTGGGAACCAAGACCCATGGCCCCCTAAAGGTTTGCTGAAAATCACTGACATGAGACAGATCAACTAACAGGAGAAAAGGCATACAATAAAATAAGACAGGTTATCTTGGTAAATCAGGTTTAGTGGTGGCAAGACAGGCTGTAGGAGAGAGAAGGAAAGAGACTTAGCTAGCAAAGTTGGTCTTGTTATGTAGGCAAAGCCTCACAGGTAGTAGCCCTCAGACAGAAGAGATGAAAATGTTTATTTTCAGACTTTTAAGATTCCAGACTCTAATCTCTCCTGGATCCAGGAAAGGCCTGGCTGCATTATTGGAGATTCTCTACAGATGCAAATTTCCCCTGCAGAAGAAAGTTTACAAGGCCACTCCTGTCTGCTGGCCTCGCTGCAGCCATTTCAAAACATGTCCAAGAAATATATTTTGGGGTAAAATATTTTGATTTCTTTCAATACAACTATTACTGGAAAGCTGTCTCAACTCAGACCCCAGGAGAAGGTTCTTGGATCTTGCACAAGACAGGATTTAGGGCGAGTCCACTGAATGAAGTGAAAGCAAGTTTATTAAGAAAATATCAATGAAAAGAGTCAAACTCTGGAAAATATTGGAGGATTTATTCTGAGCCAAATATAAGTGACCAATGGTCTATGACGCAGCCCTCAGGAGATTCTGAGAATATGTGCCCAAGGTGGTCGGGGCACAGTGATATTTTAGGGAGTCATGAGACATAAATCAAACACGTGTAAGATTTACATTGGTTCTATCTGGAAAAGCATGACAACTCGGCAGGGGGTAGGGGGCAGGGGAGGGTTCCAGGTTAAAAGTTTTCTGATTGGCAATTGATTGAAAGCGTTATTATTAATAGAAAGAAGTGTCTAGGTTACAGTAAAGGATTGTGGAGACCAAAGTTTAATCATGCAGATGAAACCTCCAGATAGCAGTCTTTAGAAAGAATCAATTATAAATGTTTCTTAGCTTGTCAGACTTAAGGTCTGTGCGGATATTAAGTGCTGGTCAGCTTTTCCTGAATTCCAAAAGGGAGGAGCACTTTGGGAGGCCAAGGTGGGAGGATCCCTTTAGCCCACGAATTTGGGACCAACCTGGGCAACATAGCAAGACCCCATCTCTACAAAAATGCAAAACAAATTAACCTGGCATGGGGATGCACATGTGTCATCCCACCTACTCAGGAGGCTGAGGCAGGAGGATCGCCTGAGCTCAGGAAGCCAATGCTGCAGTCAGCCGTGTTCACACCACTACACTCCAGCCTAGGTGACAGAGTGAGACCCTGAGAAAGAAGGAAAGGAAGAGAGAAGAAAGGAAGAGAGAAGAAAGAAAGAAAGAAAAAGAAAGAAAAAAAGAAAGAAGAAAGAAAAAGAAAGAAAGAAAGAAAAAAAGAAAGAAAGGGAAGGGAAAGGAAGGGAGGGGAAGGGAGGGGAAGGGAGGGGAAGGGAGGGGAAGGGAGGGGAAGGGAGGGGAAGGGAGGGGAAGGGAGGGGAAGGGAGGGGTGGAAGGGAAGGAAGGAAGGAAGGAAAGAAAGAAAAGAAAGAAAGGAGATGAAAGAATAGCTGCTCCAGTCCATAGACAGAACAAGTCTTTCTGAAAGCAAAAGAAGGAACATGGCTGCTTTAGATATAATGCTTCTTTATATATAAGACAACTAAGCAAAAAATCATGGGTGGCATGTGTTCTACTACGAGGGCTTATGACAAAGGATTGATATCTTTGTGCAACTACTGTCTTCTGCAAGAATCTATATTATTATCTTTAAAGCAAAACTTATTATTAAACTAAGAATGCTTTTGTTCTTAAGATGTTGGTCTGTTAAGACCTGGGTCTGTTTGGTAAACACAATAAACTTGTTCCCCTTACTGTAAATATCTTGTTGACTAAGAATGCCTAACCTCCTGGGAATGCAGCCCAATAGAGCTCATCCTCATTTTACCCAGCTCCTATTCAAGATGGAGTCACTCTGGTTCAAATGCCTCTGACACAACTTCATCCAAAATAACCCACCAGGTAGACCATTCTGCCTGTATCAGACCAGGGCTAGAGCAGATACTGCAGCTCTGAAGGGAAATGTCTGCTTTGGACAGGCTCCACATGAAGGGCTCAGAGATGTGGTTTGCAAGGGTATACTTCAGTGCCCACTGGTCCTCTGGACTTCCACAGGTGAAAAAGTCAAGGAGATAAACCATTAAGGCTTTCAGAAAGGCAGAAGATGGGGACCATCTTTAGGGTGCAGAGGCCCTCATGGCAGGACTTATCACACTCAGAATAATGTTATTCTTTCCTACAAAGAGGAATGGTGTTTACATCACATCCATCTCTTTCCAACATGTCTGCTTTGGAAACCAGAAGAAGTGAGGGTGTAATGCCCAGCACAAAAACAGACATCTGCCACTCATGGTCACACACCATCAACTCAGCCAAATAACTCATTTTCCAAATGCATAATACCTCTTACACTTGGACAGCTGTCATCAAACAGACGTGGACTCAGAGACCTTCCCAGACAAATCCTTCTGCAGCAGAACAGCGCAGAGGGGGAGGTGTGCCTGTCTGGGGGTTGGGATTTTCAGCTGGAGGGAATTCACTTGGAATTTCAAAAGGCTCTGACTGCAAATTCTGCCGTACATCTTTACTTGTTTGTATGGTTCTTGGGCATACAGGAGACGGGACAAAATTGTACTGGGAAGGAGGCAGCTGTGTTATTGCAGGAAAAGGAGCTACATGCCAGCAATACAATGGTGAACATAAATAGACCTGACACTGATAGCTTAGGATAAGTCTATTCTTGCATAGCCCTGCAGACACATATAAAACACACAAAAATGGATGCACACACTTGGTTCTCACCGTCCAAGTTCCCATACAAACAACTCCAAGGCCAAATCTCCCAGAAAATATCAGATTAAGTCACTAATCTAGACTGTAGCTACGAAATCATAGGTAAAAGCCAAAGGAAGAGTCTGAAGAAATGATCATTATCTAAGGACACTTCCTCCTTCCAAGTCACGTTAACATGTGACGGCTCTGTGCTAAAAGGCTGTGAGGCTGGGCCGGGCGCAGTGGCTCACGCCTGTAATCCCAGCTCTTTGGGAGGCCGAGGCGGGCGGATCACGAGGTCAGGAGATCGAGACCATCCTGGCTAACACGGTGAAACCCCGTGTCTACTAAAAATACAAAAAATTAGCTGGGCGAGGTGGCGGGCGCCTGTAGTCCCAGCTACTCGGGAGGCTGGGGCAGGAGAATGGTGTGAACTCGGGAGGCGGAGCTTGCAGTGAGCTGAGATCGCGCCACTGCACTCCAGCCTGGGCAACAGAGCGAGACTCCATCTCAAAAAAAAATAAATAAATAAAAATTAAAAAAAAAAGCTGTGAGGCCTTGCACAAGTCACAACATCTGATACTCAGTTTCCTTATGTGTTAAATGGGGATAATAGAACCTAGATGAGTCGATATTTCCATGATATAATTCCATGACATATTTCCATGATATAATCTTTTGTGCATCCAAATGATTATACACAAAGAATCCTGTTTATTCAAGTCCATCTCTAGAGACACCGGGGAATTACAGATTCTACTTTCTATGGCTTGGTCCATTGCAAGCACATTGTGTGTGTGAGGGTTCTTCCTTCCCTGGGGCAGGACAAGGATAAGAAAATATAAAATAAAAATGAAGCCTTAAATAATAAGAAGAAGCCACTTCCCCAGAAACTACCTGCAGCTTTGTCAGCAGCCTAACCATTTACCAAAGCCTGAGGCCACTCTAGAGAGGAAGTGGTGGTATGTGACAGCAAGGAGGAAGGAGTACACAGTAGCTTGCTGTCTGGGGACTGGCCTCCCAGCCAAGTGGAAGCCTCACTCCCAGCCATCTGAAAAAGAAAACTGCATCATGGGAGAACGCAAAGAGAAACTATTGACCTCCCTGGCACAATTGAATTTTGTCTCCTCTCTCTTTGAAGTGCAGATAGAGACCACTAATTCTAATTCTGTCAACTTAAATCTATTTCCTATCATTGGTGAAGTATAATGTCAGACATGTGAAAGTCAGCTTTCTCCCTGGATTTTCTCCAAGTTTGGGGATTTGGGAATTATTAAACCCAATTTGCAGTTGGAGAAACTAAGACTCAAAGGGAAAATTACCTATCAAAGCTACATAGAGAATAAAGGGGAGGAGCTGGGGGTCTTTGTGGCAATGTATTAGAAATTTTGAGGGATCTGCGGGTCCTACTCTTATCCCCATTTAAATAGTAATTGTTAGCTACTGTATCTGCTTCTGAACTGAACCTGAGCTGCACACCTCAATAACATCTTCAAGTTCATTTATCCTAATTAAAAAGAAACCACAAGGGTTCAGAAGCACAATAATAAATCCCCATTTACAGATAGAAATCAATGAAGATTAGACATTCAGGGACACGCAGGGTCACTCAAAATTCAAGGAAGAGGCCGGGCAAGGTGGCTCATGCCTGTAATCCCAGCATTTGGGGAGGCTGAGGTGGGTGGATCACCTGAGGTCAGGAGTTTGAGATCAGCCTGGCCAACATGGTGAAACCCCATTTCTATCAAAAATACAAAAAATTACCCGGGTATGGTGGTGGTCACCTGTAATCCCAGCTACTCAGGAGGCTGAGGCAGGAGAATCGCTTGAACCTGGGAAGTGGAGGTTGCAGTGAGCTGAGATCACACAACTGCACTCCAAGCCTGGGCCAGAAGAGCAAAACTCCATCTCAAAAAAAAAAAAAAAAAATTCGAGGAAGAATAGGAATGGAAATATTTACCCAAATTTCCAAATTGATACTTACTTCATTTAATAACATTCCAATTACTAGCTATAAGGTGCTATGTAAATTGCCTAACATCTCTGAGCCTTCATCCTTTAATGGAACAATGGTAATAATATTTATCTCACACACTATTATGGTTAGGATAATTAATACTGATTGTTGTTAGGGCCAGGAATGGTGGCTTATATCTGTAATCCCAGCACTTTGGGAGGCCAAGGCAGGAGGATCACTTGAGGCCAGGAGTTTGAGACCAGCCTAGGCAACATAGAGAGACCCTGTTTCTACACAAACATTTTTAAAATTAAAAACATATAGAGAGAACACATGGACACATGATGGTGAATGACACACTGTGGGGACTGTTGGGGGGTGGAGGGGAGGAAGGAGATCATCAGGAAGAATAGCTAATGGATGCTGGGCTTAATACATAAGTGATGGGTTGATCTGTGCAGCAAACCACAGTGGTACATGTTTACCTAGGTAACAAACCTGCACATCCTGCAGATGTACCCTGGAACTTAAAATAAAAGTTGAAGAAGAAAAAACATATTGTAAGAGTTAAAGAAAGATGAAAGAAACATGAAAAGCTCCTCAACAAAGACAGGTTTATTTTGGAGAATAAACCTGAGAGGGGCTTCTGGCTGATTTCAGTCAGGAGCACTCTCCCTTACAAACTAACAGTATTTATTGGTGAGAGAGTTTATTAAAGGCTTGGAATGTTTCTGTGTTGGGGAGAAGTTTACAGTGGGGTTGGAATGTCTTTGGTTGGAGGGCAGGTTATCTCAGGGCTGGCATATCTCTGGTCAGGGAGGAGCTTATATTATGTTGGAAAATTTCTCGTCAGAGATGTCATTTGTGGTTTATGGTCATGCTGACCTTAGCCATTGGGCTGATGCACTTTGGATTTAGGCAGTTTTTGACCAAGGTGAACTTTAGAATGGTGGTGCTTGTCCAAGATGGTGATGCTCCTGCTCTGTCACATATATATAGTAATTGTTGTTCAAGACTACATTGGGCCAGACTTATCCAAGGGTTCCGTGCACTTTCCACCTATAGCTAAATGCTAGGTTCCACTTCCAGGGTGGAAGAGTAACCTTTCAACATACTGATCCTCCTACCAAACTCAGCTATAAGCTCTGGACAAAATCCTCCCCAAAACAACCACCTGAGACCTCTGGAGCATGAAGAAAAGCAAGAGATTTTGGAGGGAAGTCAAAACTTGGAAAGAAGGAATCTTTATGAGTTGAGTTTTCCATTAGTGGGATTTTGCCCTGATGACAAACTCCAGTCATAATGTAAGGAAGCCAAAATTATAGAAAGCCCACTTACTTTTTGGCTTATGTAACAAGGATGTAAAAACTGGGCAACCATGGATGTTGAAGAATAAAAAGGGAATCTCAAAAAAAACAAAAAACAAAAAACAAAAAATGAGAGCCAGAGAAGAACCCTAAATTGTGTGCAAACCCTGCCCAAGCCTCTGACTGGTGTTTGAACCATTCACGCGTGAGACAGACTGCAAGCAGCTGATTTGAATATAGAATATTGAAACTGAGATTTGAGCTGCTACCCACCTAATCAAGTTAATGCAAGTTACAAATAGTATTCACTGGAGGAATGTAACAGAATCCAAATGTGACATCACATCTTATAAAAGAAGGCTTAAAAAATCACTTTGAAGGAAGTTAGTCATGGTCAATGGTGGAAATGGTTCTCGAACTCTGATGTGCCTGGCTCCCAAACCCATGGTTCTTTTCAATTACATCAAAAAGTATTAGACAGAAAATCCAGGAAAGTTGCATTCTCTGTTCTCTCTGCACAGAATCCTTAATGCTTCCACAGCTGGTGAAAGAGGAGATCCCTCCTCCTCTGCCTCCTTTTATCATCTTTATTGAGCTATAATTCACATGAATACAATTAACCTATTTAAAGCCTACAGTTCAATGGTTTTTACTATATTCACAAAGTTGTGCAACTGTCACCACAATCTATTTGAGAACATTGTTATCACCGCAACACACCAAAAAACCTCCATACCCATTAGCAGTCATTCTCCTCCTCCCCACACCCTCACCCTACCCATTGGCAGCCACTAATCTAGTTTTCTTTTGTTTTTGTTTTGTTTTGGTTTGGTTTTGGTTTTTTGGGGCTTTTTTTTTTTGAGATGGAGTCTCACTCTTACCCAGGCTGGAGTGCAGTGGTCTGATCTCAGCTCACTGCAACCTCCACCTCCTTGGTTCAAACTGGGACTACAGGCTGGGACTACAGGTGCATGCCACCATGTCTGGCTAATTTTTATTTATTTATTTATTTATTTATTTATTTATTTATTTGTATTTTTACTAGAGACAGGGTTTTACCATGTTGGCCAGGCTGGTCTCAAGCTCCCGACCTCAGGTGATTCGCCCGCCTCAGCCTCCCAAAGTGCTGGGATTACAGGTGTGAGCCACTGCACCCAACCCCCTAATCTACTTTCTGTCTCTATAGTTTTGCCTGTTCTGGACATTCCATATAAAGAGAGTCATACAATATGTGATATTTTGTAAGTGGACTGTTTCATTTGGTATATGTTTTCAAGATTCATCCATGGCATAGCACACATCAGCACTTCATTACTTTTTATTGCCATTTAAATAATGTTCCATTGTATGGATAGATCACATTTTACTGATCCATTCACCAGTTGATGAACATCCACGTTGTTTCCATTTTTGACTACTATGAGCAGTGCTGCTATGAATATTCACACACAATTTTTGTACAGACGTGTGTTTTCATTTTTCTTGAGTATACACCTGGGAGTGGACCTACTGGGTCATGTGGGAGTGCTTTTTTTTTTTTTCTTGAGACGGAGCCTTGATCTGTCGCCCAGGCTAGAGTGCAGTAGCATGATCTCGGCTCACTGCAACTTCCGCCTCCCGGGTTAAAGCGATTCGCCTGCCTCAGCCTCCTGAGTAGCTGGGATTACAGGCACCCACTGCCATGCCTGGCTAATTTTTGTGTTTTCAGTAGAGACAGGGTTTCACCATGTTAGCTAGGCTAATCTCCAACTCCTGACCTCAAGTGATCTGCCTGCCTCAGCCTCCCAAAGTGCTGGAATTACCAGCATGAGCCACCACACCCAGCCCCAGGAGTGCTTTGTTTAAGTTTTGGTGACCACCAGACTGTTTTCCAAAGTAGCTGTGTATTAGCCCAGTCTCATGCTGCTAATAAAGACATACCTGGGACTGGCTAATTAATAAGGAGGTTTAATGAACCCAGAGTTCCACATGGCTGGAGAGGCCTCACAATGATGGCAGAAGATGATGGAAGAGCAAAGGGACATCCTACATGGCAGCAGGCAAGAGAGTGCATGCAGGAGAACTGCTCTTTTGCAAAACCATCAGATCTTGTGAGACTTAATCACTATCACAGAACAGCATGGGGAAAAATCCCACCCCCATGATTCAATTACCTCCCACCAGGTCCCTCCCAGGGACCCATGGGGATTATTACAATTCAAGGTGAGATTTGGGTGGGGACACAGAGCCAAATCGTATCAAGCTGCATCATTTTATATTCTTGCCAGTGGAATATGAAGGGTCCAATTTCTCCACATCCTTGTCCACACTTGTTATCGTCTGTCTTTTTAATTATAGCTATGCTAGAAAGTGTGAAGTGGTAGCTTATTTTGGTTTTAAATCATGTTTTACTGATGGCTAAAGATGTTGAACAACTTTTCATGTGCTAATTGGTCATTTGTATATTTCCTTTGGAGAGCTAGCCAGACTCCTGGACTTTAAAAAAAAATTGTCTTTTCCACTGCATCACTTTTATGGCAAGACAAAAAAAAAATTATAATTTTTTTTTTAAAAAAGATGGGGGTCTCACTGTGTTACCCAGGCTGGTCTCAAACTCCTGGCCTCAACCGATCCTCCCACCTCAGCCTCCCAGAGTGCTGGGATTACAGGTGTGAGCCACTGTACTGTGCCAGAAAATTCTAATTTTGATGAAGTCCAATGTAACTATTTTTCTTTGGTTGCTTGTGCTGACTTCTTCTTGGTACCTGGGTCACCATGTATTATTATTATTATTATTATTGTAGCTCTTATGGTTATCTGAAACTGGATTTATTTATTTATTGCCATACTTGATTACATTCTGTCTCCCACTAGACTACACACACTCTGAAGGCAAGAAGCATGTGTGTTGTGCCAAAGAAACATCCTAAACCCAAATTAGGCACTTGATAAGTATTTTACATGAATGAATATACAATTCTTTATACCGTCCCAGCAAAAAGCAAGCCCGTAAGGGAAAACATGTCACCAATGAGAAAAGTGTAGGATTCGGCAGTTTGTTTATTCCTTTCCCCCAAAAAAAATAGTTTTAGAAGCATCCCCTGCAGCCTCCATCCATTCTCACCTGGAACCAAGGCTTGGTGAGCTCTGGGGAAGCAGAGGCCTTTGCTCAGAGATTGCCTGGGGCAGAGCACGAGCTGCTGGTATGGAAATGAGGCTGAGCTACAGTCAGGCGACATCTGCTCATCGAAACCGGCCAAAGGCATCGGCGGCCTCACACAGCTTCATTCTGAGGACTGACAGCCATTCGGTGTCCCTGAAGAGCTCTCACTCGGATACGGTTGGTAGCAAACCCAATAGTCGCTCAACTCCGCAAACTAATTGATCATTGTTTGGCCATTAGCATGGCTTACCTCCTACGCCACGTTCCAGGCTCAATCCCCTCTCTTCGCATCACCATCGTTTGCAGGGTTTATCTTCAGATGCTTTTCTTTCCTGGTTAACTTTGTAAAAAGAATGTACTTGGCCCATTTCCCTCAAAAGAAGGAGGCTCTTAAATGCTTCATTTTATCTTCCCTGAATCCCAGGTCTATAGCCTCCTCTTATTGTAACAATTTAAAAGAGACTTCAGAAAGGGTTTCATATCAGGGAAAAATATTAAGGATGTAATTGTACTGGGAATAGTGATGTTACCAAAATGCCAGGCCCTGACTCATCCGTGTGTGACAAGTGGATCTCTCAATCCTAAATTTAGGTTAGTCCAGTCCCTTTAACAAAAACTTACCAGGGACCGGGCACGACTATTACAGGAAAGGGTCCTCATCCAGACCCAGAGAGAGGGTTCTTGGATCTCACGCAAGAAAGAATTCAGGGTGAGTCCACAGGACAAAGTGAAAGCAAGTTTATTAAGAAAGTAAAGGAGTAAAAGAATGGCTACTCCAACAGCTTCATTTTACCCAGCTCCTATTTAAGATGGAGTTGCTCTGGTTCACACGCCTCTGACACGGTGGCTCACGCCTGTAATCCTAGCATTTTGGGAGGCTGAAGGGGGAGAATCACCTGAGCCCACAAGTTCAAGAGCAGCCTGGGCAACATAGTAAGACTCCATCACTACAAGAAATAAAATAAAAAATTAGCCCAGCATTGTGGCACGCACCTGTAGTCCCAGCTACTCAGGAGGCTGAGGCAGGAGGAACATTTGAAAATCAGCAGTGCCCTTATCTAGAGATCCACTAGGAACCTCAGCCTTATCACTTGGTGGGAAAAGAAAATCTGAAATGGACTATAACCCATGGGTCTGGAAGAAATCACCAAACTTATCTAGGATGGCCTAGTTACTGGGATGAGGTTTGTGTTTTCTTTTCCTGTCTCATATTCTAGTTTTCTGCCAGAGCTAGAGCCCCCAGTCCTGCTGACCCTAAATCCTACTTTCATTAGGCCAGTAGTTTCCACGACCGTCAGTACTTATCCATTAGAATTACCTGGGGAGCTGGGCGCGGTGGCTCACACCTGAAATTCCAGCACTTTGGGAGGCCCAGGAGGGCAGATCACTTGAGCCCAGGAGTTCGAGACCAGCCTGGGCAACATGGTGAAATCTCATGTCTACAAAAATATTTAAAAATTAACTGAGTGTGGTGGTGCACATGTATAGTCCCAGCCACTCAGGAGGCTGAGGTGTGTAAAAAGTAAAGTAGAGGTTCCTCTTCAAAGACTTCCCTCCCCGTCTAATTAGGAATAAATGGTAACTTCTCTTAGAAGCAAAATTTATTCAAAAACCTGGGCACCTAAATATTTGCCCTAGCATGCTTATACTGGTCCAAGCAAGCATTAGGTCATAGCCTGCTCCTCTTCCTTATTTAAAAGTGTTTTTACCTTTCTCAGCATTCCACAAGTTACCTCCTCCTTCCTTTGTTCTCCTCTACCTTTGCCTCTTTTAAAAAGTTCTAAGTTGCTAGCCAGTCGGACAGATACAGAATGTAAGGTCCCATTCCAGCCAACGGAAACCAGACATAGCAGTAGGGTGGACGCGTCAGGTTGTAAATGACCCTGTCTCCTTTGTTCGGTGTACTCTCGTGGCGAAACTGCTGGCGAGTGTACCCTTTCTGCAGGAAGTAAAAATGGCCTTACTAAATAAATTAAATTTATGTGCAAGTGCTATTTCTTTATGGCACCAGGGAACAAGCATTTCAAACAGGTGAGAGGATTGCTTGAGCCCGGGAGGTCAAGGCTGCAGTGGGCTGAGATTATGCCACTGCACTCCAGCCTGGGCAATATAGTAAGACTCTGTCTCAAAAACAAAAACAAAAAAGAATTACCTGGGGACTTTTTCAAAAATGCTAGTGCCCAGGCCCTACTCCAGACCAATTAATTCCCAGTCTCTGGGTGTGGGGACCAGACTTCTGAAATCTCAAAAGCTTCCTGGGTAATGCCAGAATCAAGATAGAATGAAGAGCCATGTATTTAGCATCAGATGATAGCGGCATTAAGAAGTAGCATTAACTTTGGGATCCTGAGGCAGGCAGGATCATTTGAGGTCAGGAGTTCGAGACCAGCCTGATCAACGTGGTGAAACCCTGTTTCTACTAAAAATACAAAAAAAAAATTAGTCAGGCATGCTGGCATGTGCCTGTAGTCCCAGCTACTTGGGAGGCTGAGGCAGGAGAATCACTTGAGCCAGTGAGGCAGAGGTTGCAGTGAGCCAAGATCACGCCATTGCACTCCAGCCTAGGCAACAGAGCAAGACTCTGTATCAAAAAAAAAAAAAAAAAAAGTGATGTTAAAAGAAAAAGTCTCTCCAAGACCTCTGATGCCAACGCCTGCCTGGCTTTCTGCATTAACTCCTAAACGGCTCCTGATAGGTTTGCCCACACCTGAGTTTGTCACTCTTTTGTAGATGGACAAGGGGTCAGCCTAACTTCATGGTAGTGTTCCGTCTTCCATCATGCCTGCTCTTCACTTCCTTCTCCTCCCTGTTGACCCAGTTGCTGAGGATTGAAGGGTATCCTAGCACTCTAGACAGTTAGGCCCAAGTGGAGTTTGAGGCTAGAGCTGGGTTCGGGGCACAGAGCAGGCCCCTGGGAGGACCAGCACATGACTGGTAGAACAAGCTGGAGGCCCAGTTTCTCGAAAGGAATCTGCATTGGGTGAAGTCCCTGTTGTGCCACATCCCTGTTGACTCCAACACTGTGTCCAAGAAACTGAAGAAGAGACCTAAAACGTGCAAAGGAGACAGAGACATAGAGTTTATTAGAGAGTTACAGACAGGGCAGTCCAGGAACAGCGGGCTGGACAGGAAAACCACTGCCGTTTGTAAAAAGCATTCAGTTTATTTAGCCATGAAACTGCCTTTGCAAAATTATAACTAAGGAAATTCTAACAGTGAAAGAAATCAGACCTAACCAACTCCATTTTGCTTATAACCTTTAAGCTGTCCTTGTTCATTCCTGGGCATAGGCTGAACAAACTTTGGGAAGGAACTCCGTTCATGGTTTGACTCTGAAACAAAATTGATAACAGCCCTTTCCCAAAAAGGCCTCCTTGCCTGGGGACCAGTCTGCCTATGCAGGACTAACAAATTCGTTACAAGATTAGAAATTACAGTTTAGGGGTCGCGCAGCCTGTGGCTCCAAGAGTCTGAACCTCCCCAAATTGCTCCTGGGGATAACATCACTATTGTAAAACCTAAGGTCAGTGTTTGAGATGTTTTGCAGACCCTGCACTCGATGGATCCACTGACACCTTCCAGACCAGTAATCTGGCTCAACCAGTTCTGCCATCCCACCCAGGAACGGAAGACAGCAAGAAAACCTCACTTCAACCCCCTATGATTCCATCTCCAATCTGACCAATCTGCACTCTCACTTCCCGAGCCCCTACCCACCAAATTATCTTTAAAAACTCTGATTCCTGAATCCTCAGGGAGACCGATTTGAGTAATAATAAAACTCCAGTCTCCCACACAGCCGGCTCTGCATGAATTACTCTTTCTCCATCGCAATTCCCCTGTCTTCATAAATTGGTTCTGTCGATGCAGCGGGCAAGGTGAACCCACTGGGTGATTACAGCAATCTTCACTTAGCACCCTCCCCCTAGTACCCTCCACCTAGCAACCTCCATTTAACGGAAAACACAGGGCCTTTGTCCCCTGCACGACCTGCATTGCAAGGAATGGACCAGGGGGTTCCGATGTCCTTCATGCATAAAGAGTGATTCTCCAGATTGACCACTCCTGGATTCCTTAGCTTGGGACCCCAAACACACATTTTCTTAGACCATAGGGTCATTCTCAGGGTATGCTTAAGTTATTGTTGTCAGGTGCACCTGCCATACAGCCCCACATGTCAAAAGTGCTGCCTTTGAGATTATGTGAGCATCCAGGGGTCTCCCGCAGCTCTGAGTTCAGTAACTGGTGTCTGACTGCCAGCAAGAGAGCTGGGGAAGTTGCAGGGACAAGGGAGGCAGCCAGAGGCCCAGCTGTCATGTGGGCTCTATTTTCTGAAAATGTGAATGCATCTGATCTCCACTGGTCCCATAGGGTGGAGACTATTAATAAACTCCTGGCCCCGGAGGAAGTCTGCCCTGGAACTGGGACAGGTACAACCAGTAAGTGGGAAGCCTCTGAGACACCAAATTTGGATTGTCATGAAAGGCAGAAGTGGGACTGGCCAGAGATGGGGAGCCAGAGACAGCCAGCTCCTTCTAAGTGTGTTGGGGGTTGACCTTCAGGGCTTTTTCCTTGTTCTGTCCTGACTCCCTTCTGTATTCAAATTCCAGCTAACAGCTAGACTCCACAGGGGTGAGAGCAGTCTTTAAAGGCAAAAGTAAAGACCTCATTAAATGGAGGCATCCAGAGAATAGAATGAATAGAAATGAAACACTTTCAGCTACCCCTTAGGAGGCCCCGGCAGAATAGCACTTCTCAGTGGAAGACATTACCACCGAGGTAATTCCTTAATGAACTACATCTCTACAGTGCCCCCGGAGGCCCAGCATCACTGACAGGGAGTGGGGGAATTTATACCCAGCCCTCTCCCTCTCCCATGATTCAGCCTCAGACATGCAGTCCCAAGGCTGTAGGTGATGAAACGCTGGCCAGGCTGCGGGAGACCCAGAGAATTTGACTGCAAACCCATGCTTCCAATCTCTCACATGCTCTCACTGAGAGTTATGTGGACCTCCAAAGAGAGGCCTGGCTTTTTCAGTCTGCAGTGTTAGAATTTAAAAAGGAAAATTAAGGAATAGTACAAATTTTAAAAGTTTCAGTTGTCTTGGTGTCCTGGGAATCCTGGATGAAGAGAAACCTCTGCTTGGGCTAACCATGCTCCCCAAGTTAAGAAAATGAGATGTTTTATATAAGCGGGTATCAGGCCGGTGGTGCTGAAGGCTTGAGCTACTCCACACCCATAGAAAGCGGTGAAGGCAGGTCCGTGAAGCTGAAAGCAATGAGAGCTAGAACCAGAAACCTGGGTTTGAATCCTGGCTTTGTTGCTGAATGGTGATATGATATTATGCAAATTCTTAGCCTCCCTAGGGCTTAGAGAGTTGTGTTATTTGTAAGTTAGGGATATTAAACACCTAAAAATAAAATAAAATATATGAATAAGGTGAACTGTTTACTCCAATGAATAGCAGCTATCAATATATATCTGTGGCATTTTAGGTAATCAGGGAGAACTTCTTGATAGTCATGATGATAACAGCTAATATTGGTGAACCATTTATTACATGTTAGGCACCGTGCTTCCATCTTTGCATACATGAACCCATGTATTCCTCTTAACAATGCTGTGAGTAAAGGATTTGTCTTATGATCATTTTACACACAAGAAAACAAAGGCTCAGAATAGACAAATCATTTGCTCAGGGCCATATACCTGGTAAGAGTGAAACCACCTTTGCAAAAATTATAACAGTGATCCTGGGTGTGGTGGCTCATGCCTGTAATCCCAGCACTTTAGAAGGCTGAGGTAGGCAGATCACCTGAGGTCAGGAGTTCAAGACCAACCTGGCCAACGTAGTGAAACCCCGTCTCTACTAAAAATACAAAAATTAGCCAGGCGTAGTGGCGGGCGTCGGTAGTCCCAGCTACTCCAGAGGTTGAGGCAGGAGAATCGCTTGAACCCGGGAGGCGGAGATTGCAGTGAGCCGAGATCGCGCCACTGCACTCCAGCCTGGGCGACAGAGCAAGACTCCATCTCTAAATAAATAAATAAATAAAATAAATAAAAAATTAAAACAGTGAGAAAATGATGACAGTGAAAGAGATCTGGTCTAACCAACTCCCATCCTGCCCTTAACCTCCAAACTGCCCTTACTTATTCCTGGGTTTGGGAGAAGCTAATTTTGGGATAAATTTAGTTTAGAGTTTAAATGATAACTGAGGGCAGTTTCCAGCCAACAGCCCATGAAGAGCAGAGGCCCTCGGTCCAATAGCCAATGAAGAAATGAAGTGAATCCCACCAGCAACAGTGTGGGTGGGCTCAGAAGAGGACCCTCCGCCAGCCAAACCCTGTGGGAACTGCAGCCCTGGCTCACACCTTCATTGTCTCCTGGTGAAAGGACCCAGCTGAGTCACTCCCAGATTCTTTATCCGCAGAAATTGTAAGATCATAAACGCTATTGTGTTTTTTGTTATGATTTTTGTTTTTTATGTTTTTTTTGTGTTTTTTTTTTGTTTTTTTTGAGACGGAGTCTTGCTCTGCCGCCCAGGCTGGAGTGCATTTGCGTCATCTCGACTCACTGCAAGCTCCGCTTCTCAGGCTCACGCCATTCTCCTGACTCAGCTTCCCGAGTAGCTGGGACTACAGGCGCCCACCACCACGCCCGGCTAATTTTGTTGTATTTTTAGTAGAGACGGGGTTTCACTGTGTTAGCCAGGATGGTCTCTTTTCTCCTGACCTTGTGATCCACCCGCCTCGGCCTCCCAAAGTGCTGGGATTACAGGCGTGAGCCACTATGCCCAGCCTGTTTTTTATGATTTTTTAAATTCGCAGGTTAAAATTGTATATATTTAGAGTATACAACATGACATTTTGATATATATATATATATACACCATGTGGATTGGCTAAATCAAACAATTTTAAATATGCATTATTTCATATACTTACCAGTTTTGTAGTGAGAACACTTAAAATCTACTCTCTCAGCCATTTTCAAGTATACAATATATTGTTATTAGCTATAGTCACTATGATGTATATCTTTTGAACGTATTCCACCTATCTAATTGAAATTTTATGTCCTTCAACGAACATCTCTCTAATTTCCCCTCACCCCAGCCTCTAGTAACCATTATTTCACTCTCTGCTTCTGTGGGGTTTGACATATAAGTGACATCATGCAGTATTTGTCTTCTTTTTTTTTTTTTTTTTTTTTTTTTGAGATGGAGACTCGCCCTGTCACCCAGGCTGGAGTGCAGTGGTGCCATCTTGGCTCACTGCAACCTCCACCTTCCAGGTTCAAGCGATTCTCCTGCCTCAACCTCCTGAGTAGCTGGGATTACGGGCATGTGCTTCCATGCCCAGCTAATTTTTGTATTTTTGTAGAGATGAGGTTTCACCATGTTGGCCAGGCTGGTCTTGAACTCCTGGCCTCAAGTGATCTGCCCACCTCAGCCTCCCAAAGTGCTGGGATTATAGGCATGAGCCACTGCACCCAGCCAGTATTTGTCTTTCTGTGTCTGATGATTTCACTTAACATAATATCCTTTATGTTAAACTGTGTTGTCACAAATGATAGGATTTCCTTGTTTTTTAAGGCTGTATAGTATTCCACTGTGTATATATACCACATTTTCTCTATTCCAAATGCTGATGTGGCTGGATGCAGTGGGTCACACCTGTAATTCCAATGCTTTGCGAGGCTGAGGCAAGAGGATCACTTGAGGGCAGGAATTCAAGACCAGCCTGGTCAACATAGTGAGATCCTATCTCCACAAAACAAAAAAAAGTCTTTTTTAATTAGCCAGGCATGGTGGTGTACACCTGTAGCCCTAACTACTAGGGAAGCTCAAGCAGGAGGATTTCCTGAGCTCAGGAGTTCCAGGCTGCAGTGAGCTATGATTATGCCACTGCACTCCAGCCTGGGTGACAGAATGAGACCCTATCTCTAAAAAATAAAATAAAATAACAAATACTCTTGTTCAAAACTACTAGGTTTGGGGTAATTTGTTATATAGCAACATATAACTAATACAATATCTTTTAGCAAAAGCAAAGTGATAAGAGTATATGACCTATATATAAGCTATTTCCAAGAGGTTGAGGGAGAAAATGTTGGCAGGACAAACCCCAAAATTGGGGCCCAGTCCAGGAGACCATTAAGGGTTCTTGGCTTCATTCAGGAAAGAATTCAAGAGTGAACCACAGAGTAAAGTGAGCACACTTATTAAAAAGTAAAGGAATAAAAGGGCGGCTAACCCATAGGCAGAGTAGCAGCATGGGCGGCTTAACTGACTCTCCTTATGGTTATTTATTGATTGTATGCTACACAAGGAGTGGACTATTCATGAGTTTTCCAGGAAAGGAGCAGGGAGTTCCCAGGACTGAGGGTTCCTCCCCATTTCAGACCATGTAAGGTAACTTCCAGACATTGCTATGGCATTTGTAAACTATCTTGGTGCTGGTGGGAGTGCCTTTTAACATGCTAATCCATTATCATTAGCATATAATCAGAAGTGAAGATGATCAGAGGTTGTTTCTGTCACCATCTTGGTTTTTGGTGGGTTTTGTCAGGCCTCTGAGCCCAAGCTAAGTGATCATATCCCCTGTGACCTGCACATATACATCCAGATGGCCTGAAGCAACTGCAGATCCACAAAAGAAGTGAAAATAGCCTTAACTGATGATATTCCACCATTGTGATTTGTTTCTGCACCACCCTAACTGATCAATGTACTTTGTAATCTCCCCCACCCTTAAGAAGGTTCTTTGTAGTTCTCCCCACCATTGAGAATGTACTTTGTGAGATCCACCCGCTGCCCGCAAAACATTGCTCCTAACTCCACCGCCTATCCCAAAATCTATAGGAACTAATGATAATCCACCACCCTTTGCTGACTCTCTTTTTGGACTCAGCTCACCTGCACCCAGGTGAAATAAACAGCCATGTTGCTCACACAAAGCCTGTTTGGTGGTCTCCTCACATGGACATGTGAGACAGGTTTGGCCAGCTTCTTTACCTCATCCTGTTTTATCAGTGGGGTCTTTGTGATCTGTATCTTGTGAAACAAGTCTTGCTGAATTCCTAACTCAAAAGAGAGAATGATATGTTGCCCAATAATATTCCATAAACATGAGATATGATTTATGTAGGAAGGTGCTTAGCTTACTGTAATGCCTAATATATGGTAGGGATTTGTGGTATTGTGTGGGAGGGGATGATCTTTGAGAGGGAGATGTCCCTGCTCATTTGATATGTGGTCCTTTCTGTATACACAAGGCAGTAAATCTTTTCCCTGTCCCATGAGCTACCAAACGGTAGCTCCTGGATGTACACAGAAAATCATCCAGGATTTTTCAATCTTCAAATGACAGAATGCACCAATATCTAACAACTGGTGCCTTGGTACCACCTGGCTTCTTGTGGCAGTGCCCAGGACTAGCATTGTCATGTTGTCAAGACACACACCATGAAATGCTCCTCCCTGGTAGAAAATAAAATTAGCAAGACTTGGATTCCATTCATGAAAGATAACCATGTAATCACCAAGCCCACCTCTAACATTTTCAAGACATAGAGCAAGAATAAAAATAGAGGCCCATATACTATGTGTCCAAATAGTTATAAAATGAAAATCAAGCTATTGACTATTAAATAAAATATATTCTAGTCTCCTTCCTTGATAAATATATGAAAGAATTAACAGCCCACCAAAGTAGTAAAAAAAATTACCTTAAGCTGAAAACATCTGAATAAAAAGCAGCCACAGAAAAATTATCTGAACTTGAGCAGAGCCTCCCAAAAATAAAACTGCTCTTTACCCACCTCCAAGGGAGTTTCCTGTTTGGGAGAAGACTAATCATTAGCACTGGGAAGTGCAAATTCAGCTGCCATTAGCAACAAAAATCCCAATAGAACCCTTTATACTTTCCTACCTAAGCCCCAAGCCACACTCTTTCCCTTCTTTTGTTAAGTTGGTATAAAACGTTTACCTCTGGCTATTCAGTGAATTACTCATCACTAAGTACTCCTGCCTGCACATGTGAAAAAAAATTTTTCTTCTCTCCTGTTAATTTGTCTACTGTGAGTTAATTGGCAGGTCCTCGATCATTAAACCTAAGTTGGTAGAGGAAATGTTTTCCTCTCAACATATACCTTCATAACAGCCTAGAAGGCCCGGTCCTCAGGTAGAATTATCAGACTTGATTTGTGCATGGGGAAAGCCAACTCTCAGCCCTTGGCCCACCTCCAGCTCTGTCCCACACAACAGCCTCACATAGAAGCATGTGGATACCCTGGCTTGCATGTCCAAGCTCCACCCGCACTCACCCTTCAAACAACTGCACCTTTTACCAGCCATCAGGCCTAGGAAGGAACACACCAGCATAGTCCGCTCTCCAGAAGTCAGACACAGGAAGAAGTTTTTGCAGGGCTGAAACTGATTGATCGTGGGGCTATGTGGATAAGAAATTGCAGAATTCTCATGAGCAGATTATGGTCTAGAAGAGTCCCCAGGTATGTATGTTCCCTTGGCATTACAACTCTTCATCCTGGAAAAGGGAGGATGATATGCAGCCAGAGAACCATGACGGGGCCCTCGAACCACCACAATCCTTCTTGCTCAGGTCCAAGGGCAGTGCTGTAGCTATTAGTGCTTGAAGCGATGTTGTGTGCATGATAGAGAGGAAATGAAAAGACCATTAGCTGGGACTTGATGGAGCCACTGGGCCGGTGTCCACAGTGATGGGATTGCAGAGTGGAGTCAGCTGCAGACTCTGAGAGGAAGCCTAGTTGACTGGGCATGTCTTCCAGTATGGGTATATCAGTGACTGAAATGGGAGTTTTGTCCAAAGCCATCCATGCCCAGCATGAAGTAAAAATGGATATAGGAAGGTCAAAATGACCAGAGCAGGGAGCATCCTTTCCCTGCTGGTAGAAATGGACTAGGGAGGGTCAGAGCAGGGTGAGAGAGGAGAAAGAAAGAAACTGGTCAGGCGGGCAGTTAGGATGGGTCCTTGGTTGAATTCTTCCAAACAAAAGAACAACCTGCAGGCACAGATAAGGGAACTTGCACAGAAGGGTTTGCCTAAGACATGCCCACAGCTGCACAGGTAAGAAAGGCTACACAGGTGACTTGCCCATACATGCCCACAATGGAAAATTCCATTCCCTTACACATATGCAGTAAGGAGAACAAAGCAATATGGAGTAACTCAAGCTAAGGACCCGCATGCACACTAGGGGGACAGGGTGGAGCTACCAGAAATTTGCACCTTATACAAATGAGATGCCCAGCCCTCATTGGTTTCTTATAAAAGCCTTTGCATTCAACTGTAAAAATGCAACCCTCTTCCAGGTCCCCTCTCCACAGTGGAGAGCTTTCTTCTTTCACTTATTAAACTTTCACCCCAACCTTGCCCTTTGTGTCCATGCTCCTTAATTCTCTTGGTTGTGAGACAAAGAACTCCGGGTGATACCTCACAATGAGAGACTGCTACATTGTGGTGCATTGGTGAGACCGTAACAAGGACACACCCCAACATCTAGATAAGTAAGAAATTTTGATGTCAGGGACACAGTCTTGGCCACTAATCAGGGAAGAGGGGCTGAAAGGGTGACAAATTATCCTCTGAACCCAGAGATTGAGGAAGCCCAGTTAGATGGATGAACTTACAGTTACCAGGATGGGATCACCAGGTCAAAACCAGACTAGCAGCAAAATCATGTAATACGGTGTCCACTTTCCCATGTTTTAAAAATCTCAATACATGGCTTGCTGAATTACCCAGCTCACCCCCCTCTGGGAATTTTCAAGCAGCCAAGTGAAATTGCACTTTTCCTATGAATGCTTTCTAAACCCGTGTGCCAAGACAACAAACTACCCTCTCTGTCCTACTCCCTGAAGATGCCATTCATAGCTGGGAGGTGACAGGTGCAACAGGAGAGCCCATACAACTGGGTACCCAGCACGTGGACATTTGAATCATAAAGGTCTGGGTTAATTTTACAGCCACATCGTGGCTGTTTAAACCTCTCTCAGCATTTGTGTCCTCATTCCTAAAACACTAGTCCCTACTTCATAAGATTTTTGTGAAAAGTAAATGAGGTACTATGCATAAAGCATTTAGCATGGTGCCTGGAATACAGTCTGAGCTCAATAAATATCAGCCATTATTGCATTAGAGTTAGCTGTTCCATGACTATCTTCCATCCGAAGTTATTATTTCCTTAAGGCTGATGGCAGTGTCTTACAGCTTCAGAATCTGTCACAGTGACCTATTCAAAAAAAATTTACTTAGGGCCTACTATATGCCCAACACTATGCAAGGCTAATAATAAGCTATGACTAAATAGATTTTTTTTTTCTTGAGATAAGGTCTCTCTCTGTTGCCCAGGCTGAACTGCAGTGGTACAATCACAGTGCACTGCAGCCTCGACCTCCCAGACTCAAGTGATCCTCCCACTTTAGCCTCCCAAGTAGCTGAGATCACAGGTGCGCACCATCACATCTGGCTACTTTTTAAAAATTTTTAGTAAAGATGAGGTCTTACGATGTTGCCCAGAATGGTCTCAAACTTTTGGGCTCAAGCGATCCACCCACCTCAGCCTCTCAAAGTGCTGGGATTACAGGCATGAGCCACCACACCCAGCTAAGTAAAGATTTTTTGAATCAAATAAAGAAGTCAAGAGATTGTAGCTTATTATTAAGAATTTCCAAACTATAAAAGCTCATAAAGCATTTATAACTCATCTCGAAAGTTCCTTGTTTAAATGTTCAAGCAATTTTTTCCCTTTTTTTTTTTAGCACCTTAGGGGAAATAAATAAGATATTTTCTTTGCTTTCAAACAAGCTGACACATTGGGTGGATCTACAAGCAAAGATTCTGCCATTGCTTTGAAAGCTTCCAGTTTCTCTGATTCATTTGGGGAAAACTGCTGGACAATTATCTGTTATTTGGTTGTTTTATTAGCAAAGTACTCCAGCTACAGATTCCCAGTGGGTGTGAAACCATTCCTTCTCAAAAGGCAGTGATGAGCAGAATCATTTATAGAAGAGTCACTAGACATAGGCACCACGCAGCTCCCCACAGTGTTGCCTGTGTGGAAGGTATCCCCACTGGTTATCAATAAACCACAATAATTTATTTCCATATTTTTATAAGTACGTAGATCATTGAAAAGTAAAAAATAAAAGGAGAAACAGCATATTGTATTACCTGTCTCCTCCATTTGATTTGACTAGAGACTAGACTAGCCTGATTTTGTTACTGACAAAGCCATTCTTTCCCCCAAAATTGGGTCTTTCCCTGTTTGGCGCCATGAAGACAATATACAAAACTGAAAGTGAGCGTCAAGCAGTGCAGGCGTTACTCAATGGCCATGGAATTAAGACGCAGGAGCTTGGGCCCGGCGCGGTGGCTCACGCCTGTAATCCCAGCACTTTGGGAGGCCAACATGGGTGGATCACGAGGTCAAGAGATGGAGACCATCCTGGCTAACATGGTAAAACTCCGTCTCTACTAAAAATACAAAAATTAGCTGGGTGTGGTGGCAGGTGCCTGTAGTCCCAGCTACTTGGGAGGCTGAGGCCGGAGAATCACCTGAACCCAGGAGGCAGAGCTTGCAGTGAGCCAAGATTGCGCCACTGCACTCCAGCCTGGTGACAGAGTGAGACTCCGTCTCAAAAATAAAAAATAAAAATAAAAGAAGGAGGAACTTGGTTCACAAATCAACTTCTTGACTAGTGAGGAGTGAGGGACTCAGAATATACAGTTTTTCTGATGAAGACGTTGGACTTAAAAGTGAGGGAAGGAATATTCATGTCTTTTCTGGAAATGGGTGGTGAACTTCCTGAAACTGGGGTGCTGCCTTCTTTTTTCTCCTTTTACGGCTTCTTCCAGTCATCATGGCAATTATCCACTGTCATGGCGCTGGTGGGAGTGTCACTTAGCATGGAAATGAGATTATAATGAAGTCTGAGGTCTTTTTCAGGTCATTCAGTCAACTAATCAGTCTCAGTTGGTCTGGTTACAAAGGGAACTTTTTAATCACAGGTATCCTGTTTCTTAAACAGAATTAGGGCAGGGTAGAAATTCAGCTATGTCATGAGGCATTACACCAGGTAATAAATAATTTTACCACTAGATCACAAGTTCCTAGAATGAGAATGATGCCTGCCATACAGCAGGGGCTTGGGGAGTATTTGCCACATAAACGAACGAACCAATGAATGAGTGAAGAAGTGAATGAATGAATCCTACCCAGGACATTTACTGCACATGGTATCTTTGCCGACCCTGATCCTCAGTGATACGATCTGCTCAGATTTTTCATGGACCTGTTCTGAAGAATTTTTAAAGGCATATCTTCTTAGAATCTGAACCCTAAACTTTCAAAACAATAAACAGAGAAGAGCAGGTTCTATAGCTAAATGAGAGGATGACATGTCTGAGCTGGCCTGCAGATAGTGTGGAGTATTAATTTCCCACAGTTTGTTTGCCCTGTCGGCAGGAGGCTCCTGCCTGAGTATTGTGGACCGTGTGTATATTGAACATTGCTCCTTTAACTTCTGGGACACCTGGAG
Organism: Homo sapiens; assembly: GCF_000001405.40. Lineage (NCBI taxonomy): Eukaryota > Metazoa > Chordata > Mammalia > Primates > Hominidae > Homo > Homo sapiens. The sequence goes on along the minus strand of NC_000016.10, from coordinate 25,565,728 downwards.
TTGCATTCAGATGGCCTGGGGAGGGAGGAATTCTTTTGTAATACCTCTTTGGTTCCTCTCCCTATCAGGGATTCTGTATCCTCCCAGTATAGCTCTTCCAAGCCCCACTGTATGTAGCAAAGGACCTGAGATTGCATGAGCAAGATTAGAAGTAACAAAAAGCTGAAAATCATCAGGTCTGGAAGAAAGTAGATAAGAATGTATTCAAAGGATTAAAGTATAAGGTTTTGGATGCCCCTTGGGAGGGGCATCAGCCTCAAATGGAGAAGAAATGAAATCCTCTGGAAAATAAAGTATATCAGTGAGTACCCCCAATGGTGAAGTGTTTGCTGGCTGGAGAGGAAAGCAGAAAGTTCAGCTAGAGGTAAATAAAAGGATGGTTAGTAAAGGGACAACCTCTGGTTGCCTAAGGGATCTACAGTGACTGCCCATCATAGGGGTAGGAATAAAACCCACCTCTAGGAAGGTCATCCTTTCTACTAAGCTCCCACAAGTCAAGGTGGCCTGCAGAAGAAAATCTAGACACAAAATCCTCTTCAAGAGTCAGAGATCAGATTAGAAGGATATGAGGCTCGTTGGGATTGGCTTCCTTCTTTATCTTTGTGCTGAGTGTAACCAAACACAGGTTTGGCTGCTCACCTCTTGCAAAGTCAAATAACAAGGATGAAATGTGGTGAGAGGAAAGTGACTTTAATACAGAACTAGCAGTAGGGAAATGGCCAAGTCTTCATGCCTTAAAGAAATCATTTAGAATTTTGGACAGAATGCAAGAACTTAAAAAGGGGAGCTGGGTATGGGGGACATGCAGGAGGCCTGAGGAGGTGCTGGTCTACATGACTTGCTCTGATGACTTATCTTGAGTTATTGCCCCACATGATGAATGGGCTGGCACCATGTTAGGCACAATCAAGTTGTAAATTAACTGCAGCCTTGAGGTAATTGCCTGGTGGGGAATAATTCCATACCTCGGGCCTGGATTATTTTAAGACTCAGTCCCTGGAACATCTAAACAAACATATAATTAGATAAAATGACATTGTGCAAGGGAGCACCTGGTGGAAGGAAAGAGAGCAAAGGTTACCATTTTATTTTCAAGAAACTAAACATAAAGTAAGCAAGGAGAAAAAGGGAAAAAAGAGAAAATATATATTTAAAAATTGGGGCTTGGGACAGTGGCTGACACCTATAATCTCAGCACTTTGGGAGGCTAAGGCAGGAGGGTCACTTGAGCCCAGGAGATTTTGTAGAGCCTGGGGTCTGTTTATGTTGACCAGCCTGGGCAACATAGCAAGGCCCCATCTCTACAAAATAATCAAAAGTCTAGCCGGGCATAGTGGCACATACCTGTGGACCCAGCTACATGGGAGGCTGAGGTGGGAAGTTTGCTTGAGCCCTGGATGTAGAGGCTGCAGTGAGCTATGATTGCACCACTGCACTCCAGCCTGGGTGATACAGTGAGACCCTGTCTGAAAAATAAATAAGTAAATAAACAAAAATAAAAACAGGACACTCAGTTAAGGATCTCATTGTCATGGGTGCTGTCTTTGAATAGTTTCTTACTATGAGTCAAGCAAAAAGAGTAAAATGAAGCGTAACTGATTCAAAACAGTTTTCCCTCCTTAAACTTGAACCACGCTGTATTATTCCATTTTCACACTGCTATAAATAAACACCCTAGACTAGGTAATTTAGAAAGGAAACAGGTTTGCTTGACTCACAGTTACACATGGCTTGGGAAGCCTCAGGAAACTTACAATCATGGCATAAGCAAAGGAGAAGCAAGGACTTTCTTCACAAGGCGGCAGGAAATAGACCAAGAGAATAAGGAAGTGCCACACTTTCAAACCATTAGCTCTCATGAAAACTCATTCACTGTCACGAGAACAGCATGGGGGAAACCACCCCCATGAACCAATCACCTCCCACAAAGTCCCTCCCTCAACACATGGGAATTACAATTCGAGATGAGATTTGAGTGGGGACACAGAGGCAAACCATACATACCCCAAAACTCACATGAACAGATAATTAAACAGACTTTGAAAATATAGTGATTGAAACAGTGTGGTATATTGATCCAACCAAACATAACAGATAGCCTAGATTATACTTCATTACATGTGAAAATTTAACCTATGATAAGAGAAAAAACAAAATTGTTGAATAAATTATACTGGAACCTTTGACTAGCCATGTGAAAACTCCCTTCAATGTTATGTACCGAAACAATTTCCAAACAGATCAAAGACTTCTTTTAAATCAAAGAATAAATAAACTGTAAAAAAATAGAAATGAATATTGTCAAGCTTCTGGAAAGAGAGGGAGTGTCTAGAATTAAAAGAGATTTAAAATTCACAAAGGAAAAGATGGGCAGATGTGATTACAAAAAATTTTAATCTTCTGTACATAAAAAGCTTAATCAAACTTAAAAGGAGAACAACAAGCAGGGAGATACATTTGAAGTAATACAAAAAAGAATCATGTATTTATAATTTTCAGTTAATTCAAATCTGTAAAAGATAATAATAATAGGCCAACAAATGAGTAAAGAACAGACACCACAGATATTTCTCCCAAAGAGGAAATGCCACTGTTTAACAAACGTGGACAGTTTTTTTTTTTCAAAATATCTGCTGATCAAAGCCATGCAAATAAAAACAACATTTCGTGCCTTTCAAATTAGCTAGTCTTTCTAAATGATAATAGGCATATTAGCAAAAATGTAGCAAAATGCAGTAATTTTCTTACACTGCAGCTCAGTGTAAATTGGCATAGGCTTTTTTTAAGAGAGTAATTTGTAAATGTGTATTGAATGTCTTAAAATGGTCACATCCATTGAGCAGTAATTACACACTGAAATGTATCACTTAATGAAATAACCCAAAATTTTGATGGTGGGTGGGGGTAGGGGACGTGTGAGTTTATTCATCAAGATCAACATCATAACAGCATAAGTAACAGTGAGATAAGCATTTTAAATTATGAATGTTTGGTTAAATAATCCAGGCCACAGTCCTTGTGTGGAACATTATGAAATCATAAACGGCAGTGTTCACAATGACTGTATAATGCAGAAAATGCTTATGATATAATAGTAACTAGAAAAAAATAAAAATTACATATAGACAATGGGTATAATTATGTAAATAAAACTGTGCATAAAATACTGCCCTGAAGAAAAGAGACATTAAAATGTAAATAGTCATTATCCATAGATGGTAAAATTATGGATTATTTTTAAATTTTTCTTTCTGCTTTTCAGGAATTTTCTATCTTTTCTGAAAATATAATAAATGTGTTTATAAATATTTGATTTTTAAAAAAGTTCTATTCTTTTTGATACCTTGGGTCATTATGAATGTCAAAATTTTGCTTCAGTTAAAGGTCAGCTAGGGAAGACTTTGGAATGTAGTGGAAGGATATCAAAATATATATATTTTTTAATTATACATTTTTTAGGTCCTGGGATACATGTGCAGAATGTGCTGGTTTGTTACATAAGTATATACGTGCTATGGTGGTTTGCTGCACCCATCAACCTGTCATCTACATTAGGTATTTCTCCTAATGCTACCACTCCCCTAGCCACCCACCCCACAACAGGCCCCGGTGTGTGATGTTCCCCTCCCTGTGTCCATATGTTCTCATTGTTCACTTCCACTTATGAGTGAGAACATGTGGTGTCTGGTTTTCTGTTCCTGTGTTAGCTTGCTGAGAATGATGGTTTCCAGCTTCATCCATGTCCCTGCAAAGGACATGAACTCATCCTTTTTTATGGCTGCATAGTATTCCATGGTGTATATGTGCCACATTTTCTTTATCTAGTCTATCTTTGATGCGCATTTGGGTTGGATACAAGTCTTTACTATTGTGAACAGTGCTGCAATAAACATACGTGTGCATGTATCTTTACAGTAGACTGATTTATAATCCTTTGGGTATATACCCAGTAATGGCATTGCTGGATCAAATGGTATTTCTGGTTCTACTTCCTTGAGGAATTGCCACACTGTCTTCCACAATGGTTAAACTAATTTACACTCCCACCAACAGTGTAAATGCATTCCTATTTCTCCACATCCTCTCCAGCATCTGTTGTTTCCTGACTTTTAATGATTGCCATTCTACTTGGCATTAGATGGTATCTCATTGTAGTTTTGATTTGCATTTCTCTAATGACCAATGATGATGAGCTTTTTTAAATATGTTTGTTGGCCACATAAATGTCTTATTTTGAGGAGTGTCTGTTCATATCTTTTGCCCACTTTTTATGGGGTTGTTTGTTTTTTTCTTGTAAATTTGCTTAAGTTCCTTGTAGATTCTGGATATTAGCCCTTTGTCAGGTGGATAGAGTGTAAAAATTTTCTCCCATGCTGTAGGTTGCCTGTTCATTCTGATGATAGTTTCTTAATTAGATCCAATTTGTCAATTTTGGCTTTTGTTGTCCTTGCTTTTGGTGTTTTAGTCATGAAGTCTTTGCCCATGCCTATGTCCTGAATGGTATTGCCTAGGTTTTCTTCTAGGGTTTTTACGGTTTTAGGTCTTACATTTAAGTCTTTAATCCATCTTGTGTTAATTTTTATATAAGGTTTAAGGAAGGGGTCCAGTTTCAGTTTTCTGCATATGGCTAGCCAGTTTTCTCAACACCATTTGTTAGATAGGGAAACCTTTTCTCATTGCTTGTTTTCGTCAGGTTTGTCAAAGATCAGATGATTATAGATGTGTGGCATTATTTCTGATGCCTCTGTTCTGTTCCATTGGTCTATATATCTGTTTTGGTACCAGTGCCATGCTGTTTTGGTTACTGTAGCCTTGTAGTATAGTTTGAAGTCAGGTAGCGTGATGCGTCCAGTTTTGTTCTTTTTGCTTAGGACTGTCTTGGCTATATGGGCTCTTTTTTGGTTCCATATGAATGAACTTTAAAGTAGTATTTTCCAATTCTGTGAAGAAAGTCAATGGTAGCTTGATGGGGATAGCATTGAATCTATAAATTACTTTGGGCAGTATGGCCATTTTCATGATATTGATTCTTCCTATCCATGAGCATGGAATGTTCTTCCATTTGTTTGTGCCCTCTCTTATTTCCTTGAGCATTGGTTTGTAGTTCTCCTTGAAGAGATCCTTCACATCCCTTGTAAGTTGGATTCCTAGGTATTTTATTCTCTTCGTAGCAATTGTAAATGGGAGTTCACTCATGATTTGGCTCTCCATTTGTCCATTATTGGTGTATAGAAATGCTTGTGATTTTTGCACATTGATTTTGTATCCTGAGACTTTGCTGAAGTTGCTTATCAGCTTAAGGAGATTTTGGGCTGAGACGATGGGGTTTTCTAAATACGCAATTATGTCATCTGCAAACAGAGATAATTTGACTTCCTCTCTTCCTATTTGAATACGCTTTATTTCTTTCTCTTGTCTGATTGCCGTGGCCAGATCTTCCAATACTATGTTGAATAGGAGTGGTGAGAGAGGGCATCCTTGCTGTGTGCCAGTTTTCAAATGGAATACTTCCAGCTTTTGCTCATTCAGTATGATATTGGCTGTGGGTTTATCATAAATAGTTCTTATTATTTTGAGATAAAGTTCCATCAATACCTAGTATATTGAGAGTTTTCAGCAGGAAGGGATGTTAACTTTTATTGAAGGCCTTTTCTCCATCTATTGAGGTAATCATGTTGTTTTTGTCATTGGTTCTCTTTATATGATGGATTGCATTTACTGATTTGCATATGTTGAGCCAGCCTTGCATCCCAGGGATGAAGCTGACTTGATCATGGTGGATAAGCTTTTTGATGTGCTGCTGGATTCGGTTTGCCAGTATTTTATTGAGGATTTTCACATTGATGTTCATCAAGGATATTGGCCTGGAATTTTCTTTTTTTGCTGCATCTCTGCCAGGTTTTGGTATCAGGATGATGCTGGCCTCATAAAATGAGTTACGGAGAGGTCCCTCTTTTTCTATTGTTTGCAATAGTTTCCAAAGAAATGGTACCAGCTCTTTTTGTACCTCTGGTAGAATTCAGCTATGAATGCGTTTGGTCCTGGGCTTTTTTTAGTTGGTAGGCTATTAATTACTGCGTCAATTTCAGAACCTGTTATTGGTCTATTCAGTGACTCAACTTCTTCCTGGCTTAGTCTTGAGAGGGTATATGTGTCCAGAAATTTATCTATTTCTTCTAGATTTTCTAGTTTATTTGGGTAGAGGTATTTATAGTATTCTCTGATGGTAGTTTGTATTTCTGTGGGATCAGTGGTGATATCTCCTTTATCATTTTTTATTATGCTTATTTGATTATTCTCTCTTTTCTTCTTTATTAATCTGGCTAGCAGTCTATGTATTTTGTTATTCTTTTTAAAATAAACAGCTCCTGGATTCACTGATTTTTTGAAGGGTTTTTTGTGTCTCTATCTCCTTCTGTTCCGTTCTGATCTTAGTTATTTCTTGCCCTCTGCTAGCTTTTGAATTTGTTTGCTCTTGCATCTCTAGTTCTTTTAATTGTGATGTTAGGGTGTCGATTTTAGATCTTTCCCACTTTCTCCTGTGGGCATTTAGTGCTATAAATTTCCCTCTAAACACTGCTTTAGCTGTGTCCCAGAGATCCTGGTACATTGTGTCTTTGTTCTCATTGGTTTCAAACAACTTATTTATTTCTGCCTTAATTTCATTATTTACCCAGTAGTCATTCAGGAGCAGGTTGTGCAGTTTCCATGTAGTTGTGCGGTTTTGAGTGAATTTCTTAATCCTGAGTTCTAATTTGATTGCACTGTGGTCTGAAAGACTATTTATTATGATTTCCATTCTTTTGCATTGGCTGAGGAGTGTTTTACTTCCACTTATGTGGTCAATTTTAGAATAAGTGCAATGTGGTGCTGAGAAGAATGTATATTCTGTTGATTTGGGGTGGAGAGTTCTGTAGATGTCTATTAGGTCTGCTTGGTCCAGATCTGAGTTCAAGTCCTGAATATCCTTGTTAATTTTCTGTCACATTGATCTGCCTAATATTGACAGTAGGGTGTTAAAGTCTCCCACTATTATTCTGTGGGAGTCAAAATTTCTTTGTAGGTCTTTAAGAACTTGCTTTATGAATCTGGGTGCTCCTGTATTGGGTGCATATATATTTAAGATAGTTAGCTCTTCTTGTTGCATTGATCCCTTTACCATTATGTAATGCCCTTCTTTGTCTTTTTTGATCTTTGTTCATTTAAAGTCTTTTTTATCAGAGACTATGGTTGCAAACCCTGCTTTTTTTTTTTTTTGCTTTCCATTTGCTTTGTAAATATTCCTCCTTCCCTTTATTTTGAGCCTATGTGTGTCTTTGCACATGAGATGGGTCTCCTGAATACAGCACACCAATGGGTCTTGACTCTTTATCCAATTTGCCAGTCTGTGTCTTTTAATTGGGGCATTTAGCCTATTTACATTTAAGGTTAATATTGTTATGTGTGAATTTGATCCTGTCATTATGATGTTAGCTGGTTATTTTGCCTGTTAGTTGATGCAGTTTCTTCATAGTGTTGATAGCCTTTACAATTTGGTATGTCTTTGCAGTGGCTGGTACTGGTTTTTCCTTTCCATATTTAGTGCTTCCTTCAAGAGCTCTTGTAAGGCAGGCCTGGTGGTGACAAAATCTCAGCATTTGCTTGTCTGTAAAGGATTTTATTTCTTTTTCACTTATGAAGCTTGGTTTAGCTGGATATGAAATTCTGGGTTGAAAATTCATTTCTTTAAGGATGTTGAATATTGGCCCCCACTCTCTTCTGGCTTGTAGGGTTTCTGCAAAGAGATCCACTGTTAGTCTGATGGGCTTCCCTTTGTGGGTATCCTGACCTTTCTTTCTGGCTGCCCTTAACATTTTTTCCTTCATTTCAACCGTGGTGAATCTGACGATTATGTGTCTTGGGGTTGCTCTTTTCAAGGATTATCTTTGTGGTGTTCTCTGTATTTCCTGAATTTGAATGTTGGCCTGTCTTGCTAGGTTGGGGAAGTACTCCTGGATAATATCCTGAAGAGTATTCTCCAACCTGGTCCCATTCTCCCCCTCACTTTCAGGTACAACAATCAAACGTAGGTTTGGTCTTTTCACATAGTCCCATATTTCTTGGAGGTTTTGTTCCTTCCTTTTCATTCTTTTTTCTCTATTCTTGTCTTCACACTTTATTTCATTAAGTTGTTCTTCAATCCCTTATATCCTTTCTTCTTCTGTTTGATTGATTCGGCTATTGATACTTGTGTATGCTTCTCAAATTTCTGATGCTGTGTTTTTCAGCTCCATCAGGTCATTTATGTTCTTCTCTAAACTGGTACTTCTAGTTAGCAATTCCTCTAACCTTTTTTCAAGGTTCTTAGCTTCCTTGCTTTGGGTTAGAACATGCTCCTTTAGCTCAGAGGAGTTTGTTATTATCACCTTCTGAAGCCTACTTCTGTCAATTCGTGAAACTTATTCTCTGTCCAGTTTTGTTCCCTTGCTGGTTAGGAGTTGTGATCCTTTGGAGGAGAAGAGGTGTTCTGGTTTTTGGAATTTTCAGCCTTTTGCTCTGGCTTTTCCTCATCTTCGTGCATTTATCTACCTTTGGTCTTTGATGTTGGTGACCTTTGGATAGCGGTTTTGTGTGGACATCCTTTTTGTTGAGGTCAATGCTATTCCTTTCTGTTTGTTAATTTTCCTTCTAACAGTCAGGCCCCTCTGCTGCAGATATGCTGGAATTTGCTGGAGGTCCACTCCAGCCCTGTTTGCCTAGATATCACCAGCGGAATCTACAGAACAACAAAGACTGCTGCCTGTTCCTTCTTCTGGAAGCTTCGTCCCAGAGGGGCACCCGCCTGATGCCAACTGAAGCTCTCCTGTATGAGGTTTCTGTCGACCGCTGCTGGGAGCCGTCTCCCAGTCAGGAGGCGCAAGGGTCAGGGACCCACTTGAGGAGGCAGTCTGTCCCTTAGCAGAGCTTGAGTGCTATGCTGGGAGATCCCCTGCTCTCTTCAGAGCCAGCAGGTGGGAAAGTTTAAGTCCGCTGAAGCTGCGTCCACAGGCGCCCTGTCCCCCAGGTGCTCTGTCCCAGGGAGATGGGAGTTTTATCTATAAGCCCCTGACTGGGGCTGCTGACTTTCTTTTAGAGATGCCCTGCCCAGAGAGGAGGAATCTAGAGAGGCAGTCTGGCTACAGCAGCTTTGCTGAGCTGTGGTAGGCTCCACCCAGTTCAAACTTCCACGCGGCTTTGTTTACACTGTGAGGGGAAAACCGCCTACTCAAGCCTCAGCAATGGCGGACACCCCTCCCCCGACCAAGCTCCAGCACCCCAAGTCAACTTCAGACTGCTGTGCTGGCAGCGAGAATTTCAAGCCAGTAGATCTCAGCTTGCTGGGTTCTGTACAGGTAGGATCTGCTGAGCTTGACCACTCAGCTCCCTGGCTTCAGCCCACTTTCCAGGGGAGTGAACTGTTCTGTCTCACTGACATTTCAGGTGCCACTGGGGTATAAAAAAAACTCCTACAGCTAGCTCAGTGTCTGCCCAAACAGCCACCCAGATTTGTGCTTGAAACCCAGAGCCCTGGTGGTGTAGGCACCTGAGGGAATCTCCTGGTCTGCGGGTTGCAAAGACCATGGGAAAAGCATAGAATCTGGGCTGGATAGCACTGTTCCTCATGGCACAGTACCTCAGGGCTTCCCTTGGCTAGGGGAGGGAGTTCCCCGACCCCTTGTGCTTCCCAGGTGAGGCAACGTCCCACCCTGCTTTGGCTCGCCCTCCGTGGGCTGCACCCACTGTCTAACCAGTCCCAATGAGATAAGCCAGGTACCTCACTTGGAAATGCAGAAATCTCCCGCCTTCTGTGTTGATCTCACTGGGAGCTGCTGACCGGAGCTATTCCTATTTGACCATCTTGCCAGCCACCTGGAAGGATATCAAAATATTCTACCCCAAAATATGGCTCCCTGGTATAATGAGTGTTTTAAACTAAAAACTCTTAGAGACCATCAAGTACTGGAAGAGAATTTTCCTTATCTATGCAGAGACAGGACTGACCCGCTGAGGACAAGTGTTCTAGTTCCCCTGCCTCTTATTCTCCATTGCAAAAAGAAGACCAAAAATGTAACCACATCTGAACAGACCCCCTTTGAAGATAAACAGTTTCCCAGGACCACGTAAATTCCAAACAGAACTATTCACCTGTTAATTTCTGTTCCCTGGTCATCATATTGCCCCTCAATAGAATTCCTCTTCTCCCTACTCCCATAACCTGTTTTCTGTAATCTCAAGATGATGTATAAGCTTCTGTACCTTGTAAATTGAAAAAACTGATTGAGGCAAGTCTCAATCCTTTTAGATTTGCCAGAGTTGCCCACTTTTGGCAAAGATTTGCCAAAATTGCTCTTGATGTGCACCAGGAGACAGGTCTATGTCTTTCTCCAAAGACGATTTTGAGGGCTTCAAGGAGAAAGGGCAGATATTGAGGGAATATACAATTTTCATGTGAGAGGGGGTAGAGAAAATAGTCATTCCTGCCTTCCTCTGGCTCAATGAATCTGCAGTTTTACATACAGTAACATAGACAGTAGGTCAGGGGAAGTAATCAGATATGCATTTGTCTCAGGTGAGTGGAGGGATGACTTTGAGTTCTGTCTTATGGTCCTTGCTTGGGCAGACAAATTATTAATTTACATTGCCAAGGTGAAATTCAACAGAAATGATTTAAGGTAAAGATCTTGGAGCCTACAAGGAATTTCCTTATGGGCAAAATGTGAGGGAGGTATGTAGCTTTTTATCTTTGTAGCCATCTTATTTAGGAACCAAATGGGAAGCAGGTTTGTGTCACCCAGTTCCCAGCTTGACTTTTCCTTTTGGCTTAGTGAGTTTGGGGTCTCGAGATTTATCTTCCTTTTACAGCCTATTTGGGAAGTTGAGTCTTCATTCTGAAGGCGTCTGTGTATACACGTGAAATAAATTTGTATGCCACTCTTCTATTCATCAATCTGCCTCAGTAACTTTCAGCAAAACTTTAGGGGGCAAAGGGCCCTGGGCCCCACAGTTATGGCACTGTGAGCAAGATCATCAAAATTGTTCTTTTTTTTCAGGAAGCCACAGCAAGGGGAACCCAGGAAACTGACACCGTGGCAAAAGTGTAAGAATTTCTTACCAGCCAGGCTCCTGGCCTGGTTCTCTGGGCAATCCAGTTGAGCAAACAGTAAAAATCACTATCTGTCTCCTCTGCAAGGTTTGATTAACGGCAAAAAAAGGATCTGTGTGGCTAGTCTTGGGGTGTGATGTCTCTGGTGTACTTTTGGTACTTTGTGGTATGAATATTCATATCGTTTGATCCCTTTCCCCTCAGAAACAGCCTTTTTTTGTTGTTGCCATTTTTCTTTGTCCTTGTCCTTCTGTGTTGTTCTGTTGTAAAGAGGGGCATGGAGTAGAACATGGACCTGGAAAGCCTATAAGCCTGCAGTTTGAGCTGGCTCTGCAGATAAGTCAGTTTTGCAGTTCTGACTAGACCTGTGTCTGTTAAGATAAACTTTGCGATGGGTCCCTGAAATGAAAACCAGATGACATTTTCCACTCTTCTTGTTTTATGTCCTTGAGATCTTGACTTGTAATTAAGTGCAGATACTTCTTCTTAATCTCTGCTATCTGGAGGGCATGATTTTTGGGGTTACACTGAGAGAGGAGAAAGGAAGAAGCTGGTCGGGGGGCAGCTAGGGTGGTTCCTCAGTTCAAGCAAAAGAACTGCCTGCAGACACAGATAAAGAAACTTGCACAGGGGGGCTTGCCTAAGACATGTCCACAGCTGCACAGATAAGAAAGGCTACACAGGTGACTTGCCCAGACATGCCCTGCAATGGAAAATTCCATTCCCTGACACATGTGCAGTAAGAGGAGCAAAGCAATATGGAGTAATTTGAGCTAAGGGCCCACATGCGCACTAGAAGGATGGGGTGGAGCTACCAGAAATTCATGCATTATGCAAATGAGACACCCAGCCCTCCTTGGTTTCTTATAAAAGCCTTTGTATTCAACTGTAAAAATGGCAGCCTTCTTCCATGTCCCCTCTCTGTGGCAAAGAACATACTTCTTTCACTTACTAAACTTTCACTTCAACCTCACCTTTTGTGTCCATGCTCCTTAATTCTCTTGGTCCTGAGACAATTAACTCTGAGTGAAACTTTCCAAAGAGAGACTGCTTTATTGTGGTGCACTGGCAAGACTGTAACAACATCAGGTGGCCAGTCTGAAAAGATTGGGAATCTGAGAGGTAAGATTTTAAGCAGCACACTTGTCATTCTGAACATGTCAAGCTTTAAGGGGAACTTTGTCTTAAAAGGGTCTCATTCTTAAGAAACTTTTGCCGTATTTGCTATCTTAGGTCTATTTGTGAGACAAAAAAATCTAGGGGGTTCATGGGGACTGCCTCCTTTATGCGCTCTCAAGGAATAACTCTTGCTTATATGGAAAAAATCTGGAAATTTACCACCTGGGCTTTATATGAAGAGGCTTTTGGATTCAGTTACTATTGGAATTAAGTACTCAAATAACAATTCTATGTGATAACGTAATCTAACTTGCAGTCTTTCCTATTAAACTATGATTTCCCTTAAGGCAAAGATTAAATCTTCTTTTTCTTCATGTCTCCAGGGCTTAGCATATTGCCTGGTGCATGAAAGACACACTGTAAATGTTAGCTGACTTGAGTTCTGCCTTTTTTTTTTTTTTTTTTTTGATACAGGTCCTGTTCCAGAGAAGTAGTGGCTCAAACATGGCTCACTATAGCCTAAAACTTCCAGGCTCAAGTGATCCTCCCACCTCCGCTTTCCAAGTAGCTGGGACTACAGGCACACACCATGACACCCAGCTAATTTTTTACTTTTTGTGGAGACAGGGTCTTGTTATGTTGCCCAGGCTGGTCTTGAACTCCTGGGCTCAAGCAACCTCTACCTCAGCCTCCAAAAGTGTTGGGATTATAGGCGTGAGCCAACACACCCGGCCTGAATTCTTAGCTCCAGCTGCCATAACAAAATCCCATAAACTGGGTGGCTGACAACATAAATGTATTTTCTCATAGTTCTGGTGGCTAGAGTCTGAGATCAGTGAACCAGCATGGTCGGGATCTGGCAAAGGTTCTCCTCTTGGCTTGCAGACAGCTGCTCCTCACATGGTAGAGAGAGAGAAAGAGAGATGGCTCTTTGGTATCTCTTCTTATAAGGTCACTAATCCCACCATGAGGATCCCAGCCTCACGACCTCATCTACACCTAATTATCTCCCAAAGGCCCCATTCCATCTCTATGTACTACTACATTGGGGGTTAGAGTTTCAACATACAGATTCTAAGGGACATAATTCAGTCCATAGCAAGCTTATATCCAATTGAGAGCCAGGAGTCCTGCAAAGAGGAGTCCCCTGACACCTGTTAGAAAATGGGCTCCACGTGTCAAGGGATCCATCCTCATCATTAAGATATAGGCTGAGTGGACACAATGGCTCCCACTTGTAATCCCAACACTTTGGGAGGCCAAGGCAGGTGGATTGCTTGAGACCAGGAGTTTGAGACCAGCCTGTGCAACATGGTGAAATCCTGTCTCTACCAAAACTACAAAAATTAGCTGGGTGCGGTGGTGTCATGCCTGTAGTTCCAGCTACTTAGGAGGTTATTAAACCTCCTGAGTAGGAGGCAGGAGGATGGCTTGAGCCTGGGAGGTGGAGGTTGCAGTGAACTGTGATTGTACTACTGCACTCTAGCCTGGACGACAGAGTGAGACCCTGTCTCCAAAGTGGGGGGAAGATACAGGCTGAGCAGACTGTTATTGTTAAAAACACTGTGCTTTCCTCTGTGTACATACAAACTCTTCTGCCTTCTCCAGGGCAGTATAAAATATAACTACACAAGCTCAAAAGAAACAAGTGCACAAACCTAAGCCAGACTCAGGTGCATATGTGAAAAGTTCTGTGTAAACTCAAGAGATTCTTATCAATGATGCAAGCCATCCTGAATTTATATTCAGGATGTTCCCATACTGCTGGACTCTCAGATGGGCACTATTTCTCTGCAAAAATATTAGGTTGGTGCAACGGTAATTGTGATTTTTGTCATTAAAAGTAATAACATTGCTTAATTTTTGCCATTACTTTTAATGACAAAAACGACAGTTACGTTTGCACGAACCTAACACTTTATTTATTTATTTATTTCCCCTTGCTGAGATCAGATCTCTCTCTTTCTGATCGTTATTGAGGTATGCTCCATGCCTTGATTCCAGGAAAGCTATATAGAGAGAGACTTGTTAGGCCATCCTCCTCCTCCCTCCACCACCAATAGCACTGTGCTTGAATATTAGATCAAGAAATGGCCTGACAGCCCAAGACCCCTTCTCAATGAAATTAGCTTGAGACTTCTGACAAGAACGAAAGTATTCTGCCCAATGACTCCCATTTAAAAAACCAACTCAAGAGTAACATACTACTTATGCACTCCAGTGAGACTTTAGAAATAGATATTGAGGCCATATAAGACAGTCCAGAAATTTTCCAGAAAGACTAATAGTTGTACAAGCCTCTTTTTTTAAACTTAAATTTTTATTTTTATTTTAAATTCCAGGGTACATATGCAGGATGCTCAGGTTTGTTACACAGGTAAACGTGTGCCATGGTGGTTTGCTACACCTATCAACCCATCACCTAGGTATTAAGCCCACCATGCATTAGCTATTTTTTCTAATGCTCTCCCTCCCTCAACCCCGACAGGCCTCAGTGTGTGTTGTTCCCTTCCCTGTGTCCATATGTTCCCATTGTTCAGCTCCCACTTATAAGTGAGAACATGTGGTGTTTGATTTTCTGTTCCTGTGTTACTTTGCTAAGGATAATAGCTCCCAGCTCCATCCATGTCCCTGCAATTGACATGATCTCATTCCTTTTCATGGATGCATAGTATTCCATGGTGTATATGTACCACATTTTCTTCATCCAGTCTATCACTGATGGGCATTTGCATTGATTACATGTCTCTGTTATTGTGAATAGTGCTGCAAAGAACATACATATGCATGTATCTTTGTAAGAGAATAATTCATATTCCTTTGGGTATATACCCATTAATGGAATTGCTGTGTCAAATGGTATTTCTGGTTCTAGACCTTTGAGGAATTGCCATACTGTCTTCCACATTGATTAAATTAATTTACATTCCCAACAACAGTGTAGAAACATTCCTATTTCTCCATAACCTCATCAGCATCTGTTTTTTCTTGACTTTTTAATAATCACCATTCTGACTGGTGTGAGATGGTATCTCATTGTGGTTTTGATTTACATTTCTCGAATGATCGGCGATGTTGAGCTTTTTTTCATATGTTACAAGGCTCCTTTTTAAAGTATTCAACTAAACCAGAAATTACTGTATTCAGATGTTTATATTTATCTGTTTATTTCCTGCCTTCCCACTCCAAAACATAAATTCTTTTGGGAAGAAGGGAATATATCTTGCTAATCACTGAATCCCCATTGCCTAGTACATAGTGAAGATTTCGATAAATAGTTAACAGACGGATTGACCCATCTAATCTCTCCCACCCTCTAAAAGTGGCAGAAGTTTAATGTGATGAGTGTGTGAGGTGACCAGAACACTAAGGAAGGCCTCTCTGAGGAAGTGAGGAAATGGCATTGGTTCAAGTTCTGAATAATGAGACAGCCATGTAATGATGTTGGGGGATAGAGTCCTGTCTTAGTCTATTCAGGCTTCTATAGCAAAATACCTTAGGCTGGGTAATATATAAGCAACAGAAACTTATTGCTGATGGCTCTAGAGGCTGTGAAGTCCAAGATGAGGATGCCAGCAGATTTGGTGTCTGGTGAGGTCTCTCTCTCTGCCTCAGAGATGGTGCCTTCTTGCCACACCCCAACATGGTGGAAGGGGTGAGCCAGCTCCCTCTGGCTTCTTTTATAAGAGCACTAATCCTGCCAGGCGCAGTCACTCATGCCTGTAATCCCAGCACTTTGGGAGGCTGAGATGGGCAGATCATGAGGTCAGATCGAGACCAGCCTGGCCAACATGGTGAAACCCCATCTCTACTAAAAATACAAAAAGTAGTTGGGCATGGTGGCGGGCACCTGTAATCGCAGCTACTAGGGAGGCTGAGGCAGGAGAATCATTTAAACCAGGGAGGCAGAGGTTGCAGTGGGCCGAGATTGCACCATTGCACTCCAGCCTGGGTGACAGGGAGAGACTCCATCTCAAACAAGAAAAAACAAAACAAAACAAAAAGAGCACTAATCCCATCCATGAGGGTGGAGTTCCATGAAACAATCACCTCCTAAAGCCCTACCCCTTACTACCGCCACAGTAAAGATTAGGTTTAAACATGATTTTGTGTGTGTGTGTGTGTGTGTGTGTGTGTGTGTGTGTGTAAATGTATGCAGTAGAAGGTGAAATTTTGCTACAGGGATATATTGTGTAGTGATGAAGTTAGAGTTTTCAGCATATTCATTCCCAGAATAAAGTACATTACCCATTAAGGAATCTCTCATCTTTTTCCACCCTCCCATCCTTCTGAACCTGAGCTCCATTTTCTACTGCTTGTCATCTGAGGCATACCAGTGACCCAGACCTGTGGGAGACAGCTCAGAACTTCGTCACAGGGGAGGTAAAGCCGTTTTTAAAGGTTTTAGTTGGTGGATATTTATACAGCATTTACCATTGGTGGCTACTCTTCTAAGTGCTTCACATACAAGAACTCATGTAATTCTCACACGACCCTATGAGGAGGGTACCATTAGTATCCACGTTTTACAAATGTGGGGACTAAGGCCCAGAGAGTTTAAATAACTGGTCCAATGTCACACAGCTAGGAAGTAGCTGAGCCAAGATGCACCCCAGTGTGCAGGCTCTTTTTTTTTTTTTTTTTTTTTTTGAGTGAGATGGACTCTTACTGTGTCACCCAGGCGGGAGTGCAATGGTGCGATCTCAGCTACTGTAACCTCTGCCTCCTGGGTTCAAGTGACTCTCGTGCCTCAGGCTACCGAGTAGCTGGGACTACAGATGCACGCCACCATGCCCAGCTAATTTTTTGTATTTTTAGTGGAGACGGGGTTTCACCATGTTGACCAGGCTGGTCTTGAACTCCTGAGCTTGGTGATCTGCCCACCTTGGCCTCCCAAAGTCCTGGGATTACAGGCGTGAGCCACCGCACCCAGCCTGTGCAGGCTCTTAACAACTGTGACTATAGAGAACACTGCCTTTGGGTCCAAGGAATCTCTGGTCATGACTGGGTCACTGTAACACATTAGTAAATCTAGACACCTACTGCAACTTATGTGAGAAGTTTTCCTGATTTATTTTTTATGAATATCATGATGGTAGATGGCAAGAAAGTTTCAGGAACATCTAACTGTCTGGGTGGTCTTGCAACAATCTAGCAGGGTTGTTGAGAGGTTTAGTTAAGATAACTTGCAAAAAGCCCTTGGCAGAGTGCTGTGTGCACAGGAGCCACTCCACTAATAACAGCCACCCCACCAAACCCTGCTTGAATCCCTTATATTGTTAGTCTCTGCTGTAGCTTCAGGGTTTTCAGATTTTCCAAGCAGAGACTGAAGAGCTAAATGATCCTCCAACTCCACATGTTGGACAAACTTCAATTGAATAGATTCACAACACAAGGTCAGAGTGTCCTCACACCCGTGACCAACACCTGGAAGAAAAGAGGCTGCCAGTTCTCATGATGGAAAAGCTCTGTGACCAATTCTGCTAGCTGGTGCATGAGCCACAAAAACAGTAACCTATCCCATCTCGCATTTCATAGATAACACCTTTGAAGGCATGAGTTTATTTACAGCAAACGTCGGGCCTCTGGTCCTCTCTGATGTAAGTGAATTTCAAAATACTTTAAATTCAGGATAAAGCAGCAAAATGGGAAAATCTTTACACTCCAATAAGACATCATTACTGGCAAGCATATTGCACTTTCAATATCAGACTGAAAACCACCAGTGCATGAAAGGGAATGAGGGCATCAGCGTGGGCATCAGCCAGCTCAATAGATAGGGCCCTGCTAGGGAGGAAAGGAGCTCTGGGGGCTCCTTACAAAAGACTGTGCCTCCCCTTTCTGGACCGTTAGAGGTTTCCAACGATGGCACGGTTTTGAGTCCACTTCCTGCACACGGGATGGGGTGGGGAGAGTGGATCCTGTTTGCGTCTGTACAGTTATTCTAGGGTGTGTTGACACGCGTTAGTGGAGGAGGATAAGAGGGAAGGTTGGGCAGGGGTCATTAGCATTTAGATTGTACGACTAAGAAACTGATGAATGCAAAGTACAGGCTGCCGTGACACATAAGAGGGGAGACCAAGAGCAGACACCAGAAGTCCCTGAGATAGGCCAATTGCTCTTAAATAGGGGTCTCACATATGGGAAATGGAAGAGAGGGAGAGAGGAAAGGAGGGGAAGTAGGGAGGAAGGAAAGAAAGAAGGGCCAGATGGAGGGAGGAAGAAAGGAAGAGACGGAGAAAAGAAAAAGTGAAGGAAATCAATTAGAAAGGAGGATGAATGGAAGGCAGTGAGAGAAAAAGTTTGTATTTCTTGAGGGTACCAACTATGAGGCAGACGTTTTCTGCTTAATTCTGTGCCAGAAGGGCCTCCTGCATTCATTTATGAATAAAGAAACTGAAACTCAGAGAAAGTTCAAGTTCTTTATCATCATATGGCTAAGTCAAAGCCCAAGCTCGTTCTACTCCAATATGCCATTGGCTCTTCCCCTGTTTTTCCTGAGCCAAATGTTCAAAAGGGCAAGTTCAAGGCTGTTAAAAACACCGGAAATGCCTGTCATCACTCATTTTCCATGCCAGCCACTGTGCTAGACACTTAAAGCCAGTGTCTCACTGAATCATTAAAACAATATCCCCAGCACTTTGGGAAGCTGAGGCAGGAGAATCACTTGAGGCCAGGAGTTCGAGAACAGTTGGGCAATATAATGAGACCCCCAACTCTACAAAAAAATTAAAAATTAGCCAGGTATGGTGGCACATGCCTGTTGTCTCAGCTACTGGAGATGCTGAGGTTGGAGAATTGCTTGAACCCAGGAGTTCAAGGTTCCAGTGAGCCATGATTGTGCCACTGCACTCCAGCCTGGGCAACAGAGCAAGACCTTGTCTGTAAAAAAACAAAAACAAAAAAACCACACCCCCATTTTACAGAAAAGGAGAGAAGGTCAGAGAGGCCTAACTGAGGTCACACAGCAACTCTGCAGGACAGCCAGCATTCTTATCTGAAGTCTCTTAATTCAGAACCATTAACCTCAGTTAAAATCCCAGCTGAGCTGTGAAGGAGTGGTTGCAGGGCTTCTACCTTATAAGCCTGTGATTGGCTGCACAGTGGATGAAGATGCCCATGTTCTAATCTTCGGAACCTGTAAATATATTACTTTACACGGCAAAAAATACTTTTCAGATGTGAGATGGGAGATTATCCTGCTTTATCAGGGTGCACCTAATACAATCACCAGTGTCCTTATAAAGGAAAGAAGTAGGCAGGAGGGTCAGAGTCAGAGAGAAAGTTGACGATGCTATGCTGCTGGCTTTAAAGATGGAAGGGGAGGCCAGGCACGGTGGCTCATGCTTGTAATCCCAGACCTTTGGGAGGCCCAGGCAGGAGGATCACATGAGCTCAGGAGTTCAAGACCAGCCTGGGCAGTATAGTGAGACCCCCATCTCTATAAAAAAAATACAATAAATAGCCAGGCACGGTGGCATGTGCCTGTAGTCCCAGCTACTTGGGAGGCTGAGGTAAGAGGATTGCTTGAGCCCAGGAGGTGGAGGTTGTAGTGAGCTGAGATCATGCCACTGCACTCCAGCCTGGGCGACAGAGCAAGACTCTGTCTCAAAAAAAAAAATGGAAGGGGGCCATCAGCCAAAGAATACAGGTGGCCTTTGGAAGCTGGAAATGGAAAGGAAACAGATCCTCTTTCACAACCTCCAGAGGAAACACAGGCCTGTGACACCTTGATTTTAGCTCAGTAAGGTTTATTCCAGACTCTTGCCCTCTAGAACTGCAAGATAATAAACCTGTATTGTTTCAAGTCACTGAGTTTATGGTAATGTGTTATAGCAGCAAAAGAAAACTCAGACGGAGCCTCAGTTTCCTTATCTGCCAAATGGAAATTATAATCTTGGACCTGCCTGTTCCATGGGACTTTGATGATGATTACCAGGAGAGGCATCAGAGCCCTGGCAATGGAAAGTGATTGGCTCACCGGTAGTAAGAAGAATTTCCCAACAACAGTATAGGTTTTGTTAAAAAGAAAGAACCCTGCAGAAGAGGGCATCAAGGTGCCCCAGGAAGAGAGGACTGAGGGTGCCATGGTGTGGATTTTTACTTTAATATGGTTTGTCTGTGTCCCCACCCAAATCTCATCTGGAATTGTAGCTCCCATAATTCCCACATGTCATGGGAGGGACCCAGTGGGAGGTAACTGAATCATGGGGGTGGATCTTTCCCATGCTATTCTCATGATAGTGAATAAGTCTCACAAGATCTGATGGTTTTATAAAGGGGAGTTCCCCGCACATGCTTTCTTGGCTGCCACCATGTAAGACGTGACTTTGCTTCTCCTTCACCTTCAGCCATGATTGTGAGGCCTCTCCAAGCATGTGGAACTGTGAGTCTATTAAACCTCTAGCCTTTATAAATTACCCAGTCTCAGGTAGGTCTTTATTAGCAGCATGAGCATGAACTAATACAGAGCCTAAGGGTAATTTGGGCCCTATCATCCATGTTGGTCATGATAAATGATTACATTTGTAGACATTTTGGTGCCTTGATGTCAGCAAGGTTTGCACAATGAGTTCTGACATGCATGCTATGCAGAGATGTATAGAAATTCTAGTTTCTTACACATTTTAGAAAAGAAGCCTGGTACCAGATGTCTGTTTCAGATAATAGAAAAGTCTAATTACTTCTGAATTCCACAGCTAAGGAGTTTTGCCTCCGGGTGGTCTGCTTGATGGCCACCAGGGGATCTTTGCTGCCCTCAAAGATGAAATGTGTCCTTACGCTGGCCTGAATGCCATTCCCACTAGGACACATCACATGGGCTATGGTGTCCAAACCTGTTTTTTCCTGTCCGGAAAGGGTTCATCCAGGCCTTCCTGCATCTCAGCCTCTGTTCTTTCAGAGTTTTCTGTTTTGCTTGCTCCAGAAATAAGCTAGCTAGTCCACTGGGCTCAATGAAGAATGAAGCCTAAAGTTGGGGGTGATTGTATCCTGATGACATTGTTTGAGCTCCTGGATCCAGCTATGCCTGAAGCCACCTTACGCTGAACTTTTCAGTTAGGCAGGCCAAGAAATTTTCATTTTTTCTTAAGCCGGTTTGAGTTGAGTTACATAGAACTAAAGCATTTGGGATACCCTACTATGTATGAGGCTCCATACTATAAACCTTTGCTGCATCAATTCTATAGAGTAGAATTACTTTTGTTAATAGATGAGAAAACTGAGACACAAATGACTTAAGCAACTTGCCCAAAGTGCAATAGCTCATAAGTAGTAGTGGATTTCAAACCCAAGTTGGAGTCGAAAGTCTTTGCTCTTTTCCCAGTACCAGTTTTTAACTCTGATTTACCTTGAGCACAACTTGGGGGGCCATAAAGTCAAATTGAAAATGCTGTTTCTCTTGGGTCTTTACTCTTGCACTAAAAATAATAGAACACAGTTGTTGTTAGGTCCTATGATGGAAACTCTTAAAAATCTCTGCTGAAAAATCTTATTAAGTTTCTGTTCAGAATGTAATGCTTGGTAGTAAAAAGATACAAGCTCTTTGTAAAACAGTTTATATCAGAAAACATGTTGTAAAAGCTGTTGGCCGTCAGGTAGTTGCCCAAGGAGTCATTTTACTTAAATTCAAATACCACCTAAGAATACTTGATGGCTGGCAATTTACATTAGGAAGGAGTTGTCTGTTACTATGCATAGGAGATTGGAAATTGCATCTGGAATAGAATCCACAACTTTCTTCTCCCCATCCTCAGTTTCTGTGTTTGTCTGCGCAGCTGAGGTTTTTTTCTTTTTTTTTTTTTTTTCTTTCTTTTTTTTAACTGTTTTGTTGATCTGGGCTTTGGGGTAGGTGAGAAAGGAGTCTTTTTGTTCTGTTGACCTACCTAGATATCAAAAACTCCAGTGCCTATAGGGGTATGTAAATGAACACACAGACAGGGTAGTATTTTTTTTTTCAAACACCCTTGATTTTTTTTTTAATCTTTAAATGTGTACAGTAACCAGCCAGGCATGGTGGCATGTGCCTGTGGTCCCAGCTACTCTGGAGGCCGAGACAGGAGGATGACATGAGCCCAGAAGTTCGAATCCAGCCTGGGAAACATCTCCAGACCTCATCTCCAACTCTAAGAAAAAGAAAAGAAAAATGAAGAATTGTTGCTTGCATCCCAAATAAAATATGAGGTCTTGAAACTCGCTGTGTCTTCTCTCTACTCTTCATTTCCTGCCTTTAAGGGGACCTGGAAACAAACATGAATGGCACAGAACCTTGGTGGTAGGGACACAGTGGAGAGTGAGTGTTGGGGATAAGACAGAGAGGAGATGTGTGTAACTGGATGGCCCCAGAGACTGTGAGGCCCTTAACAGAAGTCTGCCAGGCTGAGGGAGCAGGTTGGATGGCACAGGTTATATATCCAGACTGGGACAGGTTTGAGACACATGTAAGTCTAAATGTCTAACAGAAAACTGGAAGAGCTAGAATGGAGGTTTCATGAGGGCTGGGGTTGTGTCTGTCTCATCTCTATGCCCACTGCTTAGGGCAGGGTCTGGCATAGCACAGATGGGCAATAAATGTTTTCTGAATGAATTGATCAACAAATAAATGAATGAATGCTGGACCAGAATTCAAGCAAGAAGTTGAACCTAAAGATGAATGCTTTGGAGTCTTTTTATATAGATTCATTAGCTGAAACCATGCAATTTAATGGAGTAGCCTAAGAAGAGAGTAAATAGAGATCAAAGGAGAACCAAGGAGAGATCCTCATGGGGAAAGACATTTAAAGATGCTGGTAGGACATTTAGAAGGGCTGCTAAGAGGGAAAAGAGGAGTCAGTGAGGTGAACATACAGGCTGACAACAGAGAGATCATATCAAAAAGTGGGTCTTCTATTCTGAGGCTTAGAACCATTACATCAGCCTTCAGAGAAGCCACAGCTTGGAATCCTAGAAGGACGAAGGCCTGCTGGCAACTGAACAAGAAAAGAGTTGCAGAAAAAGCAGCAGAACCGAAAACCTCCACAGCTTGTTAAATCCTGCTTGAGGCAAAGGAAAGCAGCCTCTAAGCCCAGCAAATTCCAGGCAACTGTCAAGAGGAAGGATTGCCCTCCCCAAGACAGCACAACAGCCTCATCCCAACAGGGCCAAGAGACCTAGCCAGGTTGTCATTGAGCAGGCTTTGCGGTGGCCAGAGAAGCCATACTGCCAGTGAGTATTGATCCTCCATTGTTCCTCCCTCCAAGCAATTCCAAAGGCTCATCCATTCCCCTTGGGTCTGAGCTGCTCACAACAAAACAAAAGTATTGTCACACTCAGCAGCTATGATACTTGCTAGTCTTGTGCAGTCTTTGATTAATGATTTTGTTCATAATTTAGTCATCTCCTTACTGTCTTCCCTGAGTAACCCCCAAGTTATTGCTGTTTATGTAGAAAAAAACATTGTACTGGTATACCGGGAAAATTACTGAAGTGGCAGGACTTGAAATTGATCTTCAAAAGACAATAGTGTTATTTATTTCTAATTTTTATTGATGCTTTCACTGTTCTTTAGATAGGAGGAAGAACCTTTGCTGGTTCTCTTGGAGGAGAGGGAGAGAGATCTAAAATATCCTACTCCAAAAATTAATGTGACCTTTGTACCTTACAAGGTCCCTTGTGCTAGCCCCGGCGTGAGGACGTCATATATATTTAGTCAAGTAAATTCATGCAATTAGAGGACATTCACTGACAAACAACTCTTATTATTGTGGATGAAATACAAAGATAAAAACTTCAAGGTCAAAAACTACTCCTCCAGCTGTAAGAGGTAAAGTTACTGCCTGGGGCAGGACACGGTCGCTCATGCCAGTAATCCTGCACTTTGGGAGGCCAAGGTGGGAGGATTGCTTGAGCCCAGAAGATCAAGACCATCCTGAGGAACATAGCAAGATCCCATTTCTAAAAAACGTTAAAAAATTAGCCAGGCATGATGGTGTGTGCCTGCAGTCCCAGCTACTTGGGAGGCTGAGGCAGGAGGATCACTTGAGCCCAGGAGTTCAAGGCTGCAGTGAGCTATGATCACGCCACTGCACTCCAGCCTGGGCGACAGAGCAAGATCCTGCCTTAAAAAAAAAAAAAAAAAATTACCTCCCCAACCTAGTCACCATTCACTCCAAGCCAGACACTCGGTGATTGATGACATTCCATCTGCTTCTTCGGTTAGTCCCTAAATCAAGCTATTTGATTTTATTTCACAAATCTCTCTCAGATCTGCCCTCAACCTTATATTGCTACTGTCACTGCCTTTTTTTAGGGTTTATCACCTCGGGCTAGGAAGTATAACTGTCTCTCTTCTGGTTTTAGCTAGGAGGGATTTGGTCTGGTAACCATATTCTATACTACTAATTAGCTTTGTCAAATAAAGTGAGTCTTTACTCTCTTATTTTTAAAAAACCTCCTAGGAATCTAATTTTTTTCAAAATAAATTTTAAAGCCCCTACAGAATTTTCCAGTCTCATCCACTTCTACTTCTGCCATTTTTAACTGACATCCCAGCCACGCTGAGCATCTCTCTGATTTCAGAATGAATGCGTCGTGTTCCCAAGATGATTTCATGCTCTTGCCTCCCTTTTTCCAGAATCCTTTTCCTTCTTTTTGACAGAGCAATTTATCTCCTATGACCCCCTTGACAGTCCTTCGTGGGTCTCGAACTGGGTCCCCCTTGCCCTAACTCACCCCATCTATATCCTCAGTACTGAGGCAAGAGACCCATCATGGCCTGTGTTTTGGGAGCTGCAAGAGAGGACGCAGTCCTCCAAGATAGAGTTTTATCTCTGCTATTTATTTTTTGAAAGGTCCCCAGAGAGGAAAGGACAAATAACACTGTGTGCATTCAATATGTGAAGTAGTGAAAGGGGACATGTCAGGCTGAAAATATTATACAAGGTGAGATGCAAAAAGCAGCACAGAATTGCTTTCTGGCCCTGTATCCTTCCTGCCCACTTGCTAAGCAGCTCCCCAAAGCCCCACGTAGCAGCTGGCCACTGTTCTCACCCAGAATTCCAGGAAATGAATCCCAGCTCTCATCAGGGGCCCAGGACAACCTGCTCTGTCCTGCTAGGAAAACAGGACTAGGGATTCTTCCTTCAAAACTACTGCAGCTCATAGAAAAAAGAACTTAGGAGCCTCCAGGAGAAATGAAACTCAAAATTACATGCACACAACTCGATTTTTATTATCGAAAAAGAATAACATATATCAACATGGTCTAATAAGCAAACAATACATAAAGATGTACAATGAAAAGAACGTCTATCTCTCAACTCCGGTGCCCTAGCACTTGCTGTGGACCTCCTCAAGATACAAAAATACAAAGTAAGTGTTTACCTTATACAAAAATAAGCATCTGCACGTTTTTTAAATAAATGGAAACACAGTAAAAATACTAATCAACACCTTGCAGTTTTTTTTTTTTTTTTAAGACAGATTCTTGCTGCAATGCCCAGGCTGGAGTGCAATGACGCAATCTCGGCTCACTGCAACTTCCGCCTCCTGGGTTCAAGCGATTCTCCTGCCTGAGCCTCCCGAGTTACCGGGATTACAGGCGCCCACCACCATGCCTGGCTGATTTTTGTATTTTTAGTAGAGACGGGGTTTCACCATATTGTCTAGGCTGCTCTCCAACTCCTGACCTCAAGTGATCCGCCCTCGTCGGCCTCCCAAAGTGCTGAGATTACAGGCATGAGCCACCGTGCCTGGCCAGCACCTTGCAATTTTTAAATTATACTTAAGATATACTTTGAAGATCGTTCCACATAAGCCCATAGACATCTTAGTCCTTTATAATGGCACAGTATTCAGTTGTGTGGCTGTGTCATAATTAGATCAGCTTCCCTATCAATAGGGGCTTATTTTGTTTTCAGTCTTTGGTATTAAAATTGTTGCCACAAACAGGTCACACATGTGTCATTGTGCACATATATCAGTATCTGTGACATACGTTCACAAAAGAAAAGACTCTGGGTCAAAATTTACAAAAGAGTTCAGGTGTGATGGCTCACTCCTGTAATCCCAGTGCTTTGGGAGGCTGTGGCAGGAGGATTGCATGAGGCCAGGAGTTTGAGACCAACTTGGGCAACGTAGAGAGACCCCATCTACACAAAAAATAAGAAATAAAAAATTAGCCAGGTGTGGTGGCATGCACCTGTAGTCCCAGCTACTCTGGAGCATGAGGCTGGAGGATCACTTGAACCCAGAAGTTCAAGACTACAGTGAGCTATGATTGTGCCACTGCACTCCAGCCTGGGTGGCAGAGTGGGTTTCTGTCTCTACAAAATGTTATGAAAGTATAAACTTTTAAAAAAATGGTCTACTTTTTTTTAAGGTCTTTCTGTGGACGGTTGATCCCTGGCTTTGTGATTCATTCCCCATGGCCCTGTTGGGCTCCAGTGGGGAGCAGCCAGCTCCCAACACAAGGATTGGCATCACGTAGCCTGGCACTACATGCAGGGCAGCAGAGCTTGGGATATTTTGGTGTTTTCAAACCTATTGTCTATATACAAACCCTTAGTGTAGCATTCAAGGCCTTTTACAATCTGACCTTTCACATAGTAAGGTGATTTAGGCTCTATCTACAAACCAAACCTCTGCTCAAAAACTTGAGAGCAGACAATAAGAGTCACCAAGATGAACTCAAATTATGATTAACTTTCCCTAAAGCATGCAGACACCAAGCCCCATGTTACATCTTCCTAGTCTGCCCACAAGTCACTAACGGCCTCCCATTCATATCCCATAATAGTCTCTAGCCACATCCAAAAGGGCAAAGAAAAGTCTAGAGATTTAAGACCTCAGGCATTCCCGATGAGAAATAAAGGTAGATTCAGGGTTGCAAACTCATACACCTACAGGATACTGCCTACAAATACAAACTTTACGTTGTGATCAAAGCTGTTGGAGCCTCCACTCGGCAGCTCAGGCCCTGCCCAAAGCGGGCAGCCACTGCTCAGCTCAGCTCTACTGTCTTATGGGAAAGCCTAGTATCATAAGACTTTGCACAGCTTCAAGACAAATTGGAAATCCAGATTTGTACGTAAAGCCTCCCAATTTTGAAGACTCCAAAAATAACATTGTAAAAAGTTAATCCTGGCCAGGCGAGGTGGCTCATGCCTGTAATCCCAGCACTTTGGGAAGCCAAGGCGGGCGGATCACAAGGTCAAGAGATCGAGACCATCTTGGCTAACACAATGAAACCCCGTCTCTACTAAAAATACAAAAAATTAGCCAGGCGTGGTGTCACGTGCCTATAATCCCAGTACTCGGGAGGCTGAGGCAGGAGACTCGCTTGAACCTGGGAGATGGAGGTTGCAGTGAGCCGAGATCACGCCACTGCACTCCAGCCTGGGCAACAGAGCAAGAATCTGTCTCAAAATAAATAAATAAATAAAGTTAATTCTATATGGGATGAAAAAAGAAAATGCATATAGTCAGATTAGGACCAAGGGCCCTCTGACCTCTGCTCTAGGTCTATCCTAGACATTTTGTTCCCCTTTCCTCTCCAGACAGGTTCATCCCAAACACTCAGCATCAATGCTTCCAACCCCAAGTAATAGAAACACTACAAAGGGCTCCAACTTACAGCGAACGTAGAGGTGAAACGTTAGACCTGCTTTTGTTATAAGGAACGTTCGAAAGGCCAGTCCTAGCCTGTGCTCCAACTGAGGGTAGGAGACTCACACATTAAGTGTGTTAAGGACCTCACAAGACAAGATATTTAAGAGCTACCATGGTAAAGACCAACTGGCAAAATGAATGGCTTGCACTGTAAAAGCAACGAGCAGTTGGATCCACTTAGGAAAGCTGCGTTGCTTCATAATCAACACTGAAGCTGCTTCATAATCGAGCCTTCTTGACCATTTCCCATTTCCCAGGTGATGTTCTTTCCTTGATCCTTTGAAATGAGACATGTGCTCCTTCCTAAAGCACCTCAGAGAAGAAGCAGAAAACCTGGGGGCTTCTCACACCCATCCTTGCCATCCCCCCTTTGAGTGGGATGTGCAAATTTGCTTCTCCTTGGAACAGCCTCTTGTACATATGGCATGTTCTTGGAGATGTGCTTGCATCTCAGGGAACTCACTCAGGGCATGGTTGCCACCAGCATATGACCTTTTTCATCAGAACAAGAACAGGTGGATAGATATGGGTCCTTGGGTTAACAGTCAACAGCACCCCAAATCTGGTCACCATTGTGTAGGCAAGAAAGCAAGAAAGGATTTAGATACCATATGACCTTGATTCCTCATTGCTATGTTGAAATGTGAAAAACACTGGGAGAGATTTGAAGTTTTCCACATTTGTCATCTAAACCTCGCTGGGAAATCAAAAGTACTTCTCTATGTACCCCCCTCTATTGGCTGCCCATTCAATTCACTACTCTTGTGATATTACCCTGATTTCCTTTGGGCTTTGGATATGGGGGATTTTTTTTCCAGATGCTTTATTTTACCCTGGTCAAAGGGTGGAAACGTGCTGTCACTCCTTCGTTGGTTCATTCCACAAATATTTATTGAAGATCTTTGTTTCAGACACTGACCTGGCTGTTGAAAACATTGATTGATAATAGTTGTTGTCTTCTCACTTCTGACTTCATAAAGCTTACATGCGAACGTACAATCCAGTTTCCCTTGACCTAGGTTAGGCTAATTAGTAAACTCCCTCTCTGGAATTAGGAGAACACAATAGCTCAAAATGTTTGAACTCATCTATTCCAGCTTGGCACTCTTTGGGGGACTTTGTGGAAGTCCCTGGTTCTTGGACCCTTCAGAATTGCTTACATTTTTATCCGCAGGGATTCCTGGGTGCTTACCCATAATTCTATTTCCCATTTTCCAGCCTTCCCATCCATCCACAAGTACTCAATATACTTCCAATAAACCTTTTGGTTTTTGTTTGCTGGTGTTAGTTTTTATTGCTTGGAAGCAAAGAGCCACTACTGTTTTGGAAGATGCCTCCAGCCTTCCTGTCTGGGCACCAATCATAGGCTGTTAGAAGCAGCCAGGCCACCTCTTGAACACTTTGCTGCTTAGAAATTTCTTCTGCCAGATACCCCAGGTCATCACTCTTAAGTTCAAACTTCCACAGATCCCCAGGACATGAACAATTTAGCCAAGCTCTTTGTTATGGTGACGTTTGCTCCAGTACCCAATAAGTTCCTCATTTCCATCTGAGACCTCATCAGCATGGCCTTCACTGTCCATATTCCTTTAAGCATTTTGGTCACAGTTACTTAAGTCCTTAAGTCTGTAAGAAGTTCCAAACTTTCCTTTACCTTCCTGTCTCCTTCTGAGCCCTCCAAACTCTTCCAACCTCTACCCATTACCCAGTTCCAAAGCTGCTTCCACATTTTAAAGTATCTTTATAGCAATGCCCCACTCCTCGATATCAATTTTCCATGTTAGTCCATTCTTGTGTTACTATAAAGAAATACCTAAAGCTGGGTAATTTATAAAGAAAAGAAGTATATTTGGCCCACCGTTCTGCAGGCTGTGCAGGAAGCATGGCACCAGCATCTGCTTCTGGTGAAGGCCTCAGTCCTCTTCCACTCATGGTGGAAAGGAAGGGGAGTTGGTGTGTCACATGGCAAGAGCAGGAGCAAGAATGAGAGGTGGGAGGTGCCAGCCTCTTTTAAATAACTCGATCTCGCTGAACTCAGAGTAAGAACTCACTCATCACCACGAGGATGATGACACCAAGACATTCATTAAGGATCCACCCCCAAGACCCAAACACCTCCCACCAGGCCCCACCTCCAACACTGGGGATCACATCTCAACATGAGATTCGGAGGGGACAAATACCCAAACTTTATCACTCATCTTATCAAAACCTAGAGTGCTCTTTTTAAAGTCAGAGTTTTACAAAAACAACCAGGTGGAAATAACTAAACCCATGCTATAGAATACATTTCATGCAGTTTGCCTCTTTCTCTCTCACTTCTCTCTCAATGCTTCCCACTGAAATTGTAATATCTAAAGTACAATTTTAATGATAACTATCAATGTCTTCTCATTAGGATAATATTGATGTAGTTCTCAGGCAGCAGTGGCTAGGAAAATAGGCAGCTGTGGCCCTAGTTCTCACCTATTTTGGTTTCTTCCTTGTTTAAACTCACCCACTGTGTAAACATAGCCCACTGTTGGGAACAAGCTCCTACATTCTATCTAGTAATTGCTTTGCAGCAGTGCAAATATCCTAACAACTTGTCTTTCAGACTCTCTGTGTATTGTAGCTTCCAGTCCTATTCTCCCATAGGGAATGTTAGATGCACCTCAAAAGCAGTCTGGCTCTTTCTAAGCTAAGCTCCTACATGGCAGCAGAAAACATAAATTGTTCTGGTTATTTTTAGAGTCCAGGCAGATAATGCAAACAAGGAAAGATGGCTTGGTGTAAGATGTCTAAGGTGTCAGAAGCCTATGACCAGGAGCCTCTGTACCCTTCCCGTAGACCCAGCCACCAATCGGCTGTTCCATGCAGAATGCTGGCCCACGACTGCCAGATCTTTCTATTTTTTCAAGACAAGTTTTGAAATCTGGATTTGTAGGTGAAAGCTACCACTTTTTAGATGTTGGCAATTAACTACAAAGGAATCAACACTGTTTTGGGAAGGTTTTGGCCTGTGGACTGTCGGTTTTCAACTCTGGGTCTTCTTCCTTCACCTTTTCTCCAATGCATCTCACTACGAATCAGCCTGCTGTGCTTCTGCATACTTTGAGCTTTATGTTTTGGTTCATCCTTATTCTTTTTTTTTTTTTTTTTTTTTGAGATGGAGTTTCGCTCCTATTGCCCAGGCTGGAGTGCAATGGCATGACCTTGGCTAACTGAAACCTCTGCCTCCCTGGTTCAAGCAATTCTCCTGCCTCAGCCTCCTGAATAGCTGGGATTACAGGCACCTGCCACTATGCCCAGCTAATTTTTTGTATTTTTAGTGGAGACGGGGTTTCACCATGTTAGTCAGGCCGGTCTCCAACTCCTGACCTCAAGTGATCCACCCGCCTCAGCCCCCCGAAGTGCTGGGATTACAGGCGTGAGCCACTGTGCCCGGCCAGTTCATCCTTATTCTCTTGCCTTGTTGGGAATTGATAACCTCCTAGTCCACTTGCTTTATGGGAGGGGTTCCCAACCCCGGGGCCATGGTACCAGTACCGGTCCATGGCATGTTAGGAACCAGGCTGCACAGCAGGTGAGTGGGTGGTGAGCAAGCAAAGCTTCGTCTGTATTTACAGCCATTCCCCACTGCTCACATTACCTCCTGAGCTCCACCTCCCTTCAGAACAGAGGCAGCATTAGATTCTTAAAGGAGTGTGAATCCTATTGTGAACTGCACATACGAGGGATCTAGGTTGTGCTCTCCTTATGATAATCTAATGCCTGATGAGTTGTCACTGCCTCTCATCAACCCCAGATGGGACCATCTAGTTGCAGGAAAACAAGCTCAGGGCTCCCACTGATTCTACACTATTGTGAGTTGTATAATTATTTCATTATATATTACAATGTAATCATAATAGAAATAAAGCACATAATAAATGTAATGCACTTGAATCATCTTGAAACCATCCCCCAACGATTTGATCCATGAAAAAATTGTCTTCCATGGAACTGGTCCCTGGTGCCCAAAAGGTTGGGTAGCACTGCTTTATGGTGTTGCTCTAGGAACTACCCCCAGGTTCCAATCGTCATGTGTCCTTGACCTCACTGCAGATCTCCCAGCCTCCAACCTCTGTTTGAATGCTTTCCATGACAGGGAATTTTCTATCACCCATCAGATGCCTTCATAATAAGGAGCCATATAACATAGTGGAAAGGATGGGGATTTCAAAGTAAAACAAATGAGTTTAGATTCCAGCTTGGTCGCTCTGCCTGTGTAAGCCATGGTTTTCTCATCTGTTAAACAAAGTCTTGTTTAGAGAACTAAATGTGGTAACATGGGTCAGTGTATTGTACCTGCCACAGGGTAAGTAAGAGGGTCACAGTGGTAGTTTCCCTTCTTTTTATTACTTCCCTGTCCATTTTTCCTGGGAATGCTTTCCAAAACCATCCAGAATATGTTGAATCTCTCTTTCGTTACGGTCTTTCAAGATTAAGAGATCACACTCATATCCTCCCATGTCTTCTCTTTTCCAGATTCAATAGAACTAGTCATTTCAAGTATATATGGGTCCTGTATGGACATTAAGCCCTGCCACTCCCGGGATGCCAGGCATGGTAAGTTATGTTTGCAGTTTTGATAGAGACGGGCTTCTGGAAGTCTGTTCAAGGAACTACGGATCAACCTGAGAGAGTGGCCATCTTAGGAAGACGGTCCCAAGGGAAAAGGGTTTTGTTCACTTACGATGCTTCAATTTGTGGGTGGGAGGGGGGCATAGGGAAAAGGGTCTTCCTTAGTGCAGCATATGAGATTTGTGCGGCAGCTCATATGATTACATGCCTGAGTCTCTAAGGAGAAGGCAGTGCATTAAGAAATGGGGGAAAGGGCCAGGTGAAGTGGCTCAAGTCTATTATCCCAGTGCTTTGGGAGTCCGAGGCAGGAAGATCACTTGGTGCTGGGATTTGGAGTGTAGCCTGGGCAACACAGACCCCATCTCTGCAAAAAAAATTTAAAAATTTTAAAAATAAATGGGTTGAAGGCAAAAAAAGGAAAAGAGTTGTTTGAGCTTTATAAAACATCAGGACACAGGGCAAGATGGTTTAGATGCTCATGAGACAAACTACACTGTTCTATGAGGGTAAGACGGACCATCTTCCCCCTAACACAGCCTTGTTCCCTACCACCACCATCTCCAACAGACAGAACCCTCTCAGGATTAAAGAGATATCAGCTCTGCAATGCTTTACACATGAGACCTGCAATAATTGTTATTATTCGGTGTGATGGTGTGGAGCTTATAGCGTCTGTGACTCGACAATCAAGTAATGAGCTATTGACGAGGGAAATGAAGCTGATGACAGCTAGGGCTGGAGACCATTAACATCTGAGGCTTTTCCTGCTGAGTGTTCTCACTTGGGACTCTTTGATAACAGCCAATCATTACAAGCACATTTATTGAGATGTTACTCTATGCTGAGTGCTTTCTAGAGATGATTATGTGTAAGTTTCACAACAGCTCTAGGAGAAAAGCAATATTATTCTTCTGATTTACAGATAAGGAATCTGGACAGAAGAAAACAACAAACATCCACCACATATTGGAGAAAGGGGCCTCAGCCATGAGAGAGTTTATCAAGAAACACAAGTAGAGAAGTGACAGATCACATATGATCCCCAGAGAAGGAGTGCATAGTCTGAGCTGAGCTAGGATGGAGGTGCCATGGATGAGAAGTCTATTAAGACAGGTGCTTTTCCCTGCATTGGGTCCACAGTTGTAGGGAAAAAGGAGGGCCAGTCTCTCAGTTTAATTTGCATGGGAAATCACCTGGAGACCTTGTTAAAGATGCAGATTCTGATTCAGTAGGACTGGGGTGAGGTCCAAGAGGCTGCATTTCTTAAAATTCTCCAGGGGAGGCCAAGGCTGCTGGCCCACAGATCACAGATCACACTATAAGTAGCAAGGACCTACGCAAGTGCACAACAATGGTGCTTTTGCTTAGCGAAGTGTCGGGAGGAGCAGCTTGGCTCTGGTCTCAGTCCTACCACTGAGCTTACTCCAACCTGCTGAGCCAAATTCCTGCTAGATCAGCAATGGGGACAGTAGAGAGAAAATGAGCAAAGAAAAAGTGCTGTCCACTTGGGTCTCTCCTTAGTTCTCCATTTGATTTTTTTTTTTTTTTTTTTTTTTTTTGAGGCAGGGTCTCACTCCGTCACCCAGGCTGGAGTGCAGTGGCACAATCATGGCTCACTGCAGCCTCGACCTCCTGGGCTCAAGCCGTCCTCCTACCTCAGCCTCCTGAGTAGCCAGGACTACAGGCACACACTACCACACTCATCTACATTTATTTTTCATATAGAGACAGGGTCTTGCTTTGTTGCCTAG
This sequence comes from Homo sapiens, assembly GCF_000001405.40. Classification (NCBI taxonomy): domain Eukaryota; kingdom Metazoa; phylum Chordata; class Mammalia; order Primates; family Hominidae; genus Homo; species Homo sapiens. The sequence goes on along the minus strand of NC_000016.10, from coordinate 25,531,486 downwards.
GTTTGTCTCAAACTCCTAAGCTGCAGCAACCCTCCCACCTCAGCCTTCCAAAGTGCTAAAATTACAGGCATGAACCACTATGCCTGGCCTCACCATAAGAATTTAAAGTGCATTTAGCTATCATATAACTAAAAAAAAAAAAGCAAATTAAATGTAAGCAAAACCATAAAACTCATCAAATAAAATGTTTAACGTTAAATTAATATGATGGTAATATATTTAATATCCTGGTAAAACAACACGCATTAAGTGAGTGTGACATAAATTACTATAGACAGGGTTCTTTTCATTTTAGCAAGTGAACTGTTCCTAACATAAATTACTGCAAAACCTTTTTTTTTTTTCTTTGAGACGGTGTCTCGCTCTGTCGCCAGGCTGGAATGCAGTGGTGCGAACTCGGCTCACTACAACTTCTGCCTCCTGGGTTCAAGCGATTCTCCTGCCTCAGCCTCTTGAGTACCTGGGACTACAGGCGCGCTCCACCATGCCCGGCTATTTTTTTTATTATTATTATTTTTATTTTTAGTAGGGATGGAGTTTCACCATGTTGGCCAGTCTGGTCTTGAACTTCTGACGTTGTGATCCACCCACCTCAGCCTCCCAAAGTGCTAGGATTACAGGAGTGAGCCACCGTGCCCAGCCTGCAAAACCTATTTTTATACAGCTCACTATGATGTGATTTGGCCCTTGCTTTATTCAAAAGCATCCTTGATCTATTATGGCCACCTCTCTTATTTTTGCATCCACCTGTCAAAATTGAAGTCATATGTTACTGTTTGGTAACATCAATCGAAATCTTTATTTAATAACAACATAAGCTGACATCTTCTTTCATAAAAATATCTTTCAATTGCAAAAGACAATCTTTGTTTTCATTCCTGCCAACAGAATTCTAAATGAATGTAAGAGGCAGAAGATGTAAAGTTGTGCCATTTTGTTTGTTGATTTCAAATAATAATAAGCCTTTATTTTTCTTCCATTAAAACAGTGTATTTTTGTACTCACTACTTTCTAACATAATAATATAAGTACCCTCTTCAGTTCTATCCCTGTTTCCACTTTCCAGTGTCTTCTGAATTTTTACCTTCACAATGTCAAATTTACAATATTTATATTTTGTTCTACAATGTTAATTAAATCTTCTGAGCTTTATCATACGTTGATTCTAAAAATTGAAAATCAATGGTGATTTCATTATTATGACTGTGTAACTGCGGTTCACCACACAGCTATTACTCTCCATGATTAAATGTTCTTTCCTGTATGACTTTTTGCCTGGAGTTCAAATTTTTTGGAACTAATTACTTTGGACTTGTTTTTTATTTTGTTCAACCTCTTGCACAAATTTAGTATTCTGTCGAACCCTCTGGTTTCCCTGGAGAGTTCCTCCTGGGCCTACGTATCTGATAATGTCTTTATTCTGCCATTCTGTTTATTGATACTTTATGTACAGAATTTTAAATTGGTATGATTTTCCCTCATAAAGTCAAAGCCTCTCAATATCTAGAGCTGTGGATGAATTGTCTGATGCTGACTTTTTCATTTTGGATTTTTCTCTTTTTTTGCTTTTCAGGTTTCTTCTTATCCCTGACCATCTGACATTTGGTGATAATGTGTGCTAGGTGAGTGTTTGTTTTTTTTTGTATTCATTATGCTGGGCACTAGGTGTACATTTTCAATTTGAGTATTAGGTCCTTCCACTCTGGAAAAATTCCCCCATTACTTATTTGATACCTTTCCCCATCATTGATTTGTCTTTTCATCAGATGTTGATGTTCCTGCATTGATTTTCTGGGGTTCTTTCTCATAGCCATCACCTCCTTGTTTTCTTGCTCTACTTCTGAGAGATTTCTTAAGTCTAATCTTCCAACTTTTCCATTGAATTATTCTCTGTTCTGACAAACATGTCTTTACTATCTAGAAGGTATTTCCTAGCACAGGGTTAGGACACATTTTCACTGTGTCCTATGCTTGTTTTAATATTGCAACATCTCCAGTCTCTCTGAGAACACATTTTAGGATTTATTTCATGTTCTCTTCTGTTCCTGGCACAACATCTGCCTCCTCCAGAATTGTTTTCTGTGCCTGTTTGTTTTGACACCTCTCTTCCATGTTGGAGGTTCCCATTTGGAGAAGTTTATTCATGCTGAGGAACAAGACGAGTAAATCTGGTGAGAGCCCTGTAGCCTGGACAGAACTTGCTGATTTTGCCAATTTGCTCCAAGTGAGACCAGTTTTAAGAAGCAAGTGAACCACTACCTGGTAAACCCAGCTATGGTTTAAATGTTTGTGTTCTCCCAAAATTCGTATGTTGAAGCTTAATCATCAATGAGATGGTATTGGGAGGTAGAGTTATTGGGAGCTGATTAGGTCTTGAGGGTGGAGCCAACATGAGTAGGATTAGTGCCCTTATAAAAGAAGCCCCCGAGAGCTCCCTTCCCCCTGCACCATATGAGGACACAGCAATAATGTGCCCCCTGTGAACCAGGAAGTGGGCCCTCGCCAGAAACAAAATCTGACATGTCTTGATCTTGGACTTCCCAGCCTCCACAGCTGTGAGAAATAAATGTCTGTTGTTTATCATTTACCCCATCTATGGTATTTTGTTTTAACAGCCTGAAAAAACTAAGATAGTCTCTAAATGGTAGAAGGTAAAGAGCATTCCCCTGGAGGCTGCCAGTTTCTCTGGAAGAGAATACTCCTTTTTTCAAAGTCTGGGAATCGAAGCCTGGCTTCTAGGCATTATGTTCTCCGGGTAAAGTAAGTTTGACTGTTTCGCATATAGACTTTGATTAATCGCCTGGTGTATTAGTCTGTTCTCATGCTGCTATGAAGATGTACTTGAGACTGGGTAATTTATAAAGGAAAGAGATTTAATTGACTCACAGTTCCACATGGCTTGGAAGGCCTCAGGAAACATACAATCATGGCAGAAGGGGAAGCAAACACATCCTTCTTCACATAATGGCAGGAAGGAAAAGTGCCGAGCAAAGAGGGGAAAGCCCCTTATACAACCATCAGCTCTCATGAGATCTCACTCACTATCATGGGAACAGCAGCATGGGGGCAACTGCCCCCATGATTCAATTACCTCCCACTGGATCCCTCCCATGACACCTGGGGATTATGGGATCTACAATTCAAGATGAGATTTGGATGGGGACACAGCCAAACCATATCACCTGGTTTTCTGCTCCATATCAGCATCTTACCCTCTCTTGGAGCTGGTACTTCATGTTGCTGAGGCCCTTCGATGCATGAAGGGCATACCGCCTGCCTTTCACTTGAACCTCCTTCTGCTGCATTTCACCCGAACCTCCTTCTGCACATACTCTGCACAGTGACTTCCTTGATCCTGCTTCACCAGTTTTTGATCCCCTCTATTTTATCCATCTTCCAGAAATGTGATGAAATCTTTTTTTCTGAAGACTGTCTTCCCATTTTCCTGTCATTGAGTATTTAGACTTTGTTCCTGTTTATTTATTATCATTTTATGGAGAGTGTTGGTACAGAAAGGAAATGAATTTATGTGATCAACCAGTCAACTCTAACCAGAAGTCATTATTATCAATCTAGCACTGAAAATACCAATCTGCTGGGAGGCCGACCTGTTTACCTACATCTTTAAAGGTAAATTCTGCCTTTAATTGGTGCCAATAATTACCTGGTGCCAATATAATTATAAACTATTTACATAGACAGTACTTGAGCATAGGGATATGTGCCAAATAAGATGTTTTCACCTGTAAGTAAGAGGAAACCTTGACACAATATGTTTAAACAATAAGGACACTTATTATTTCATAAATCATTAGGTCAGAGGTAGGTAGGATCCTGGGTTAGTAAAATCAGGGCTCTGTCTCAAGTTCTCTGAGGTTCGGTTCACTCTGCTTTTCTCTGCATGCAGACTCACATTAGCTTCCATCGTGGTAACAAGACAATTTCCTGTATCATCACTAGAGGCAACTAGGGCAACTGGTTTTTCATTTTTATATCCTGTAAGAAAGGAAAAAAATTCTCAGCCACAAAACTAAAGGTCATCCTAGCAACCTTGTGTCTGCCCCACACCTTTAACAGTCACTAGAGAAGTCTCATGTATTTAAGTCTAGGTTCTAGGTTTCTGAAACAGTTACTTGCAAGGTGCTATGGTTTGTTTGTCCCACCAAAACTCATGTGGAAATATGATCCCCACTGTGGCAGGATTGGGAGGTGGGCCTAGTGGGAGGTGGTTGGGCTATGGGGGTTGATTCCTCATAAAAAGCTTGGTGCCATTTTGAAGTAGTGAGTTCTTGCTCTCTCAAGACTGGATTATTTCTCAAGGGAATGGATTAGTTCCCTCGAACATGGGTTGTTATAAAGTCAGGGTGCCCCTCAGGTTTTCCCCTCTTTGCACACATCCCTTTCCCTTCTCCACTGTGTTTTATGTCCCTCCCGGGGAACCCAGCAGATGCTGATGCCATGCTTCTTGCACTTCCCAGCCTGCAGACCCATGAGCTAAATAAAGCTCTTTTCTTTATAAATTACCTGGTCTCAGGTAATCTGTTGCAACACTAAATGGACGAAGACACAAAGGAACTAAGATTGCCATGATTTGCATAAAGAAACCAGAATCTGCCCTCAGAACATGGGCTATGTAAGAGGTGAGAATACCTGAAAATATGGAGCTTTGAAAAAAGATGAATGTGAAATATGTGAAATACGATGCAGGGCAGGTAAACCACAGTGTGCACCATTAGTAGTCATCTCAATGACACAGAATACGCTAATGTTTTAATTATTATTAATGCAAACATGGCAATGTATCATTTAAATATTCTCACAGAGAACTGTCCAGAACCTGACCACATGTTGATGAAACACTGCACCTGACCACATTATACTGTTTCTCCAAATGTGAGCTTCCCCATCAATCTACCTCACTACCCTCCCTACAGAGAGCAGGCTCAGTTTACTGTGCCCTCTGAGATGAAAGTTGCCTGGGAGATCTTAATTGTCAATCCTGAGGAAAGAAATAGTGTCCAGCAAAGGTTTCAAGACAGCTTTGTGGGAGGTAAAGCTACCATGCTGTCCCACCATCAGTGATGTTTGAAAAGGAATTACTTTTATTGTCATTCTCCAACACTGCCATTCCTCTCTGATGCCAAACTTCAATTTACAGCCCAAGCTCTGTTCCTGATCATGCTGCTATCTGCCTTCACCTTCCACATTAATACTTTGTGCTCAAGTAATTCATCTTCAAATGCATCACAAAAGCGACAACCATGCTAAGTTCATCCAAGTAGCATTAAAGTTCAATTAAAATAGAAACTTGCAAAGTGAGGGAGTGTTATCTTACCTAGACCCAAGATTAATTTCTCAGACTTTGGAAGTCCTAGTTTTGTTAGTAAAAAAGAATAAAATAAGAAAAATTATGTAGCTTGGGAAATCTGAGCAGGTTAAATTCAGGCAGCTTTGTTTTCATTCATGTATTCATTCCACAGATGTTTCTTTCTTTCTTTCTTTTTTTTTTTTTTTTTTTTTGAGAGTGAGTCTGGTTCTGTCACCCAGGCTAGAGTGCCATGGCGTAATCCTGGCTCACTGCAACCTCCGCCTCCTGGGTTCAAGTGGTTCATCCTGCCTCAGCCTCCTGAGTAGCTGGGACTACAAGCACGCACCGCTATGCCCAGCTAATTTTTGTATTTTTAGTAGAGACAGGGTTTCGCCATGTTGCCCAGGCGGGTCTCAAACTCCTGGCCTCAAGCAATCCACCTGTCTTGGCCTCCCAAAGTGCTGGGATTACAGGTGTGAGACACCGTGCCCGGCCCCACAGATGTTTCTGAGTATCTACTTTGGGGAAACAGCTGGAAGAAGCCCTTAGGGAAACCTAGATGTTCTCCACCTATAGGGTGGTATCTTAAAATTCATCTCCTCGGGATGCAGATGCTAAGATGGAAGTTTGTGAGCAGGAGGCTTATGGGAGGCGCTTTTGGAGTTAATGCCTATGAGGTAGTAAGTGAAGCAAGATTCATAAATGTAAGAGGTTGAACTGCAATGCAGTTGAAACAGAGGCCTGAGGCCACTCCATGGAAAGCGCTAGATGCAGGCTGGCCCTTTATCACTGTCCTGAATTGACACAAGGAGGTCAGTTCTCGGTACCCCCACTTGACCAGTCACTAGAATACAGCAGCTTCTGAGGAACGGTCATGATCTTAAGCATGGCAGCTCCCTTCAGCTGAAGAAAATTCCTGGACGGAAGTTCAGCTGCGAGCAATGCCTTCTCAGTGCATTGACAGCTGACAAGGAGTGCTTGTCTTGGAGGGAATCCAGGCAGTTCACCAGAGCATCAACTACAGGTCTCAGACTTAAAAACATATCAGGACAAAAAATAACAAATGTTGGTGAGGATGCAGAGAAAACACTGTTGGTGGGAACATAAATTAGTATAGCCACTATGGAAAACAGTATGGAGATGGAGGCTCCTTGAAAAAACTAAAAATAGGACTAGCATATGACCCAGCAATCCCACTGCTGGGTATATATCCAGAAGAAAGAAATCAGTATTTCAAAGAGATATCTGCACTCCCCTGTTTATTGCAGCACTATTCACAAGAGCCAAGATATGGAATCAACCTAAATGTCCATCAAGGGATTAATGGATAAAGAAAATATGGTATATATGCACAATAGAATATTACTCAGCCATAAAAACAAATCAAATCCTGTCATTTGCAGCAGCATGGATGGAACTGGAGTTCATTATCTTAAGTGAAATAAGCCAGGCACAGAAAGACAAATATCGCATGTTCTTACTCATATGTGGGATCAAAAAAAGTGGATTTTATGGAGGTGGAGAGTAGAATGGTTACCAGAGGCTAGGAAGGGAAGGGGAGAAATGAAGAGAAACTGGTTAATGGGTACAAAATACAATTAGGTAGGCCCGGTGCGGTGGCTCACACCTGTAATCCCAGCACTTCGGGAGACCAAAGCTGGTGGATCACCTGAGGTCAGGAGTTCAAGACCAGCCAGACCAACATAGTGAAACCCCTACTCTACTAAAAATACAAAGTTAACTGGGCATGGTGGTGCGTGCCTGTAATCTCAGTTACTTGGGAAGCTGAGGCAGGAGAATCGCTTGAACCCAGGAGGTGGGGGTTGCAGTGAGCCAAGATTGCACCATTGCACTCCAGCCTGGGCAACAAGAGAGAAACTCCATCTTAAAAAAACAAAAAAAAATTAGATAAAAGGAATATGTTCTAGTATTTGATGGTAAAGCAGGGAAATTATAGTTAACAATAATTTATTGTATATTTCAAAAAAGCTAGAAAAGAAGATTTGTAATGTTCCCAACAAGAGGAAAAGATAAATGTTTGAGTTGATGGAAATCCCAAAACCGTGATTTGATCATTACACGTTGTACACATGTATCAAAATATCACACGTACCATGAAAATATGTACAACTATGATATATCAATAAAAGTACAAAAAGAAACGGGAAAAAAAGTATCAAATTGACTTCTGGTCAAAGAGGGGTGAATTATGATGTACATGTTTTGAAGCCCCTACTGCTACTCCAAACACATGGCAATAAAAGATAAATGATAAAAAGTCATAAGCAAAAATGCACATTCATATAAAATATAAAAAATTAAAATTAGGAAGGAGTGTTCGTGTACTTGGCATATTGCCCTAATAGTTACTTTTTTTTTTTTTGAGACGGAGTCTCTCTGTGTTGCCCGGGCTGGAGTGCAGTGGTGCGATCTCAGCTCACTGCAACCTCCGCCTCTCCGGTTCAAGCTATTCTCCTGCCTCAGCCTCCCGTGTAGCTGGGACTACAGGCGCCCACCACTACGCCCGGCTAATTTTTTGTATGTTTAGTAGAGACGGGGTTTCACCGTGTTACCCAGGATGGTCTTGATCTCCTGGCCTCGTGATCCACCCGCCTCAGCCTCGTAAAGTGTTGGGATTACAGGCATAAACCACCGCGCCCAGGCAATAGTAACTTTCTTACAGTGATAAAAGAGAACTTCCTGTGGCAATTAGTGCAACAGGTTTCCTTATTCATATGCTATGAGAGTGAGTGGGAAAATTAACATCCCCTTTAACCACAAAGTCCCTCCCTCCAGTCTTGCATCACGCCAGCCACAAAACATCCACAGATAACAGGTATGTGCATCAGTAACCCAAGGTGGCCATGGGGCTGCTGGACCAAGCAAAAGGAAGCCAGGAGTTTGGCCTTCTACAATACAATGAAAATCAAACATTCCCCACAATGGGAAGGGGACAAGAGCCTCAGTTACTGCTTGGTAACAGAGGTAACCACCTCTGAAAGAAAGCTGGAAAAGCTAAGAGTTAACCAAAGGGGTAGTGAGACAGGCAGGAGGGATCAGACACAGCGCCCCACTAAACACAGCCAAGCAGCCAACACAGATGGCTCAGTAACTGCATCTGTGTTCACTCAACATCACCAACAGTAGCCTTCACCCAACAAGAGAAAGTGGGGTTCTGGACTGGGGGCCCCTGAAGGGCCAGCTGCACAATTGTCAATAGGGAGGAATGAGCACAGAGGAAAAAGGAGAGAAAAAAATGTTTTCACCAAAGATGAACCTGGAGTACAAAATAATAAGATACGCGAGATCTAATGTTAAGTAAGGAATTCTATATCATCAACAATTAGGTGATTATAAATGAAAATAACAACAATGAAAATAATAGACTAATCTGAAGTTAACATTAAAATATTTATGTTTTATATCCTTGAAAGAAATAAAGGGATAATATTACTTTTTGTTGTTGTTGTTTTGTTTTGTTTTTTTGATACAGTCTCGCTCTGTCACCCAGGCTGGAGTGCAGTGGTGTGATCTTGGCTCACTGCAACCTCTGCCTCTCAGGTTCAAGCGATGTTCCTACCTCAGCCTCCTGACTAGCTGGGATTACAGGTCCCCGCCACCACACCTCTCTAATTTTAGTGTTTTTAACAGAGATGGGTTTCCTCCATGTTGGCGAGGCTAGTCCCAAACTCCTGGCCTCAAATGATGTTCCCACCTCAGACTCCCAAAGTGCTGGGATTGCAGGTGTGAGCCACTGTGCCCAGCCACTAATCATAATAAAATGTATGTGTATGTGTATGTGTATGTGTGTGTGTGTGTGTATGTGTATGGGTTTTTTTGGTTGTTGTTTTTTGAGGTTTTTTTGTTTTGTTTTCTTTTCTTTTCTTTTTTTGGAGACAGGCTGTCACCCAGGCTGCAGTGCAGTGTCGTGATCATAGCTCACTGCAGCCTCAAACTCCAGGGCTTACACAGTCCTCCCACATCAGCCTCCTGAGTAGTTGGGACTCAGTCGTAGTGCCTCATCATGCCTGGCTACTTTTTAAAAAATTTTTTTGTAGAGATGAGGTCTCACTATGTTGACCAAGGTGGTCTCAAACCAATGGCTTCAAATGAGCCTCCCAAAGTGCTGGGATTAAAGGCATGAGCTACTGCACCTGGACAAAATGCCTATTTTAAAATGTCACTTAGAAATGTTGGAAATGGGCCAGGCGCGGTGGCTCAAGCCTGTAATCCCAGCACTTTGGGAGGCCTAGGTGGGCGGATCACGAGATCAGGAGATCGAGACCATCCTGGCTAACACGGTGAAACCCCGTCTCTACTAAAAATATGAAAAATTAGCCGGGCGTGGTCGCAGGCCCCTGTAGTCCCAGCTACTCAGGAGGCTGAGGCGGGAGAATGGCGTGAACCCAGGAGGCGGAGCTTGCAGTGAGCCAAGATCGCGTCACTGCATTCCAGCCTGGGCGACAGTGCGAGACTCCATCTCAAAAAAAAAAAAAAAAGAAAAAAGAAAAGAAAAGAAAAAGAAATGTTGGAAATGAAAACTATGGTCATTAAAAGTTTTTAAATCAATAGATGATATCAACACTAAACTGGATATTGTTAGCAATAATTGGTCAATTGGAAGATAATACTGAGAATTCAACCATAATGCTGCATAGAGAGAGAACAATTTTTTTTCATTAGACAATTAAGGGACATGGAAAATAAATTGACAGACTGCAAAATATGTCCAATAGGAGATGTAAAAGAGAATATCACAAGTGGTAGAATAACAATATTTAAAAAGATAATGGTTGAGAATGATCCAGATTTTTTTAAAGATGCACCAAATGCAGGTGTATAAAGGAAAACAAATGCACATCCATACACATCCTATAGAAATTTTAGTATATCAAGAAAAAATAGATAATATTAAAAGCTACAAAAGAGAATGCAGATTATCCACAAAGGAATGACAATTACACTGTCAGCAAACTTCTCATCAACAAACAATTGATGCCAGAAGGCAATGGAGTAACATTATATCATCACAGTGCAGAGAGAAAATAAGAATAACCTAAAATTTCATATCTGACTAGATTGTCCTTGCATGTGAAGGCAAAATAAAGGCATTTTCAAATACACAAAGATTAAAAGAATATACTGCCTCCAGCCCCTCCTGGATACTCACTGAAGGCACTATGCAAAGACGTAATTCAGAAAGAGATAATTTTTGTGTGTGTATGTGAGAGACAGAGTCTCGCTCTGTCACCCAGGCTGGAGTGCAGTGGCACGATCTTGGCTCACTGCAACCTCTGCCTCCCGGGTTCAAGTGATTCTCCTGTCTCAGCCTCTCGAGTAGCTGGGACTACAGGCGCATGCCACCATGCCCAGCTAATTTTTGTATTTTTAGTAGAGACGGGGTTTCACCACGTTGGCCAGGCTGGTCTTGAACTCCTTGCCTCAGTGATCTGCCTGCCTCGGCCTCCCACAGTGCTGTTATTATAGACATAAGCCACCGCATAAGGCCTGAAAGAGACAACTTTTGAGCTGGCTGAGGCAGTCAGTAAACAAACATTTATTGAATGGTTACTGTACATCAGACACTGGACTAGACACTAGAGGTCCATGATCCTTGCCCCTATGGAGTTTATAGTCTGCCTCTGAAGAACTAGACCGAAGAGTACCCCAGGCAGAAAGAACTGAGGGTACAAAGATATATGGGCAGGTGAGCGCATGGGGTGTTACAAGAATAAGTCGTGAGGAATTAGGCCAAATAGCTCGTGGTTAAAGGAGCTGAAACTGAAAAGAATGAGCCCAGGATGTGCTTCCCAGGCAATGGGGATCCGTTAAGGGCTTTGAGGAGCGATTAACCAGAGTTGAATCTTGGTAATTTCAGTTTGATATTAATGTAATTTGTTAAAAATGAGAATGTAGGCAAGGCATGATGGCTCACATCTGTAATCCCAGCACTTTGGGAGGCTGAGGTAGGATTCCTTGAGGTCAGGAGACCAAGACCAGCTTTGGCTACATAGTGGGACCCCATCTATACAAAAAAAAAAAAAGAAAAATGAACTAGCCGGGATTATTGGCATGCACTTGTAGTCCTAGCTACTAGGGAGGCTGAAATGGGAGGATTGCCTGAGCCTGGGAGGTCTAGGCTGTAATGAGCTATGATCACAACATTGCACACCAGGCTGAGTGACAAAGCGAAACCCTGCCTCAAAAACAACAAAAAAACAAGAATGTAGGTCCAGCACCCCAGCACCGTGGCTCATACCTATAATCTCAGCACTTTGAGTGGCCAAGGCAGAGGCTTGCTTGAGGCCAGGAGATAGAGACCAGTCTGGGCAACATAGTGAGACCCTATCTCTAAAAAGACTTTTATTTTCTTGTAATTTAAAAATTAGTTGGGCATGGTGGCATGCACATGTAGTACCAGTTACTCAGGAGGCTGAGGCAGGAGGATCCCTTGAGCCTAGGAGTTTGAGGCTACAGTGAGCTATAATCACACCGCTGCCCTCCAGCCTGGGCACTACCGCACTCCAGCCTGGGCGACAGAGTAAGACCCTGTTTCTGAAAAAATGAAGGTGTAGAATGTGTGAACCCTGAATATCTCCTTACAGGGAAAATAGCTGGAGAGTTTTAACTCTGTGGAGGTGTTTAAAAGATGTCAACCGTTTTCTGCACACTATAAATTCATCTGAATTTTTCCAGTCCTAGCTACTGACCATCTTATATTTTGACAATATGAGATAGAAAAGGAGAGAGTGAAAACAGGATAAGTTCCAAATAAAAATAGCAACAAACTGAAATAAAAAGGAAAACCCCTGCCCTTTAGTCCGTTTTGCTTTCTGAAAAAGGATGTGCATATGAATTTGTTTCCCTAGCGACCATGTAGAACAATAGAAGATGCCATATTTTGGTAATTTTATGGCTATTAGAATGACACAGTGTCACAGAAAGTTATTGCATTTTAAAGCAGTATTCTCCTTCATGCACAGACTCTGGGGAGCAGGAAAAGCTAGGGGAGATTGCATTGTGTACAGAGATAGTTTGTGTGTTTATGGATCCTTTTACAAAAGTTTTGCATACATAGAAGGCAAGATGCTAGCAGTGGCTATACCATGCTCTCAGGAGTTAGCCCACACATAGGTCTTCTGAAGATAAATGCAATATTAGGAATCTCACACCAGAGATCCTTCATCACAAAACACATAAAACTGTCTTGCCAGTTTGATTTCATGCTGGAGAAAAAATACATGGTAAGGCACACAATGTAGCAAACACACCAGTACAATCATAGGTGCAGCTTTGCAGGGATACACAGAGGATTCTGAAAGAGGACATGAAGACCAGAGGAGTTTTGATATTGGAAATGGTTGGAAAATTGAAGTGCTTATTTTTGTCCAGTGAAACCATTGGGTTCTATATCTTTGAAAATTATAAATTCAGTCTTTGGAGTTGAATGGCAAGAAATTTAATGACAGGATTTTTAAATTTTTTTTTGAGACAAGTCCTTTCTCTGTTACCCAAGCTGGAGTGCAGTGGCATGATGGGGGATCACTGCAGCCTCAACCTCTACTTCCCAGGCTCAAGCGACCCTCCTGCCTCAGCTTCCTGAGTAGCTGGGACCTCAGGCACGTGCTGCCACACCCAGCTAATTTTTTTGTTTTTTGTAGAGGTGAGGTCTTGCTGTGTTACCCAGGCTGGTTTCAAACTCCTGGCCTCAAGCCATCCTCTTGCCTTGGCCTCCCAAAGTGTTGGGATTACAGGTGTGAGCCACTGTGCCTGGCCAATGGTAGCATATTTTTTATGAAGTAAACCATTTGATTACTTGACAGGTATCCAATCCAATCCTTGAAATCTAAGCACATCCTAATTACATCTACAAACATGAGGACAGATAGGCCAACCATTGTGATGGTCTTTCCCAAGATGCCATGATCTTTGTCAATAGGACATTTTTCCTTGCACTCCCGAGGGACATGAAGAGATTACCCAACACTCCACCTTGACTTAGGGAGTACCACAATGAAACCTCATAAAAGGAACGACTGTACTTTTCAAAAGTGTCAACTCTGCCTACTGTTTTTTGAATCTAGCTCACGGTTGGGAAAGACTTCAATAAGTTTACATTCCTAAGATTCTCCACCGTCTCCTGGAGTATATCCTCCAAAGGTCGCTATTATCTTCAGATTCCAACAAAACTCCTTAGAGTAACAAATATAGCTCCTCTTGGCTTTCTCCTACATCATACATCCTTCCTCCCTTACTCACTGGACTCAGGTTCTCCACTGCACTAGGAACATTCATTCTGTGTTTCAGCCTTACCGAGCCACTCATGGTTTTCAGGATATGCCATTCTTCCTTGACCTCCGTTCCAGGTTGGTCCCTAAATTAGCTTAAGGAATAAGGGAGTATGGAAAGACTCACCCAGTCCTTCCTAACCCACTTCCACGGACAGATGAATTAAGTGATCATTACTTTTAGGCTCTTGAAATGGTGATGGAAGGTGGTGGTGATTAAAGAAGAAAGTTGTAGTTCCACCCAACTCTTGTCTAAATGCCAAAGGTGTGCCCCATTGAGGTGGTGGTAGCTGACATTAGACAAGATGTTAGCGGCTCGGCGAGGTGGCTCATGCCTGTAATCCCAGCACTTTGGGAGGCCGAGGCAGGCAGATCACGAGGTCAAGAGATCAAGACTATCCTGGCCAACATGGTGAAACCCCGTCTCTACAAAAAATACAAAAAAAAATTAGCTGGGCTTGCTGGCGCATGCCTGTACTCCCAGCTACTCAGGAGGCTGAGGCAGGAGAATCGTTTGAACCCTGGAGGAGGAGGTTGCAGTGAGCCAAGATCATGCCACTGCATTCCAGCCTGGTGACAGAGCGAGACTCCATCTCAAAAAAAAAAAAAAAAAAAAGAGGAGATGTTAGCTACTGATCCCTCTTGTGCCATGGCTATGCCATGGCTGGGTTACTGACTCCAGAAGCTTTTCAAGAGGAAAACCAAAAAATCAGAGTTAGAACTGAAGTAATAGCTAAACAGGTTTAATGTGCACCCCTAATAAATAATCCCTGAGATCACAACTCTGCCTTCTACCATCTCTCGATTCTCCATCTGTTATCCATCCTTGGTCCAACTGCCCCAGGATCAATATATCAGAATCGAAAGTTACCTCCTAACTTTCTAGTGGTCTTGTTAACTCTTAAGTTAAACACATTAAATGAGAAATAGACTCCATAGATAGGACTCTATTTCTAGCTGGCTCAACACTTTTATCTTGATTAATGAAGGAAATTATGGTGACCAAAAAACAAAAGATACCCCAAATGAAATATTATTCAGCCATAAAAAAGAATGAGAGCCTGTCATTTGCAAAAACATGCCTGGAACTGGAGGACATTTTGTTAAGTGAAAAAAGCCAGGCACAGAAAGACAAATGTCACATGTTATCACTCATAAAAATGAAAACCACTGAACCTATAGAGATAGAGAGAATGATGGTGACCAGAAGCTAGGAAGGGTAGCTAGGAGGGGAGGGTAAAGTGGGGATGGTTAATGAATGTAAAAATAAAGTTAGGTAGAATGAATAAGATCTGGTATTTGATAGCACAACAGGGTGACCACAGTTAATAATTTATTGTATATTTTAAAATAACTAAAAGTGTGGAATTGGAATGTTCCTAACATAAAGAAATGATAAATACTTGAGGTGATGGACCCCCAATTACTCTACTATGATTATTACACATTGTATACCTGCCTCAAAATATCACATGTACCCCATAAATACACACACCTATTACATACCCATAATAATTAAAGATTAAACATCTTTTTAAAGAAAACAAAAGAAACCTATGTATTAAATACAAGCTTTAGACTTGCCCCTTCACTCAAGAGGACACTTTCAAACCTAAAAGTTTTCTTCTTTCTTACAATTTTTATTTTTTCTCCCAAGACAAAGTAATCATAGCAATTCTTGAAGACATTTCACTATATCGGCATTTTGTCTTACACATGTTTCTTCTCTAGCCAGGTAATTACACTGAAAGATAAATTTGCATGTGTTTAAAAGCTAACAATAAACTCCTAAATATTAACTACTTGTTTTATAAATATTCTGTTTCTTATAGATGTACACATCGTGGCCGGGCATGGGGGCTCACGCCCGTAATCCTAGCATTTTGGGAGGCCAAGGCGAGTGGAACATTTGAGGTCAGGAGTTTGAAACCAGCCTGGCCAACATGGTAAAACTCTGTTTCTACTAAAAACACAAAAAAATTAGCTGAGAGTGATGGCATGCACCTGTAATTCCAGCTACTGGGAAGGCTGAGGCAGGAGAATCGCTTGAACCCGGGGGGCAGAGGTTGCAGTGAGTGGAGATAGTGCCACTGCACTCCAGCCTGGGCAACAGAGCAAGACTCCATCTCAAAAAAGAAAAAAAAATAGTGTACGTTGTACCCATTAAGTAATTTCTCATTCCTCACCCCTCCCACTCTCCCACCCTCTGAGTCTCCAGAGTCTATTATCCCACAGTCCATATCCTTGAGTACACACTGTTTCACTCCCACTTATAAGTAAGAACATGAAGTATTTGACTGATTCTGAGTTGTTTCACTTAAGATAATGGCCACTGGTTCCATCCATGATGCTGCAAAAGACATTATTTTACTCTTTTTTATGGCTGTATACTATTTCATTGTGTATGTCTACCACATTTTCTTTATCCAATTATCCACTTACGGACACTTAGTTTGAGTCCATATCTCTGCCAATGTGAACACTGCAGTAATGAACACATGAATGCAGGTATCTTTTTGATATAATAATTTCTTTTCCTTTGGGTACATACCCAGTAGCGGGATTGCTGGATCAAATGATAGTTCTAGTTTTAGTTCTTTGAGAAATGCCAGCATACAGTGAGATGAGAGGGCAGGCCGATTTTGAGTTGGTTGTATTGTTGTTTTTGAGTTATCCTCAATTACCTGCTCCCAGAGCTCACTTCTGGGCCCCCAGTGCACCCCCCTACAATCTCACATTGGTGTGCCACTGAGTGGAGGCGGAGGTGCCAACTCTCTACTTTTTATCTATGATCTCTTTTATGCCATTTAGATGTGACTTATCACATTTTATCTTGTGAGGAGGATATTTGTGTCCATATTTCATCATAAGCTATGTGAGACCAGGTACTGAATCTTTTCCACTTTCCTAAGTGTTCAGCAGAGTATCTGAAACAAAGAAGACCATCAATTAATCTGTAAGTTTCATGAATAAGTCACGAGTGAATATAGGTAAGAAAGCTGAGACACAGAGAGGTTAAGCAACTTACTCAGAGTCACAGAGAGTTATCTGTAGTGCTAGAACTGGAATCATGACTGCCTGATTTAAGTAAAGCTGTTAATCAGGCAGAAATCACCATTCATTCTCCTGAACTAAACTCACAGAAAGCTGACCATTTATTCCACTTTGGCAATGACTGGTCATATGAGAGCAGCCAAGGTCAAGGTTGCATAATTTTCTCAACCTCTTGAGTTCAATGTGAAATATCAAAAGCTGAAAACGCTTCCTAGTTTTAATTATTTTTAGGGTTGTAGGCCTTTTTTTTTCCTTTTGAGGGAGAATATAAGGGAGAAAAAGCATTCACAGGTTTTTCAGCCTAATTGAAATATTCTCTACATCAAATATGTTCAATGTAGTAGAAACTACAGATGTTATTGCTTTAATTTTATAACCCAATTATTATTTTATTTCTAGTTGTCTTCAGGATAAATTAACTCTTATCAGCTATTCAAATAGGAAATTACCATAAAGCTAAATACCACACAACCTCATAATCCATGTCAATTTATAGACTAAACTGAAGTAAAATCGTGCTCTGGAGTTATAAGAAAGAGAAATCCAGATTTTTATTATTTCTCAACATTTTCCCCAGAATACCCAAATGAAATTTAACAAGGAGATGATTTCTTTTTGTGAGGAAAAGGATTCTAGAGTTGGCCTTTTCATTGTGGTGAAATGAATGCTAAACTTCCAGCAAAATATAATGAGTTTGGATACAAGATCTATAATTTATCAGCTGTATGACTTGGGCCAAATTATTTTATCCCTTTGTGTTTCTGTCTCCTTGTCTCTAACAGAAAGGGTTGGGATATTTTATCTCAAAAATCCTTTTTATCCATAAAATTCCATCACCTTATGCTTCTGATGGTACTATCATATTCTTGCCAGGACATCCCAGGATTCAGAGCCTTATGGTTATAATAGATAATACAGTTATCATGTGGCCTTCAAGAACAAAACTGTATTCATCTGCATCACCTTAGGGCAGAGACAGGAGTAAGGTGGAGCAAGTAAAACACTCGACATTCATGCAAAATTTAAGGGCACCCTCAAAAAAACTCAGTAATCAAGATAAATCATCTTTTGATGCACTTTTTTTTTTTGAGACACAGTCTGACTCTGTCTCCCAGGGTGAGTGCAATGATGCGATCATGGCTCACTGCAGCCTTGACCCCCCTGGTCCAAGCCATCCTCCCACTTCAGCCTCCTGAGTAGCTGGGACTACAGGAGCACACCATCACGCTAGACTAATTTTTGATTTTTTTTATAGGCAGCTCTCATATGACCAGTCATTGCTAAAGTGGAATAAATGGTCATCTTTCTGTGAGTTTAGTTCAGGAGAATGAATGGGCGATTTCTGCCTGATTAACAGCTTTACTTAAATCAGGCAGTCATGATTCCAGTCCTAGCACTACAGATAAGTCTCCGTGACTCTGAGTAAGTTGCTTAACCTCTCTGTGTCTCAGCTTTCTTATCTATATTCACTCGTGACTTATTCATGAAACGTAGAGATTAATCGGTGGTCTTCTTTGTTTCAGATACTCTGCTGAGCACTTAAAAACGTCATGTTGCTCAGGCTGGTCTGGAGCTCCTGGATACAAGAATCCTCCCGCTTGGTCTCCCACAGTGCTGGGATTACAGGTGTGAGCCACCATACCTGGCCTTTGATGCAATATTTTAAAAAATCAAAATTAATGGAAAAATCTACAATGAACAAATGCCAAAATTTTAAATAAAGATAGGATTGATACTTATAAAGAAGAGATGTATTTTTATCAAAATAGGCTTATGTTGTAGTTGTGTGCGTGCGTGTGTGTGTGTGTGTGTGTGTGTTTTAAGCATCATTCTCGTATCTCAGAGGTTTAACAAAGTGACCAGTCATTTACTGTTCTTGCTACAAATTCAGTGAGGGTCTTCATGAGCTCTTTTTCCCACAGTCAGAGATCCAGTTGGCCTCTGTGACTGGTGCAGATTGAGTTATGTGCTAACTCAACTAATTATGACCATAATAAAATGGTTGTTGTTTTCAGCCTCTAAGATTTGGAGGAGCGTGGAATACATCAAAAACAGACCAGAAAAAAATTTGCTACTTGGAGTGGGGTGTTGCCATTAGAAGGAGAAATAAAAATAAACTAAGACATGTCACATTGTCTTTAGGACTGAGTTGCAGCCCAGAGATTTAGCAGCCTCAAGAAGTTTTAGTGAAGGCTTGAAGTTCAGTGAGGAATTTGTTATTAAAGACTGGAGAAAAAGGGATAAGTGTCCTTAATGGTAAAATGTTTGGCAACATTTTTGCCTGAGGTAATGTGGAAAGCAGAAAATATACGTGATGAACTTACAGATTTGGCTAAGGAGATTCCCAGGAAGAATGTGGAAAGTGCCAGTTAGTTTTATTTAGCTACATGTAAGAAAGTACAAATAGAGACAGATGAGCTAAAAAAAAAAAAAAAAAAAAAAAAAAAAAGGAATTCTGTAGCTTTCAATAAGAATTTAGAGGAAATATAAAGGAACAAAGACCTGTATGTTTAAAAATAAAATCATTCCTCATTCCCAGACTCTCAAGACAGCAAAATGATCTCAACACAAGAAATGGCCTCAGGGTACAGATCATCTCAAGGATAAAACTGAGACCCTTTGTTAATACCTCAGAAAGATTTATAGGCATGCCTCATGGACCCTCTCAAAGAGACAAAAAGGTTTCTAAGCATCTTAAGGGTGTTGTCTCACAATATTCTGACTCTAAAATAAAGCTGGAGAGGGAAATGTCATAAAGAGATTTGTGGGTATTGTTTTTGTCTAATGAGGTGAAACCCAATAAGATTTACAGAAAACTCACATAGTATTTATGATAATTTTTCTTTTTTTTTTTTTGAGACAGAGTCTCTCTCTGTAACCTAGGCTGGAGTGCAGCGGCATGATCTTGGCTCACTGCAGCCCTGATCCCCTGGGCTCAAGTGATCCTTCCACCTCAGCCTCCCAAGTAGCTGGGACTACAGGCACACGCCACCACGCCCAGCTAATTTTTGTGTTTTCTGTAGAGACAGGGTTTTACCACGTTGCCCAGGCTGTTATTGAACTCCTGAGCTCAAGCAATTTGCCCACCTTTGCCTTCCAAAGTGCTGGGATTATAGGCACGAGCTGAGCCACCCGGCAATAATTTTTTTTTGAGACAGAATCTTGCTCTGTTTCCCAGGCTAGAGTTACAGTAGTGTGCCAAATCTCACTTCAGCCTCGATCTCCTAGGCTCAAGCAATCCTCCTGCCTCAGCCTCCCGAGTAGCTGGGACTACAGGCATGCACCACCGTGCCCGGCTATTTTTATTTTTTGTAGGAATGGGGTCTTGCTATGTTGCCCAGGCTCATCTTGAACTCCCAGGCTCAAGTGATCCTCCTGCCTTGGCCTCCCAAAGTGCTGGAATTATAGGCAGGAGCCACCACAACTGGCTATTTATTTATTTATTTTTGTATGATGATTAAATTGGTGGAAGTACCAGCAACTTATACAGAAAGGGAGAAAAATATTATATATATATATATAAAAGAAGCCTATGGCTCTCCAACTTATTCTGGGAAGGAAAAAGGGAGATACAGCTATTCAGTTGCATACCTGATCTATCTTATGCGAGAAAGTGGTCTCAGAGCATGGAACCAAGAGCCATGGCAAATCATTTTCAGGGAGAAAAACGGAGCCCATGTTCTTTGACAAGCAACATGTTCTTAACAGGATTTCAGAATCACTATGGACCCCATATTCCTCCATTGTGATTATTCTATCTGTATTTCTATGACATGTTGGATGTATTTGGGCAATAAAGAGCTTAGCTCTTTAATCCACAAGTCTTCAGATCAAGAGGAATCATTCTCAAAGAACCACATCCAAAGACCTGCATCCATGCCAAGACCTGATTTTGATTATGATATCCTGGAATATGAGCCAATGCCATGATGATGTGAGGCTTTGGTAGTCTTGGAAGATGAAGGTAGTAAATGTGTTTTTCAAGAGAGAAGAATATATTTGTGGCCAAAGGGCAGATTGTGGTAAATGAAAGATGACCACAGACTTTTTGACACTCACCCCATCTATGCCTTCCTACTATTTTGAATTTGGGGTAGGCTGTGACTTCTCTGGTCTCTAGAGTATGGTAGAAGTAAGCTATGCCAGTTCGGAGCCCAGGCTTTAAGAGGTGGAAACTAGTAGTTTCCACCGTAGACTCTTGGAAGTCTGGTTGAGTTATGCTGCAGAAGCAATGATCCCCAAAACTCCATGATTTGTTTCTTACTCCTATTTCAAGTTGAGTTAACTGCAACTCTGGCCCACATCTTCTTCATTATGGGAGCAGGATAAGTAGACTGTTTGTATCTGGACCATATGAGGCTTGTGGCAGAGGGAGACAACGACATGGAGTAACCATATGTTGGCTCCTGGAGCTTTTCCTTGGACAAGTCACACTGCACATCTGCTCACAATCCATTGACAAAAACCAGTCATGTGGCCTGTGTCTAACTGCAAGAAGACTTGGATATGTGAGGGAGTTCTTGAATATTAAGCCCATATCTTTACATCTTATTTATTTCTTTTATTTTACTTTAAGTTCTGGGATACATGTGCAGAATATGCAGGTTTGTTACCTAGGTATACATGTGCCGTGATGGTTTGCTGCACCTATCAACCATCATCTAGGCTTTAAACCCTGCATGCATTAGGTATTTGTCCTAATGCTCTCCCTCCCTTTGCCCCCAACCCCCCGACAGGCCCTGGTGTGTCAGGGGGAAAATTATCAATATTATAGAAATGCATCTTGCTCTGAGGGCTATTTAAAAGGTCAGTAATTCCTTGAGTCTCAAGTCAGAAGACCCAAGACAAGGCATTACCAAATCTCCTGTCTTTTTGAAGCATGGAGTCCTAGTGGAATTTTTATTTAATTTTTGAGAAATGTTTAAAATATGGCCAGAGTGGCATTCTGAATATTGTAGAGTAGTTCAAACTACTTAAGCTAGTATTTTCCATGGAAATCTTGGAGAGAAAAATGAAATGACTATGCCCAAATCAAAATCTTTCCTAGAAGTCCCCCAGGAGTTTCTTTTTGAAAAACCATTCTGGCAACATCTGGGACTGAATTTTACAGTTCTAAGATTGGAAGCAGGGAGACCAGATAGGAAGCTGTTGCAGTAATGTGGGCCAAAAATAATGAATTCTTGGCCAGGGTGGGGAAGTTGGAGGTGGAATGAGGGAATGCATTCCAAAGATATTCTGGAGACAGAATTGAAAGAACTTCAGGAACAAATGGTAGCAGGTGGGAAATCCAAAAAGTCAGAAATCAAGGGAGAAAAACTGCATCACAACACATTCCACAAGTCGAAATAAATCATGGTGGATCAAATATTCTAAAAATGAAAAATTTAAATCCAAAAATAAAATAAGGGTAAAAGTTATTGCCTTTCTTTTTATAAGTAGGAAACAAAAAAAAAAAGATAAAAATTGAGAAATTTGACTACAAGGGTTTTAAAAGTGCCTGCATTCTTCCCATATATATGTGCACAAGGTTAAAAGTTAAAGGAAAACAAAGTATCAAGTGGGGAATAAAGGTTGCAGCACAGATAAAAGTGAATGTCCCTAATATGTAAAGATTGGTTACAAATCAATGATAAAATGTGAACTCCTAAATCAAAACTGGTCAAAAGACATGAAAAGGCAACTCACAAAATAAAAAATACTAATCACCAATAAATATATAATACTTATTTTCACTAATGATCAAATAAATTCAAAATTTTAAATGTGGCATGAGCCTTTTCCATGAGATTACAAATACTGAAAATATTTACAAAACCTAACATTGACAATCATTTTGAAGAAAGAATACTCCTAATCACTGTTAATGAACATGTAAACTAATATAATTGTTCTGGAGGGAAGTATGACAATATTCTAACAATTTTTAATGAAAATACCTTTGATCCAGCAATCTGACCAATCTGACATTAAGGACTTCATGGGAAGAAGGCAGTTGTGCAACTACTTTATATTAAAAGTATGTTTAAGGATATTTGTTGTAGAAATGCTTGTTGGAACTCTTAATGCTCATTAGTAAGGAGAACTTGTTAAATAAATTATAGTATATTCATTAAAAATGAAATACAGCCCTTGTAGATGTAAATGTATTGAGTTGTAAAGCTGGCTAAATCATATTATTTAATAAAAAATAAAGCTTCAGTATTTTATTGTCTGATCACAAATGTACAACTTTATGTTTAAGATGAAATCATCATCTTATGCAAAAAGGGGCGTTTTCCATGAAGACACTGGGGATTCTCACAGCCTCTCAGAATAGAACTACAGCCAGAGCCAGCCGCACATATTGTCAAAACTCTCAGTCTTTCTGCTTTTCTTCCCTGCATACAGGTGATATTCTTAAGGCTCAGTCTACTAATCTCTTCTGTTTTCTAGTCCATATGGTAGAAAACTTGTCACTAATATCATATTCCAAATTTGCATTTCTTCAGTTCAACCAAGCAGCCAGGCTAGACTAGAATATTTTGGCCTCAACTCCAAGTCCTCAAGAATCCACTCTGATTGGCCCAATCCAGATCTGGTTTAATAACTGTTAATTGGATAATAATGTCATACTGTCTAAAATTGTTCCCAGTGGTAATGAAGTGGGAGAGGGAGATGAGGGAGCTTGTTTCTATAAGATGAGGATAATTCCCAGAAAATCCAAGATGGAAGAACTAGTCAAATAAAGCAACTGGCATTCAGTATACTGTACCATTTGCTGCCTAGAAAACACAAATAGTCACTTTCTCCCATAATTTTTTTTTTAACAGTCTCGCTCTGTCACCCAGGCTGGAGTGCAGTGACACAATCTGGGCTCACTGCAACCTCCACCGCCTAGGTTCAAGCAATTCTCCTGCCTCAGCCTCTAGAGTAGCTGGGACTACAGGCATGCACCACCACACCCAGCTAACTGTTGTATTTTTAGTAGAGACAGGGTTTTGCCATGTTGGCCAGGCTGGTCTTGAACTCCTGGCCTCAGGTGATCTGCCCGCCTCCGCCTCCCAAAGTGCTGGGATTACAGGCATGAACCACTGCACCTGGCCCCCCCATACATTTTAAAACTACAACATTGCAAACGCAAGCAGGAAACACAGTAGGAAACACAGTAGGAAAGAGTAGCTACTTCCTACGTGCTGTCAAGATCCAGCTCTCTGGGTGATGCATCTTTTTTTCTCCAGTACCACATCTAACCGATCCATACTATCCATTATTATAAGAAAAATCCAAAACTGAATACAAAAAAATGGAGGAAAATGGCATAACTACAATAAAGACTATCATTTAAAAATGACAGTGATGTACCAACTATTTCTTGGCCACTGGCGCAGAGCACACACTCTATTGCAGGGTTTCTCAACCTTGACACTACTGACATTTTGAGCCAGATGATGCTTTGCTGTGGGGACTTGGTTACATCAGCCCTTTACCTGCTAGACGCCAGGAACACTTTCCCCAGTTATGACAATCGAAAATGACTACAGACATTGCCAAATATCCCGTGGGGCAAAATCATGACCAGGTGGTCTATTAGAACACTCTATTAGAACAGGTCTATTGGTCTATTAGAACAGTCAGGGATGGTTTGTAACAATTAAGCGACAGGGGCAGAAGATCTCATAATGGGAAAATAAGTGTCTTGTTCTGAAATGTTTCTACCCTAAAGTCTTCCTAAGGAAAACATCTCCATTGCCTAGTTATGTTAGGAACCACCTCTGTGAGGAGGGAATTGGGGATGATTTTCCTATCAGGGAAATGATGTCAACTAAGCAGTATACTCCCTGTTATTGTAGGTATTTGGGACCAGGAGGAGCTGCCTTGAGAAGAGGCAAGTCCAGGTCATTGTCTTCCAAGCTTGGAATTCTTCTGAATATACAACTCCCTAAAAGAATCAATAAGCTGCCTATCAGTCTCCTTATTAACAACTTATTTTCCGGCTGGGAGAAGTGGCTCACTCCTGTAATCCCAACACTTTGGGAGGCCAAGGCAGGTGGATCATTCAGGAGTTCGAGACCAGCCTGGCTAACATGGTGAAACCCTGTCTCTACTAAAAATACAAAAATTATCCAGGCGTGGTGGCGCGAGCCTGTAATCCCAGCTACTCTGGAGGCTGAGGAAGGAGAATTGCTTGAGCCCTGGAGGCAGAGGTTGCAGTGAGCCGAGATTGCGCCACTGAATTCTGGCCTGGGCCACAGAATGAGACTCTGCCTCAAAAAATAAAAATAAAAATAAAAAAAGAACCTATTTTCCTGATAGCCTATGACAGAGAGTTTATCAGGCGTGCCCTTTGAACACCCATCCAGTGTTTTGTCTCACGTTCCTGGCCACTCTTTGTCAACCTCACGGCAGGACAGGATCTTCCTACAATGTTGCCCCTATCTTCAGTTTTTATTCCAATCAAGTGTGCTTTACACAGTATCCTTCATCCAACATGAATTATACTGTAATAAGTGTTTTGTGGGGGTGAAATAAAACTGTCCGTCTTTTCTGACTTTTCCCGCCTTTTCCCTAATATCCCCAATCTAGTACAAGTAGTCCATTTTCTTAACCCCCATATTATGTTTATAATATAGCAAAGAATCCATTCCCTGCCACTCAGCAAGGCATATTTGATCTTAATTTGCTTCTGAAGGCTAGCTAAGATTTCTATACAAGATGCCCACTACTGGGACGACTAATTGTGAACATGTGTTAGGTGGAAGGAGGATTTTGTTATCTTCTTTCAAGATGTATACAAAATAACAGTTCCTTCGGTAATCATGATTGGTAGAGTTGCCTCCAAAACGGGAGCAATTCCAAAAAAATCAAGGACAAATCGTTGTTTAGACAGTTTTGAGTCCACGTTGGAGAGACAGGCTGGGAGGAGAAAAGATGGCTATTAAAATGTTAACCTTTTCTCTGCAACTTCGCCAGTGCTTTTACATTGTTGGTGGGAATGTAAATTAGTTCAACCATTGTGGAAGACAGTGTGGCGATTTCCTAAAGATTTAGAAGCAGAAATACCATTTGACCCAGGAATCCCATTACTGGATATATACTCAAAGGAATATAAATCATTCTATTATAAAGATACATGCATGTGTATGTTTATTGCAGCACTATTTACAATAGCAAAGACGAGGAATCAACTCAAATGCCCATCAATAATAGACTGGATAAAGAAAATGTGGTATATATACACCATGGAATACTATGAAGCCATAAAAAGGAATGATATCATGTCCTTTGCAGGGACATGGATGGAGCTGGAAGCCAATTATCCTCAGCAAACGAATGCAGGACCAGAAAACCACACACCAGATATTCTCACTTATAAGTGGGAGCTGAAAAATGAGAACACACGGACAAAGGGAGGGGAACAACACTCACCAGGGACTGTCAGGGGAGGGCAGGAGCTGGGAAAGCATTAGGGAAAAGAGCTAAATGCACGCTGGGCTTAATACCTAAGTGATGGGTTGACAGGTGCAGCAAACCACCCTGGCACATGTTTACCTATGTAACAAACCTGCACGTCCTGCACATGTACCCCGGAACTTAAAAAATAAAATAAAATAACTTTTTTTAAAAAATGAAATGTTAGCCTTAGTTATCTACAGGAGCTGCATATTAGGATAATTTTTATCAGTCCACTTTGCACTATTCTGGGCATTGCTTTAAAGTTTTAGTAATTATCTGTCAACTTTAAAATCAGAAAAATAATTCCACTACGTTAAAAGCAATAAAAATAAATTTCCAGAGAATAAGGATTTGGCTAAGAGAACTACAAAGGAAGTAGTGAGAGTTAAGAGAAAAACAAAACAAAACAAAAAAAACCAACAATAGAAAAATGTCAATTAAGAAAGTTACGAAAAATGTCAATTAAGAAAGTTACGAAGCAATTTTCAGTAAGAAACGGAGTACTCAGATGCTGTAGAGAGGTCAATTAAGAAAAGGATCAATATATTCCCCTTACAGTTAACAATTGGTTCTTTGGTGATCTTGGAAGGTTTCAGTTTAGGAGCTGGGGAAGGAGTCAGAATAGAGCAGGTAAGGGAGGAAGAGTGGAAGGAGAGAGAACAAATTTGGGGAATGAATGGCTACTGAGGAGCATACATTGTTATGCCCCTTGGTGAAGGATATGAAACAGATAACAGACCCTGAATCGTCCTTGGCCAATGAGAAAGAGCACCTGGGCTTTGAGTCTAGCAGTCAGACCTCATTTGACACAGCAGACGTAAATTTTCAGAACTAAGATATTCATGGAGGGGAGCAAACTTCAGCTTCCCCGAAACCTGACTGAAGAGAGCCCAAAAGTGCTTTTCTCCTTCACGCAGTTGCACACTTAGGAAAAGCAGAATTCCAACATCTGCTGCTCTCTATTGAGCTCCAGGTTCACACTTCCCACTGGTACAGGACAAATCTATTTGGAAGTCCACTGGTGTTTCAACCCCAATATATCAAAATGAATTCCTTACCTTAATGACTGACCTCCTGTGTTCTGATCTTGAATAGAAAGCATCACCATCCACCTAATTTCCAGACTTTATAGTCATCCTCAGTGTCTCACCAATTCTTGATTTCAACTCCCAATTGCTGTCAAATTTGTCTTCTTATTTCCTACCCACTACCAGTTCTGGAAATTCGTTCTGGACTTCATCATTTCTTACAGAGACAACAAATGATTCCATAACTGGTCTTTCTGCCTCCAGTGCTTACCTCTTCATTCCATTCTCCATATGTGTACCCAGGGTGATTGCTGCAAAACCTAAGATGGAGCTGGGCACTTTGGGAGGTCGAAGTGGGGGGGTCACTTTGAGCTCAGGAGTTTGAGACCAGCCTGGGCAACATGGTGAAACCCCATCTATACAAAGAATACAAAAAAAAATTAGCTGGGCATGGTGGCTTACACCTGTGGTCCTAGCTACTTGAGAGGCTGAGGTGGGAGAATTGCTTGGGCCTGAGAAGCAGAGGTTGCAGTGAGCCAAGATCGAGCCACTGTACTCCAGCCTGGGTGACAGTGAGATCCTGTCTAAAAACAAAACAAAACAAAACAAAAACTAAGATCATCTAAAATAATTTCATGGCTATTCATCAACCCCAACATAATGTGGTAAGACTTAAAGATGAAGGATAAGGTCCTTTTACTAATTGGCTCAAGCCCGAGTACCTTACAAACGTAATATACCACCACCACTTCCCACACACTTTAACTACATGAAACTATCTTAGGAAATTTGCAGCTAGGTCCTAGAACATAAAAGTCCATCTTCTTGGAAAATTTTCTCCCTCTCTTTACCTGGAAAACTCCTACATATTAAATGGAGAGCAAGAACATCATTTGTTTTGTGAAGTTTTGACCCTCTTAAGGGAAAAGGCCTTGTCTTTATTATTTTTGCATCACTCCTGCCTTGCATGGTACCTGGAAATCAGCAGGAGATTAAAGAAAAATTGAACGTTTGTGCTTCACTCTAAGTTCTTGAAGCACAGTCAACTCAACCACTGAATAAGCGCCAGTGAGCACATTTAAAAAGTCATGAACAATAGATACTGTTTCTCTTAACTCCCAACATTTTCCCTTTTAAAATGTGGTGGGGTCGGGGGAGGGGGGAGGGATAGCATTGGGAGATATACCTAATGCTAGATGACACATTAGTGGGTGCAGCGCACCAGCATGGCACATGTATACATATGTAACTAACCTGCACAATGTGCACATGTACCCTAAAACTTAGAGTATAATAAAAAAAAAAAAAAACTATTTGAGTGCCAAGCACAGTGGCTCACAACTATAATCCCGGTATTTTGGGAAGCCAGGGCAGGAGGATCACTTGAGCTCAGGAGTTCGAGGCGAACCTGGGCAATATACTGAGACCTTGTGTCTACAAAAAATAGAAAAAAAAAATAGCTGGGTATGTGGAGCACATCTGTAGTCCCAGCTACTTGGGAGGCTGAGGTGTGAGGATTGCTTGAATTCAGCAGGTTGAGGCTGCAGTGAGCCATGATTTCTCCATTGCACTCCAGCCTGGGTGACAGAGACCCTATCTCAAAACAAACAAGAAAAATCTATTTGATCACTATATCAGTCATATCAGTCATTATATAAATGTGTGGGTATTTTCCAGGCACTACATGAGAGTCAGGGAATGCAATGGTAAACAATATACATATCTTGCTCTTGAGAAGCTTAGAATCTAGTATGATTCTCAATTGTTTGCACTTACTTCCATCTCCTTGCCTCTGAATTCCTTGCTGAATACAGCAACCTACTAACTAACGCTTGACCTTGCATTTTGGACACTGGCACTGCTGAATGGCTTTTGGCTTCTTCTCTACTTGCTCTGGCTTTGAAGTATTCCAAAATCACTAGGGATAACTACATTTTAGCCCTGGGACACTGTGAGAACACAAATGCTGCTCTGACCCCTGACTGCTATCCCTGGTTTTATCAAACCTGACTTCTTTGAAAATATTTGGGAAAAATGAATGGCTAAAGAATTTTTCAGTCCCTTTTTCTCCTATGACCTTCTTTATTACTTTTGACGCACAGTAGTTTTTGTGTCATTTGCTCCATTCATGTTGAGGACTATAAGCATGCGAGACAGAGGGTCTTAGATGCAGACAATAAATTTTCAAGCTGTCCTTTTCAGCTTTGCAAGTGAAAGAGGGATGCAGGGCTGAATGGAGGAGGATGAGGAGCTCGAGTGAACTGTCAGTTTCAAGAAGGTCATTGAGTATGTTCAGGCTGCCAAGTTCCTGGGATTGTTCCCAAACTCCCACAGTGCTGCCTCAATCTGGCTACAGACTCTGTGCCATAGACTAGGATCTGTGGCTCATTCCATGGAACTAAGCCAGGTTTCTCTGGGGTCTCAGATGCTTCCATGGGTGTCAACTGGGTACCTCAATAAGTCACATTCTTGCCTTCAGTTTTCACATTTGTATTTTCTGGTCAGAACTAACAATTAAAATAGTTTATTATATTTAGAGTAAATAATAATATAATTCTATATTATTCTGTCTATGTAAGTACGCTTGAAGCATCTTTAAAATCTCCAAAATGGCTATGCTGGGCAGGACCATGGAGAGCATCCAATGCATCCTCCCACTGTGTCTAACTCACTTCTAGAAGCATGGCTGCAACAGTAACAACACAATGTTACCACTGGAACCCCTCTTCCTGGAATTACTGAAATATCTTCCAGGTGTTGCATAAGAAAAGTATTGAATAACCTTAAAAGGCATACTTATTGTGGAGTAATAATGATAAAATTAAACACTGAGTGAACAGTTATTACATGCCAGTTCATATTATAATAATTTTCTATGTAGTAACTCATTTAACTCTCCAAATTATTGTTTTTCTTACTTTACAGTAGAAGGGAAACTAAGGCATAGAGTCACAAGTACTAAACATGAAGCTTTTGCAATATCTCTTCTTCTGAAGTACACAACTTTAGCTACACCCAAGGTAAGTTGATACCCCCCCACTGCCCCTTTTTTTTAGACATGGTTTCACTCCATTGCCCAAGCTGCAGTGCAGTGGCACAGTCATGGCTCACTGCAGCCTTGGCCTTCCGGGCTCATGTGATCCTCCCGCCTCAGTCTCCCAGGTAGCTGAGACTACAGGTGCTCACCTGCATGCCTAGCTAAGGGTGCTGTCTCTTGAAGTGTTCAGAATGTCCTCTTTATACTTCATGTCCTCAGATTTTACTATGAAGTAGGTGTCCATGTATGGGCCCTTTCTTCATTCATCTTCCTTAGTAGCCAGGGGGCCCTTTGATCTGAAAAGAATATCTTTATTCAACTCTGGGGAGTTTTCTTATGTTATCTATTTAGTTATTTGCATTTCTCCATTCTATCTATTGTCATGAAACACATGTTAAACATATCATACCATCTTGGTATGGCCTAATCACCCCAAATCTAAACTGTAGTATGGAGAAAATGTCTTATAAAAGTGGTCTTTGACTCTCAATGCATCAGAATCTTCTTGAGAAATTTTTGAAAATCCAGATTTTTGGAATCTCAAAGATTCTGATTCAGGAAGTTTTGATTGAAGCACAGGTATCTATATATTTTTTAAATGTCCACAAGTAACTGTGCAACTTAGAAACTGAGAACCTCTCTCTTTGTAGGAATAAACAATGTACATGTTTTCACCTGTGTCAGAGGTAGACAAGTGATAAAGAATTCTGGATCCTGATCAAGTATCCCCAATAAAAAGGAGAGAGAAATGTGGTATTATGCAAATACGAACTGAAGATACTCAGTGTGTACTCCTAAGGTTCTTTCCATTTTATTGACTCTAGCTTTTGAATTTTTCTTAAATTGCGTCTACTTGGCCACAGTCTACTCCCCCGTATGTTGTGAGCTGTTGCCTCCAAATTTGTCTCTCCATAAATCTGATCATTTCTGCTTTCTATACATTAGCAATGCCTCAAATTTTCTTATCTACTAATGGCAACCCTCCTTGTTTTCCATGCCATTATGAATTTATTCTTTTTCACAGCTCCTCTATTCCTTCAAGAAATTTTGAAGGCAAAGGATGCATCTGTGTCTGCTCCTTCCACCCTCAGGAGCCAATTCCTCCTTTCACTTTCTCTGAATTTGGTTTTAGGAGGTACTGTTTTTATCTACTATGGAAGAGAACTTCATCAGTTCAACTCAAGGATGAAATTCAAGAAGGATTTCAACATATTTTTTTTCCCTATAAAAAAGGCTTGAGGCCAAATGTAGAGAAATGACCTCCTTCTTAAGTCCTATTTGTCAGCTAGGCTTGGAAAGAGTTCCCTTCCTCCAGAAAGTCCTTCTTACTATTCATCTTTCTTCCTCCACATCCATATGACTGCCCTCACTCCCTGACATATGGCATATACTCACAATGCTTGTCCTAAAAGGAGTTTCCAGCTGGACTGGAGCTGGAAAGACCCCTGGATCACGCTGATTATATTTCAGTAGAGAGCCAATTTCCAGATTCACCCTGGCGTACAATTTGGATGCTAAAAAGTCTCTTAGCATGCGATTTTGATGCTAAGTGAAGGATGCTTGTTTTCAATGGAACACAGCAATTCTGTAGAGCAAAAAGCTAGAAAGGACACTGGAGCCATAGCTTTCAGATCCCTTAACCAAAATGTTCAAGAGATAGAAAAACTGCAGAATACAAAGAGATGCTTAAATTTTCCTATGGACAAGCCTTATTTTATAAATCAAGAAAAATAACAGGAATACTCAAAGGATAGTGAATAACTGAAATTATTTTTAAGTTTGTTTCTCCAGGCTGGACTGCGGTGGTGTGATCTTGGCTCACTGCAGCCTCTGCCTCCTGGGTTCAACCGATTCTCCTGCCTCAACCTCCCCAGTAGCTGGGATTACAGGTGTGCACCACCACACCCAGCTAATTATTGTATTTTTAGTAGAGATGGGGTTTCACCATGTTGGCCAGGCTGGCCTTGAACTCCTGACCTCAAGTGGTCCACCCGCCTCGGCCTCCTAAAGTGCTGGAGGCATGAGCCTTGGTGCCCGGCCTCATTTTTAAGTTTTAACATTTTAACTCCCATATCTGATTCCCCTTGCACAGTGGGATGCTGGCTAATACTGATATGACCAACCTAGAACATAGAGCCGCCAGTGACACAGTGAGGACAATGTTTTGTCAGTGGCTTTGCCACATGGAGCTGGAAGAAAATACCAATTCAAGACTTGGAACAGGAAGCCTGAACCTTGGTTGCATCTTAGAATGACACCAATGTCCCAGCTGTCCCTAGACCAGTGACAGCAATATTTCTGAGCATGAAATCTAGTCCTTAATATTTTTAAAGCTTCCCAAATACTTCCAATTTGCAGACAAGGTTGAGTGGGCAATTGTAAGGTGAGCATTGTGAACTGTGATAGAAAGCTAAGGAAGTTAAAGATTTAGGAAAAGGGAAAACAACCGAGGGTGACAATGTGCAGATAACATTCAGGAGACTGTTTAATTGGACAGGATGAAATAGACATTGATGTTCTCTAAGGCTCTAGGAAAAGCCCCAAACTATCACACCAGTCTTGCCCCATACCTACAACATACCCAGCATGGTGACGGATAGCAGAGCTATGATTTATGAGACCTAATCTTGCCTTCCAGAAGTCAATAGTGTGGCGGGAAAAGATATATAAGTGACTAATTATGTCCATCAGAGTAAATCTGCAGAAAGATAAACTTTCAAATCGCTGTTGGAGCAAGGAGGAGGGAATGATACCATTAAGTCTGACTTGTGATTGAAGGGTACCAGAAAAGACATCAAAGAAAAGATGATCACTGAGCAGAAGCTTCAAGTATGAATTAAAGTTTCCTGAGCAGCCATGGAAGATGAAACATTCTAAGCAAGGAGATCAGAAAAAATAAAGTCATACCCATGAAGGGTTTGATTTGACAGTTGTGTCAGAGTGGCTATAGTGTAGGGTATGTGTCCAAGAACAGCAGAAGATAGTGTTGACAAGGTAAGATGGAGGGAAATGCTATATTGAGAATTTTGTACTTGATGGACAATGTGGCATGTCAGTAGTGAAAGTTTTTAAAAGGAGGGTGACGAGCAGATTCATGTGTGTTGTAGAAATCTTCCTGGCTATAACGTGAATTTTGAGTATACGAGGAATGCATAAAAATAAGATCTACCAGTTGGTTGTTACAATAATTTAGGTGTAACCCTTGCTAAAGCAGTGGCCATGTGAATAGAAGAAAGTGGGACAGACTAACACAGGGAAGATTTTAGAGAAGTTGATAACATGGCTATAGTGAAGAAAATAAAGTTAAAAATCAGAAATGATTTTTAGGTTTCTAGCCTGAGTGAATGGGTGGTACCATGAGCCAAAATGTGGACTAATGGAGTTTTGATTGATTAATTTGAGTTAATGGTGGGTTCAGTTCTGGATGTAAAGTTAACCATCCTATTTCCAACCATTGAAAGGGAAAGACCCTCAACTAACTTGCTCTCTAAAAAGCACATAGATAAACAGATCTCTGAGTTTCTCCAGGAGGCAGACTACCAAGAGCTCCTTGGGAAAGGATCTGTTTACCTTTCATGAGAGCAACTTAAAGCTATTAATGGTAATTTTCACATGCTCAAGACCCCTTCTGGATTTTTTTTTAATGTAATAGAGTTTATTTGAGCAAAAAGTGATTCGTGAATTAAACAGCACCTAGAACCAAAAGTTTAGAGAGGTAATCCCTGCTTAACATGGGCATTAGCTTTTATAGTCTAAACACAGAAGTAAAGTACAGAAACAACTGGATTGATTACAGGTAGGTACATGCCTTATCTGGGCATGGTCTAATCAGTTGGCTGTCTAGAAATGGCTGAAGCTCAGTTGCTGAGACTCGGTTATCTGTTTCAAAAATGATACTCCTAACTTAAGTGTTGATTTGTTTGTGTACTAAATTCAGTTGCAGGCTGTTACGTAGGAACTCAAAGTATGCAGACAGTGTCAGGCCAATGCCTTCCTGTTTCTTTCTTTTTTTTTTTTTTTTTTAACAATTTCTCCCTTTTGTTCACCCTCTCAATTTTGAGAGATTGACCAAAAACCTTGGGAATTGTGACCACTCTGTCACTAACATAATACACTCATTTGGTCTCAGTATGGAATTCACAAGTCACAATGGTGGATTAGTCAAATGATTATTGACCTTGTTGCTGTCCTAGTCATAATCACACTGCTTAACAAACAATGGATAGCTACAAGCAAACATTTAAGACACTTAAGAGGACACAGTGTGCCAGCAAGACTATTATAATGACTATCAGGAGGATAATACAAGGAAACTGAAGTGTACTCCATAGCAGAGACCTCCCCAAACTGAACTGATTAAAACATATTTAAAAAGTCAAATTTCACACAACATAGACAGTTGAACCATATCTGAGTCCAACTGGTGAAGACTCCTTTTATATCAAGTCAGGATCAGTCATTGGGATTTGCCAAATTCAATAGATATAAACTCAAAGGCCTCTTGAAGCAAGGCAGATGATGCAGGTCAGGCGGGGACTAGAGTAAATTAGAAAGTTTAAATACCATCAAAAAAAAAGCTCTTACTTCAAATGATTATTCTCATGCTTTCATAGAAGATCTGTGTTGCCAGATTTTTGGCTCTTGCAAAAGAAAGTCCTGTTTTTACATGTTGACAAGAAACTTATTTAAAAAAAAAAAGAATACTAAACAATGAAACTCATTTGTGACCCCTGGACTTCAAAGCTTCTTGAAGCTGAAGATTTATATATTTGTCTTGTGTTATCACTTTGAGATAACTTAGTGAGAGACAGTTCCAAAAGACTCTTTCATTTATAAAAGTTGCTCTTTTCATTGGTCCTAAATCTAATGCTTCCAAATATCTCATGATCCTTCTTTATAAGATTCCAGGAATTTAAGAACAATGCCATTTTCAATTTATCCATGTCATTTGTGGTTTTATTGACTTTAATCATAGCTCCTTTCAGCCTTCTTGTTTCTAAACTAATGTTACAGATTATTATTATAGGATAATACTTTCATAGGTACAGAAAAGTTTATGTCTAAAAATGATATTATATTGGGTCATCTAAAATCACTAAAACCTCTTCACATTAGAAGAAATCAGAGCCAGATAGACAAAGTAGATGTTCAAAGGTCATACAGCCAATTTCTGGCAGAGAATGATAACCTAGCTTTACTGGCCCTCACTCCTTTGTCTTCCTTGTGTCTGGGCTGAAAGCTCATTGTGGGCTTAACTTGTTTTTCTTTTTGGCTGTATCAGTTAGCTGTTTCTGCATAACAAACAACTCCAAAAATATCAGCAGCATGCTCACATGTGCGTTTGCTGGTCAAGTAGGTTCACTTGTCTTCAGCTACACTCTTCTGGGCTTCACTTCAGATTTCAGATCTGGTTCAAGTCACATGAAGTGGTTCTTCTGTTCTCATTTTGGGATCCAGGTTACCTGGGAGAAAGAATAGTGTCTACCTGAGGTATAGTCTTCTCATGGTGATGACCAAACAGATCTCAGAAGATCAAGCAGAAACATGCAGTGCCTTTAAAGCTTAGACTCAGAATTCATTTCCACCTATATCCCTCTGGCCAAAGCAAGTCATCTGGAAACATTCAGTGTCAGTGGGGCAGAGAAGCACATAACCTTATGGAGGTCATGGTGGGAGGAGGCGGTGAGCATATATGGAACACTAATCGTGTCTATCATGGCTACCACTAATTGAGGGAATATTGTGTCTGGCACTGTATCAAGCACTTCATTATTGTTAAATGTAACCTTCATGAGAATTCTATGTGGTATGTATAATCACCTCCATCTTACAGGTAAAAATATTGAGACCCAGAGAGATCAAACAAGTGGACAGATGCCACATATACTAGTAAGTGGCAGCATAAAATCTGAAAAGAGGTCACCAGTGCACACCGACACTCTGCCATGCTGGATCTTTTCTCTCTTCATTCTAAATGTTATTGCCTATTTTCAGAAGCTCAATATATTTGTGAGCCACAAAATGTGTCATTATATCAACAGTTGATCTATGTCTGCATGTTAGACAATGACAGTTATGGTCAAACACCTGCATGGTCAAACCTCTGTGATTAAAGAGAACAAAAGGAACAGAGTAGAAGGGTAAACAGGACTGTAGGAGGAAGACCATGGCAGAAATCCCATTCCGTATGTGCTTGCCCAGAAATCATGAAAATAAAAATAAAAATAAAACTCTGTGCCAAAATAATAGTGTGCAACTATTGGGTAACATGTCAGTTGTTTTACATTACAGCTTAGCCTTTAAGTTAGAACCATAAATAAGAGTGAATACTTCTTCTCTTGAAACACAACCCCAGAGATCATATAAATAACTGGAGCTCATTTAACTTGGGAGTTCAGATAGAGCAGACAAGTCCATGACATTAAGGCAAATGTCACTCTCTCTTCTTTGAACTAACACAGATTCCTAACCAGAAAGAGCGAGACCTGGCAATAACACTGACCGAAAGGAATAGGTGATGAATTAGGCCCTGAGTGAGAGATCATTGATTCCTCTGATGTTCTTCCTATAATAATGAGGTAGCCTAGTCTTCCTATCAGCTTTTATTGTGCCCTAAATCTTGATGCTGGGTTTCTCATTTGGTTCTCACTGAAAGTTGCTGTTCTGATCATTCTAGCTCTGCAGACTGGGAAACTGCTCTAATCTGACCAAGACTTTTCCCTGGGACTAAAGTGCTGGACTTGAACCTGCCTCATTCTCATCACTAAGCATGACTCCAAAAGATTCTTCAAGGACCTTCTGACAGGACTGATTTTGCTGTAAACCAGCCAAGACTGAACAGTCACTGAGTATCCAGAGCTTTAGTCACAAGGGAAGTTTAGGAGTAACTTCAGACTCTAAATTAGCCAATATCAGAGGCCAGTAGAGAAAGGCTTTGGAGCTAACTGAGTCCAAACTTGTCAGTATCGGCATCACATTTATAGAAATTCACGACCAAGTGATGCCCCCTCCATGGCTAACCTAGAGCTCAGTAAAGAGCAGCAGTCTAAGGCTGGCCGCAGTGGCTCACGCCTGTAATCCCAGCACTTTGGGAGGCCGAGGCAGGCGGATCACTTGAGGTCAGGAGTTCGACATCAGCCTGGCCAACATGGTCAAACCCCATTTCTACTAAAAATACAAAAAATTATCTGGGTGTCGTGGTGCACAGCTGTAATCCCAGCTACTCAGGAGGCGGAGGCAGGAGAATCACTTAAACTAGCCTAGGGGTCAGCAAACTATGACCTGGGAGCAAATGTGTTCACTGCTTTTTTTTAATGCATAAAGTGTTATTGAAACACAGCTATACTCATTTGTTTATGAATTGTCTATACCTGCTTTTGCATACAGTTAAGGAGTTGTGACAGAGACCATGTGTCCTGAAAAGAGTAAAATATTTACAACCTGGCCCTTTACATAAAAAGTTTGTCAACCCTGGTCTAGTTCTTTGAATATATTAAGGATAGATATTTCCAGGTCCCTGAGCTGAGAATTGTCTTCTGCACAGCTCACTGTCTCTCCATTTTTAGGGAAATAGTGTATCTTGCAGTTGGATTGGAACTATCATGAATTAATGTTTTTAAAGCTTAGATATTGTGGCATTTTTAAGATAGGTTCACAACTCTTTGTCCTTCCATAGAGAGGTGGAGTCTATGTCCCCTCCTCTTGAATCTGGGCAGACTTGTGAGTCATTTGTAACCACAGAATGTGGAAAAGTAATGTGACTTCTGAAGCTACATCTGAAGAAAAAAAAGACAGTACTGTTTCACCTTGCTTGTTGGAACACTTGTGTTGGGGGCTTGAGCCACCATTTAAGAAGCCTGGCTGACCTTAGGCCACCATGCTGTAAGGAAGTTCAAACCATTTGGAAAGGCCACGGCATAGGTATTCCGATCAGTTTTCTGTGCTGAGTTCCCAGCAGCCCACATCAACTGCCAGCCGTGTGGGTGAGTAATCTTGGACATCAGCACAGTTAAGCCTTTAAATCACCACAGCACCTGCCAGTATGCCAACATCTGACTACAATTTCATGAGAACTGCCAACTGAGGTCGGCCTGAATTCTTGACTTACAGATGATGAGAAAACAAAAGAGTGGACTGTGTGTGTGGACAGGGGAGATGTGGGGGGAGGAGGTAAATATATATACACACACACACACACACACACGTGTATATATATACACACACATATGTGTGTATATACATATGACTTCTGGTTTCCAGTTCAACATGTAAGGAGCTTAGAAGTCATTACTTCATCCTGACAAGTAAAAGCCTCAATGAACTAAAACATCAACAACTCTTCTTAGATATGTAAGAGAGGTGAGGACATGGGGCAAACCACTGCCCCCAACATTGGAGAGACCAACAGGTATACTGGAACAGAGACTCACTGCTTACTGGAGTTGCATCTTAGTGGAGCAGAGACTCACAAGCAAAAATCACTGCAGAAGCCCAATGCCAAGGGAGGGAAACCTGAACTGTAATTGACAAATTGCTGGAGGCTCAATATGAACAAATCTGAGGGTTAAAAACTCCAAGGAGACCTAGTCATGGAGGACTCCACAATATTGTGAGTTTTACCTCCAGGAGCTCAACCAAGTTCTCACAGTGGATAGCAAAGAAAAATTCCCATGTGCTTCTGGCTGCAGGAGGGAAAATGGAACCATTTGAAAATACACAAGAGCAATTTGTTTTTCTTAACAAAATCTGTCCTCAGTAAAACTATTTAACCAGAGCTTAACCTACTGAGGTTTTATCAAAGTCTTACTGACTTGGAAGAAGGGAAATATCCAACTCCAACCCCCTCCAGCCTTCCATGTGGAAAAAGAGAATTACCCAACTGCAGACCATTGTAGTTATCCTGTTCCCCCTAAGGGAGCAGGGAGAGAAAAATTAAGACACACCCGTAAAGTTCAAAGTCCAGAGACATAGGCTTACTAAAAGACTGAAACCTAATAACGAGACTAGAGAATGCTTCTCCTTATTCCATGCCTTACCACTACATTATTAGAGACCTATTTACAGGAGTTTATATGCTGTAAATAGCATATGCAGTATATATCAATAGTCACTTTAGACACCAATAGTCTAAATGCACTAGCTAAAAGATATTGTTAGAGTGGATGGAAAAACACAACCCTCTTTAAATTCACTTTAGTGTAAAAACATACTTAGATTAAAAGTAAATGGATGGAGAAAGATATGCCATGCCAACACTAATCAAAAGAAAGTAAGAATAACTATATTAATTTCAGACAGAGCAAACTTAAAAGGAAGGAAATTTATCCAGGGACAGAGAGGAGCATTATGTAACGATACAGGAGTCTCTAAAAAACATAACAATCTTTAACATGTATATACCTAACAACAGAGCATCAAACTAAATGAGGGAAAAATGGACACACCTGCAAAGAGAAATAAATGAATTCAACACCCCTCTATCAAAAAGGGACATATTCAGCATGCAGAAAATCAGTAAGGACACAATTGAGCTCAACAGCACCATCAATGAACTGGATATAAATTGTATCTATAGACTACTTTATCCAACAACAGTAGAATACATATTCTTCCCAAGCTCACATGGAACATTCACCAAGATAGACCATATTCTGGAAAAAAACTAGAAATCAATAACAGAATAACTGGAAAATCTCAATATATGTGAAGATCAAACAAAACACTT
Source organism: Homo sapiens (assembly GCF_000001405.40). NCBI lineage: Eukaryota > Metazoa > Chordata > Mammalia > Primates > Hominidae > Homo > Homo sapiens. Next base: position 25,491,615 of record NC_000016.10, on the reverse strand, counting down.
CCAAATAACACACAGGTTAAAGAATAAATTTCAAGAGAAATTTATTAAAACACAACTTATTAAACACAACTTATTAAAATTTGTGAGATTCAGTGAAAGCAGTGCTTAACAGAAAAATTTATAGCATTGAATGCATATATTAGAAAAAATAATCAAAATTAATCATCTAAGTTTATACCCAGAAAAAGAAGAGCAAACTAAATTCAGAGTAAACAGAGGAAAGAAATAAGTATTACAGCATAAATCAATGAAATTGGAAACAAGAAATCAATAGAGAAAATCAACAAACCAAAAGCTGGTTCTTTACTAGCCAGGCTAAGTAAAAAAGGAAGAAGACATGAATTACTAATAGAAATGAAGGAGGAGACATCACTACAGATCCACGGACTTTAAAAAGATAATAAAGAAATTCTAAGAACACAAATTTGAAAATTTGGATGAAATAGACCAGTTCCTTGAAAGACATAATCTGCCAAAGCTAACACAAGAAGAAATAGACAATCTGAATAGGCATATATATGTTAAAGAAATTGAATCAATAACTAATAACTTTCCTAAACAGAAGCAACAGGCCCAGAGGGGTTCACTGATAAATTCTATCAAACATTTAGGAAATAAAGTTACCAATTCTCTACAATCTCTTTCAGAAGATAAAAGCAGCAGATGCTTCCCAACTCATTCTGTGAGACTGGAATCACCCTGAAACCAAAATCAAACAGATGTATTACAAGAAAAATAACTATATATGAAGATCTCTCATGAACATAGATACAAAAATTTTCAGCAAAATATTAGCAAATTGAATCAAACAATGTATTAAAAGAATTATACATCACAACCAAGTGGGATTTATCCCAAGTATGCATGCCTAATTCAACATTCAAATATCAATTAATGTAATATATCACATCAATAGGCCAAAGAAGAAAAATCACATGATGATATCAATAGATGCAAAAAAATCATTTGACAAAACCCAACACCCATTCATGATTAAAAAAAAAAACTTTCAGTAAATTTGAAATATATAGGATACTACAGTGGTGGATACATGTTCTAACCAATAGAAGGTACAAAACCAAAAGTGAACCCTAATGTAAACTATGGATAATGAGTGATAATAATGCATTAATGCAGGTTCATCTGTTGTAACAAATGTTACCACTCTAGTGGTATGCACCAGTCTGAGGGGATTGATAATGGAGTAGGCTATACATGTATGGAAGCAGGAGTTACATGGGAAATCTCTGTATTTAAAAAAAAATTTTGCTGTGAACCTAAAACTGTTCTAAGATAAAAATGATTTTTAAAAAGTAAAATCTAAGCAAAAAAGAATTTTTTTGTAAAAAGAGTCTTAAACCAAAAGCAGGATCCATCTGACTATAGGTCAGGTCACGTCAGTTGGCTACAAGGGGTCTCTGATGGGTACAGTTCTCAACCAAGTACTGTGAGGAAAGATGGCACAGAGAAGGAGAAAGAGAGATTGAGAGAGAATATTTTTTGAAATTTTAAGCATAATCTATAAAAAAGTGCACACATCATGAGTATACATCTTCAAAAGTTTTCTCAAAGGGAATAAACCTTGTAACCAGCACCAAGACTAAGAAACAGAACGTGACCAGCACCCCAGAAGGCCCCTTTGTTCCTCTGATAGGTACCTCTATCCTGTCTTCTAACAACTTAGATGAGTTTCACCTGTTTTTAAGCTTTATATCAACAGGAACCAGACTGCACATTTTCTTTTATGCTTGGCTTTTAAAATTTCACTTCATGTTTGTGAGATTCAGCCATATTACCATGTGTAGCTGTGGGTGCAAATTATCAGAATGGTGAAACCAAGGGTGAGAGAGGCTGCTGAACACACCAACTTGCTTCAACTAACTACCTATAGAAAAATCCTAGACATAGCTGGGAGGAATATCTGCCACAAAGGGACCACGACACAAGGAAGAACAGATCTTTGAAAAGAAGACACTGACAGTGAATGGAGAGAGAACACAGACACTGGGCTGAAGTGAGAGGAAGCTGGGAACCCTGCATGAGGCAATCATGCTCCAGGACTTGTTCCTGGGCCCTAACAACTGGGGAAGGGGTGAGTTGAGCAGGCGAGGGGCAACCCATTCTCACCATGGACCTCAGGAATTCTGGCTACAAGAGACACTTGAGCTGGCAGGGAGAGCTGCTTAAAGAGGTGGTAGGGACAGGATTCTAGCCTGTGTGGAGCCCAGAGGGTTTGGTGCAGGAATGTCTGCAGAGGAGCACAGCCAGGGATGTCCCTCCCTCAAGGCTCATCATACTGCTGTAGGAGACTCTAACCTTAGGGGAACTGTAAGACCTGAACAGAGTAGGGCAATCTTGTCCATGAGATGGGTCCAGTCTTACCTGGGCACCCTTCTGCTCGCCGGCCTCTCCCTGGGACTCATTCTCACCATGCCTGCTTGCAGTGCAGCCTCAGATGCCCAATCAAAGTGCTTCCCAGGGGACCACATCATAGTTCCTGTGCTGGCAGACCATGCCTGACAATTGGAGAGCTCCAGCAGAGTGGCCCCCTCTGACATGCACCAGCCTACCCACAACCTCCCCCCATAGCAGCCTCTCCTGTACCACTTCACTGGTGTGCACTCACCTATGGCCACTCCACCATCACTTTGCTGGCACCTGTGTGCATAGGCAGACCTCACCCCTTCCCCATTGCTGCCTGCATGAGAGCACCCACACACCCCCACAACAGTGCTATTGTGCCACCATTGCTGGCATGAACACACCCAGGGAAACCAGCAGCCCCACCCTCTGCTCCATGCCACCACCACCACTGGCATGAACACATGCATGGAGGTCACCAGCCCCGTGCCTGCCAGCACCCCACCCTCACTTCAACAATGCCACACACATGAACATGCACACAAATTCCAGTGGCCCCACTCCCTCCTCCTCCATCCCTAGCACTGCCACCTCTGCTGCTGCTGTCAAGGTCCACACTGAGGCCAGCCGTCCCAGGCCCGCCAGTGCCCCACCCTAGCTGACAAGCATGCACCCTGCCACACAGCTGCTGTTGCTGACATGTGCAAATGTGCACAGATCCCACTGCCACTGCCTGATGAAGCACTTTAGCTGGCATTGCCCTTCAAACTGTTGTAGCCAGCAGTCCGGGAACACTTCAGCCCCTCCAGGGCAATAGGTTGCCAACCTTGAGGGGCCAGAGAACAAAGCTGGAGGCCTGATACCAGCCCCCCAGAGTTAGAACACACAGCCCAGGAGTGCTGAGCTAAGCCTTGAACCCCAAAAAATGTACCAGAAACAAAGCCAGTTGATTGACTCTACCTTATACCACAATCAAAACCCCAAGCACATCAAAGAAAATAAAGCAAAAAAAAAAAAAAAATCCAAAGGACAGCAATTTCAATGATTGAAGGAATACATAGATGAGAAAGAACCAGCTCAAGAACTCTGGACATTCAAAACGCCAGAATGTCCTTTTACCTCCAAATGACCACAGTAGTTCCCCAGCAATGGTTCTTAACCAGGCTAAAATGGCTGAAATAACAGAAATATAATTCAGAATATGGATAGGAATGAAGATCATTGACATTCAGGAGAAACTCAAAACCCAATTCAAAGATTCTAAAGAACAAAATAAAATAATATAGGAGATAAAAGACAAACTGGCCATTTTAAGACATAACTAAACTGAGCTAATAGAGCTGAAAAACTCACTTCAAGAATTTCAGAATACAATTGCATTATTAACAACATAATCAATTAAGCTGACGAAAGCACCTCAGAGCTCAAAGACCACCTCCAAGAATATGGGATTATGTAAAGAGACTAAATCTATGACTCATTGGCATCCCTGAAAGATAAGGGAGAGAAAGCAAGAAACTTGGAAAACATATTTCAGGATATTGTCCATGAAGATATCCCCAACATTTCTAGAATGGCCAACATTCAAATTCAGGAAATGCAGAGAACCCCTATGAAATGCTGAATGAAAAGAAAATCCCCAAGACACATAATCATCAGATTCTCCAAGGTAGAAACGAGAGAAAAAAATATTAACAGCAGGTAGAGAAAAGGGGAAGGTCACCTACAAAGGGAGCCCTATCAGGCTAACAGAGGACCTTTTGGCAGAAACCCTATATGCCAGAAAAGATCAGGGACCTATGTTCAGCATTCTTACAGAAAAATACTTTCAACTAAGAATTTCATATCCATCCAGACTAAGCTTCATAAGCAAAGGAGAAATAAGATCCTTTTCAGACAGGCAAATACTAAGGGGTTTTGTTACCACCAGACCTGCTTTATAAGAGGTCTTGAAGGGGGTGCTAAACATGGAAAGGAAAGACCACTACTAGCTACTACAAAAACGCATTTAAGTACATAGATCAGTGACACTATAAAGCAACCACACAAACAAGTCTGCATAATAACAAGCTAACAACATGTTGTCAAGAACAAACCTGCACATGTCAATACTAACCTTGAATCTAAATAGGCTAAATTCCCCCAATTAAAAGACACAGAGTGGCAAGTTGCATAAAGAAGCAAGACCCAACAGTATGCTGTCTTCAAGAGAACCATCTCACACGCAATGACACCAATAGACTCGAAGTAAAGGGATGGAAAAAAATCTACTAAGCAAATCAAAAACAGAAAAAAAGCAGGGGTTGCTATTCTAATTTCAGACAAAAACAGGCTTTAAACCAACAAAGGTCAAAAAAGATAAAGAAGGACATTACATAATAATAAAGGGCTCAATTCAACAAGAAGACCTAACTATCATAAATATATATGCACTCAGCACAGGAGCACCAACATGTATAAAGCAAGTTCTCTGAGACCTATGAGGAGACTTAGATAGCCACACAATAATAGTGGGAGACTTCAACACTCCCATTGACAGTATTAGACAGACGATTGAGGCAGAAAACTAACAAAGATATTCAGGACCTGAACTCAACACTGGACCAAATGGACCTGATAGACATCTACAGAACTCTACCCATTCTTCTCAACTGAATATGGCACATACTCTAAAAGCAACCACACTATTGGACATAAAACAATAAGCAAGTTCAAAAAAAACTGAAATCATGCCAACTATGCTCTCAGGCCACAGCACAATAAAAATAAAAATAAATATTAAGAAAAACATTCAAAACCATATAATTACCTAGAAATTGGACGACCTGCTCTCAAATGACTTGGGTAAATAATGAAATTCAGGCAGAAATCAAGAAATTCTTTGACACTAATGAGAATAAAGATACAGCATACCAGAATCTCTGGGCCACAGCTAAAGCAGTGTTAAGAGGGAAATTTATACCACTAAACACCCACATCAAAAAGTTAGAAAAATCTCAAATTGACAACCTAATATCACATCTAGAGGAAATAGAGAAACAAGAGGAAACCAACCCCAAAGCTAGCAGAATACAAGAAATAAACAAAATGAAAGCTGACCTGAAGGAAACTGAGAGGCAAAAACAAACAAACAAACATAAAAAGAGCAACAAATCCAGGAAATGGTTTTTTGAAAAAATTAATAAGATAGACCACTAGCTAGACTAATAAAGAAAAGAGAGAAGATCCAAATAAACACAATCAGAAATGATAAAGGGGAAATTATGACTGACCCCACAGATATTAAAAAAGAAACCCTCAGAGACTACTTTGAACACCTGTATGCACACAAACTAGAAAACCTAGAAGAAATTGACATATTCCTGGACACATACAACTTCTCAAGACTGAACCAGGAAGAAACTGAATTCCTGAATAGACCAATAATGAGTTCCGAAGTGAAATCTGTAATAAAAAGCCTGCCAACCAAAAATGAAACCGAGGACCAGATGGATTCACAGCAGAATTCTACCAGATGTATAAAGAAGATGTTGTACTATTCCTACTGAAACTATTCCAAAAACTTGAGGAGGAGGGATTCCTCTCTGTCTCATTCTATGAGGCTGACATCATCCTGATACGAAAATCTGGCAGAGACACAAAATTAAAAGAAAGAAAGAAAGAAAGAAAACTTCAGATCCATATCCTTCATGAATATCAATGCAAAAATCCTCAACAAAATACTAGCAAATTGAATTCAGCAGCACATCAAAAAGCTAATCCACCATGATCAAGCAGGCTTTATCCCTGGGATGCAAGGTTAGTTCAAAATAGGCAAATCAATGTGACAATCACATAAACAGAACTAAAGACAAAAACCATATGATCATCTCAATTGATGCAGAAAAGGCTTTCAATAAAATTCAATATCCCTTCAAGTTAAAAACCCTCAATAAACTAGGCACTGAAGGAATAAAATCCAAAATAAGAGCAATCTATGACAAATCCATAGCCAACATCATACTGAACTGGTAAAATCTGGAAGCATTTCTCTTAAAAACCAGAACAAGACAAGGATGCCTTCTTTCAACATAGTACTAGAAGTCCTGGCCAGAGCAATCAGGCAAAAGAAAGAAATAAAAGGTATCCAAATAAGCAGAGAGGAAGTCAAACTATCCCTGTGTGCAGACGATATAATTCTATTCCTGGAAAACCCCATAGCCTCTGCCCAAAAGCCCCTTGATCTGATAAGCAACTTCAGCAAAGCTTTAGAATACAAAATCAATGTATAAAAATCACTACCGTTTCTGTACACCAATAACAGCCAAGCTGAGAGCCAAATCAAAAGCACAATCCCATTCACAATAGCCACAAAAAGAATCAAATACCTAGGAATATAGCTAATCAGGGTGGTGAAAGAGCTCTAGAGGGAGAACTACAAAATGCTGCTCAAATAGATTAGAGATGACACAAACAAATGAAAAAAGAATTCCATGTGCATGGATAGGATGAATCAATATAGTCAGAATGGCCATACTGCCTGCTCAAAGTAATTTATAGATTCAATGATATTTCTATCAAACTACCAATGACATTCTTCACAGAATTAGAAAAAACTATTTTAAAATTTATATAGAGCTAAAAAAGAGTCCAAATAGCCAAGGCAATCCTAAGCAAAAAGAACAAAGCTGGAGGCATTATGGAACCTGACTTCAAACTATACTACAACGCTACAATGACCAAAACAGCATGGAACTGGTAGAAAAACAGATGCACAGACCAATGCAACAGAATACAGAACCCAAAAATAATGCCACACACATCCATCTGATATTCAACAACGTCAAGAAAAGCAAGCAATGGGGAAAGGACTCCCTATTCAATAAATAGTGCTGGGATAACTGGCTGGCCATGTGCGGAAAATTGAAACTGGACTCCTTCCTAACACCATAAAAAATCAATTCAAGAGGGATTAAACACTGAAATGTAAAACCTAAAAATATAAAAACCCTGAAAGATAACCTAGGCAATATCATTCTGGACATAGGACCAGGCAAAGATTTCAGGTAAAGAGGCCAAAAGCAATTCAACAAAAACAAAAACTGACAAATGGGATCTAGTTAAACTAAAGAGCTTCTGCACAGGAAAAGAAGCTGTTGACAGAGCAAACAGACAACCTACAGAATGGGAGAAAATATCTGCAAACTATGCATCCAACAAAAATCTAATATCCAGAACCTACAAGGAACTTAAACAAATTTACAAGCAGGAAACAAACAACCTCATTAACAAAGGGCAAAGTACATTAACAGAAAATTTTCTAAAGAAGACATACATATAGCCAACAAGCACATGAAAAAAATGCTCAATACCACTAATCATTAGAGAAATGCAAATCAAAACCACAATGAGATACTACTTCAAACCAGTGAGAGTGGCTACTATTAAAAAGCCAAAAATTAACGGATGTTGGTGAGGTTGCAGATAAAAGAAAATGCTTATACACTGCTGATGGGAATGTAAATTAGTCCCACCATTGTGGAAAGAAATTTGGAGATTTCTCAAAGAACTTAAAATAGAATTGTCACTTGACCCAGCAATCTCATTGTTGGGCATATACCCAAAGGAATATAAATCATTCTACCATAAAGACATATGTGCTTATATGTTCATCACAGTACTATTCACAATAGCAAAGACATGGAATTTACCTAAATGCCCATTGATGGTGGACTGAATGAAGAAAATGTAGAACACATACACCACGGAATACTATACAGTCATAAAAAGAAAGAGATCATGTCCTTTGCAGAGACATGGATGAAGCTGGAAGCCATTATCCTAAGAGAACTAACACATGAACAAAAAACCAAATACTGCATGTTCCACTCATAAGTAGGAGCTAAAACATCAAGTACATGTGGACACAAAGGGCCCATGTGAGGGTGAAGGTTGGGAGGAGGGTGAGGATCAAAAAACTAGTATCTGGTACTATGCTTGTTACTTGAGTGACAAAATAATCTGTATGCCAAACCCCTGAGACATGCAGTTTTCCCATGTAACAAACCTGCACACGTACCCCTGAACCTAAAATAAAAGTTAAAAAAAAAATCCAAGATGAGAGAAATTAACTAGTGAGTGAATTACTCAATTTTCAAGCAGAATTTAGAAGAATTGTAAAGGAGCCAAGACTTTTGGAGTTCAAAAATAAAACTACAATTCCAGTCTCTCCCAGCAAAAGATTCTCAAAGAATGGGCCTTAGGGAAAGGATCAAGTCCAAGGAGGGACTGTAAGATCCTTTAGTAAGACATTAGAAAGATCTAAGGTGATGCATCATAGATCCTTTCAAGTGTACAGTAATCTTTCAAGAATCTTAAGATGATGTCTCAGAGATCTTTTCCATTAAACAATGGGACTTCTAAGAAATTGAAGGATGTTTTCCCACAGCAGTGTTACAGAAAGCCAAAAATAGCAAAGGTCTTATCTCAAACAGATGTGTTGGTGTATCTTTTGTCTAGTGGAGTACATTATAAGAATATTTGAAAAAGGGCTAAATAGAGATTATAGGAAAGTATATAGTCCTTGAAATTAAAGTCTCAATGATGAGTTAAAATAAAGATTAGAGAGATATGCTAGGCACCTTTACAATTCAGTAAATTTAAAACCTAGCTTTTCTTGGCCATTTGTGATACGATTTAATGTTGACAATAATATCAACAACATTCTTGCCTGAAGGTCAAGCAAAAGCTGAATAGAACATGCTTGGATAGATTAATGAATAGGTGGTCCACATGTCATCTTTGTGTTCACTTTTTAAAATTACTCAAAGAAACTGTTTGTTGTGTCTACTTCATGAGCTATATTCAGCCCAAATACCTGAGTCCACCATGCTCAGCCACATTCTGATCTCATAGGAGGTATCAGAACAGGCAGAAGCATGCGGAGCAGAAACTGCCCATCTACAAAGCTGGACTCTAGCTATTTATGCCTAGTGTTCCATTATTGGAACGCTAAGCTTGTGGGAGTTCTTTATATCTTACTGCTCAAAGTCATCGCCAAGGTCTGATTTTTCGCAAAAAAAAAAAAAAAAGAACCTCCGGCATAACTGGGTTAGAAGACTTGTGGAGATTCCCTTTGTCACAAGAATCTTCTCAGTCCAAAGCAGTGTCTCCTTTTTGTTTACTACCTGTGGCAGGAAAGTAAAGTTGTTAGTTTTGCTTTAACAAATCCACAAGAGAAAAACCAAGCCCTTATGACCTGCAGAAGAGGAGAAAGGGAAGAACTTAATCTGCACCTCCTTAGCAATCAGGTCACAAACAGCGTTAGCTGCTGCCACTGTGTTTCACCCATGCTAGTCATTTCAGAGTTGGCAGTGACTAAAGGGCCAGGAATCTGAGGTATCTTCACATTCCAGCCCTTCTCTCACTACCTTATGTAAAGTTGCTGGGACAATGTGGGTAGATCTGGACAGGAATAGGATAGCTGCAAGGAGGGAGTAGGATGGAAAGGGACATTTGAGGCCACTCAAGTAACAAGACTGGAGGTGGAGAGCCTGCTGAGGAGCCCATTAGTTCCAGCAGCATTTTTACCAATCCCATTGCCTGTATCAAGCCTGCCTCCCCAGGAGAGCAACACAGATGAGCATCTGGCTGGCTACTGTGAACACAGGCAAGAGTCCTGGGAATCTGGGAGGACTTGGAACTGGAAAATTCAATAGATAATGATGATCACTATGAACTATGCATGTCTGCTAAGGAGTGACAGTTCCCTGAAACCTAAACACCTTGTCATTTGAACACCTGAGACACAGGATATTGTGAACCCTATAGGCAGTGTTGCTGAATATAAAATTCTACATTTCAGACATTCAGGGGAACCCAACCAACACAAGATACATCAATGCAGACACACGCACAGTTTGATTCAATAGGAAAGCTTTCTACAGGCACTGCAGAGTTAAGTAACACAGCAACAGTAACAGAGCAGGGAATACAGAAACCAAGGCAGGACACAGAGAAACTTTTAGTCAAGATGCTAAATGACTCGGAATAAATGGAAGAAAGGAAAGTGGAGATGAGAGCGGGAAAAGAAGGAATGGTAAACCTAAGACAGGAAGAAAACAGAGGATGCAAGAAAAGAAGAAAGGGCCAGGAGTGATGGCTCACGCCTGTAATCCAGCCTAGCCAACATGGCGAAACCCCATCTCTACTAAAAACACAAAAATTAGCGGGGCATGGTGGCAGGCGCCTGTAATCCCAGCTACTCAGGAGGATGAGGCAGGAGAATCACATGAGCCCAGGAGGCGGAGGTTGCAGTGAGCCGAGATAGTGCCACTGCACTCCAGCCTGGGTGACAGAGCGAGACTCCGTCTCAAAAAAAGAAAGAAAGAGAGAGAGAGAGGGGGAAAAGAAAAGAAACAGAAAGAAAGAAAGAAAGAAAGAAAGAAAGAAAGAAAGAAAGAAAGAAAGAAAGAAAGAAAGAAAGAAAGAAAGAAAGATAGTTTATGATGGAGAAATAATATAAATAAGAAATCTTCTAGTTTCCAAAACTGTAGTTTGTATCATGTAGTATTATAATTATTTGTTTACATCTCTGATTTTGCCTTAAATTCAAGAGAGGAAAACTGGATCACTACTGTAACTTTCATAGCATCAGCAAGGTGCTTGGAGTAGATGTTTAATAAAGATGAATGTAGAGAAGAAAAGGAATCCAGCCAAAGGAGCTTACGGCTTGTGGTTCTTTTATTTATTTATTTATTTTCAATAGCTTTAGGGGGTACAAGTGGTTTTGCATTACATGAATAAATCATATAGGGGTGAAGTCTGGGCTTCTCATGCACCCATCATCTAAACAGTGTACATTGTACCCAGTAGGTAATTTTTCATTCCTCACCCCCACCCACCCCTCCCTTTCTGAGTTTCCAGTGTCCATTATATTGTATCACTCTGTTTGCCTTTGTGTATCCATAGTTTAGTTCCCATTGATCAGTGAGAACATGTGGTATGTGGTTTTCCATTCCTGAATTACTTCACTAGGATAAGGGCCTCCAGTTTTATCCAAGTTTCTGCAAAAGACGTTATTCCATTCATTTTTATGGCTGAGTAGCGTTTCATAGTATACATATATGTGTGTGTGTGTGTGTATATATATGTATATGGAATCTATAGATTCTATATACTATGGAATATACATACTGTGAAATATATATATACACACTATGGAATTATATATATATACCACATTATCTTTATCCACTCATCAGTTGATGGGCACTGAGGTTGATTCCATATTTTTGCAGTCTGAAATGCAGCATTTCACTGAGCTTTTCCCTTAGATTTCAGAGTCTTTCTTCTCTATTTCTTTGTTGTTATTGTTTTTGTTTGATTGCTTGTTTGTTTGAAACAGGGTATTGGTTTGTCTCCCAGGATGGCGTGCAGTGATGCAATCATAGCTCACTGCAGCCTCAATCTCTCAGACATAACTGATCCTCCCGCTTCAGCCTCCCATGTAGCCGGGACCACAGGCATGTGTCACCACGCCTGGCTAATTCTTTTTGACTTTTAGTAGAGACAAGGTCTCACTATGTTACCCAGGCTGGTCTCAAATTCCTGAGGTCAAGCAATATTCCCACCTTGGCCTCCCAAATTGCTGGGATTACCGGTGGTGAGCCACTGCTCCTGGCCACTTCTCTATTTCAATTTGTCCTATGTCTCCCTCCCCTACCCCCACTCTCTTTTTCTCTCTGTATCTCTCTCTCACACCAGAGTTAAGAACCTAGGAGGCATCCATAATTCCTCTCTCTTCTTTCCCTCGATTCTCCATCACCGTCGTGCTGACTTTTACCTCCAAATGTTCTTGCGTCCATTACCTCCTTCCAATCCTTGGCACCTCTTCCCTAAATCATCATATGACAGCTTCATAATGCTATCTTCCTCTTTGGCTGCCTCTTGTGATTACTGCCAGAATAGAAAATAAATTACCATCAAGTTTTTGCTTGACATTCTACAGTGGCTCCCTATCACCTACAGGCCTAAGTTCAAGGCCAAGTATGGCCTGGGTTGTGGACACTGCAAGGGCACACTCCACAGCCCTTTGATTCCCCTCTACTATTTCTGGGTACCTATTCCCCCAACCCCAGCTTCTGTGTGTTTTGCTTGTAAGGGCCCACACCTTAGATTCTCTTGGGAGGGCTGCCCCTACATGAATTGACCACCTTTGCTCACAGGTACAAAGAGTCAGAAGTGTCAGGGCGGCCTACAACCAATGAGTGACTGATACCAAGGTGTTAAAGCCCAGCTCCCTTGGCTCAAATAAGGACAAACTCTGAGGTGTAACTTACATTCCAGAGCTCCCCAGCAGCACCAGATTAATGCTGAGACTTTGCCTAAAGTCACACCATTACTTGGCATATTATTTATCTATTGTTGCATAACACATTTTCCCCAAAAAATTAATGTCTGAAAGAAACAAACATTTATTATCTTGCATAGTATCTGAGGGCCAGGAATCTGGAAGCAGCTTAGCTGTGGTCAGGGTCACTCATGAGGTTGCAGTCAAGTTGTCAGCTGGGGCTGCAGTCATCTGATGGGAATAGAGGATCTGCTTCCAAGATCACCTCACGTGGCTGCTGGCAAGAGGCTCCAGTTCCTTGCCAGATGGGCCTCTCTATAGGGCTGCTGTCTTTTCCCAAAGCAAATGATCCAAGAGAAGGAGAGAGCTAGGAAATGAGCAAGACAGCACCCAAAACAGAACCTAACCTCAGAGGTGACATGCAACCACTTCTGCTATATGCTGTTGGCCACACAGGTCAGTCCTGGTACAACGTGCAAGGGGGATTACAAAAAAGGCAGGAAGTGAGGATTGCTGAGGACCGTCTTGGATGCTGGAGACCACACTTCTTCCCCTTCTCTATCCTGCTCCTCACATTCTCTTATCAGGTTTTCCTAAGAGCACTTTTTTTTTTTTTTTGAGACAGAGTCTTGCTCTGTTGCCCAGGCTGGAGTGCCATGGTGCGATCTCAGCTCACTGCAACTTCCCCCTCCCAGGTTCAAGTGATTCTCCTGCCTCAGCCTCCCAAGTAGCTGGGATTACAGGTGTAAGCCACCATGCCCAGCTAATTTCTGTATTTTTCTGAGATCAGGCACATTCAGGATAGTATGGCTGTAGAATAATTTTTGTATTTTTAGTAGAGATGGCATTTCACCATGTTGGCCAGTCTGGTCTCAAACTCCTGACCTCAGGTATACCTGCCCACCTCGGCCTTTCAAAGTGCTGTGATGTAAGGTATGAGCCACCATGCCTGGCAGGGTTTCCTAGGAGAACTTCTCAATGAATCACTTGTATCTGAATCCTAGTCTCAGGGACTGCTTCTGGGGGAACTCAACCTAAGACAGACTGCAAAGTCCTCCAAGACATGGCCCTTGCCTAATTCTCCAGTTTCATCTCTTGCCAGCAACATGTGCCTCACCCTTGATGTGCCAGCAACATCGAAATGACACTTGAAATCACCTGCACAAAGCATGTAATCTTTCTATGCCTTTACTCAGAGGGCAGAAAAAGAGTCTTAATCATCTTTTTATCTCTGTCACTAGCTACCATTAGACATTTGTTGAATGAATGAATGAATGTGAACATCCTAAAGTCTTCACTGTCACTGTGAACATCCTTAAATGGCCACTGCTCAGGGGTGAGTGGAGAAAAGGACATGTGGCTTTGTTCTTTCACCTGGAGCAAGTTTGAGAACTTCACCATGCCCTCTAAACTCTGGGAAAGGAAAATAAGGGAATCCATGCATTCATTCAACAAATATTTACTGAAAGCTCACTGTATAACTGGCATTTTCCTGAGCATTGGAGAAGCAGCAATGAAACAAATAAATTCAAAATCTACTTTCAAGGGCTTATATTCTACTGCAGGAAAATAGTGACAGCTAAAAGATATTGAGTGTCATATGTCCCAGGCACTGTCCTAGGGGCGTGTGTGTGTATGTGTGCACATATACACATAGAGAGAGTACCTCATTTAATACTTATATAATCCTATGAGATAGGCGTTATTATTATTCTTATTTTGAAAATAAGGAGACTAATGCACAGACAATAAATAGTGGGCCTGGAATTTGAACCCAGTTTGTAGCATTCTAGAGCCCATATTCTTGTCTACTCTACTCAACAAATAGAAGCGCACTAAAAACTGCATTGATGTGGCAACACCAACAACATACTTGTTCGTTTATCTGGATTTTCTTACCCATACAATGTGTTTTATTTTAAAACTCTGAAAAGGGGAAATAAGAAACTGCTGATGCCTAGTGTAACTAGAATAAAAACAGCCGCTTTGGGCCAGGCATGGTGGCTCATGCCTGTAATCCCAGCACCTTGGGGAGGCCAAGGTAGGCAGTTCACTTGAGGTCAGGAGTTCAAGACCAGCCTGGCCAACATAGCAAAGCCCCGTCCCTACCAAAAACACAAAAAATTAACCAGATGTGGTAGTACATGCCTGTAATCCCAGCTAGTCAGGAGGCTGAGGCACGAGAATTACTTGAGCCTGGGAGGCGGAGGTTGCTGTGAGCTGAGATCACACCACTGCATTCCAGCCTGGGTGACAGAGTGAGACTCTGTCTATCAAAACAAACAAACAAACAAAACAAAAAAGCAGCCACTTTGAGCCAGAATAGGCCTAAAAGGCAATACAGTGCAGAGATAACAATTTAAATAGAAGTCGGGAGTTAGGGCTGAGCTAGAACTGGTAGTGTGGTACTGTCTGTTTCCTCTTCTCCATGATAAGGAAGCTAGATGAATGTAGCTCTAAGATCCTTTCTTCTATTTCTTCGATAGCAACCTTAATGGGCTGGCTCTTAAGATTTCAATGCCTTTATGAAATGTAGCCTTGGATTATATTCATCAGCCTACATATGCCATCTCCCCTGCTAGACCATAAGCCCTGTAGTAAGTGAATGCTCTTTTACACACCACTATACGCCATATACACCATGCCATCTGGGGCATGTCTTACCATAGAGAATGGGCCTCTATATTCGAAGACCACCCTTGAAAAGGCTCCTTCAAGGTCACAGAAGGAATGAATCAAAGAGTCAACATTTAGACGCAAGCCTGTCCCATTTCAAAGCAGGTGCTTTCAGCTCACACCTAATGACTTAAGAAAGAGCAATTGCTTAAATAGTATTCCTGCTGGGTCAGCGTGTTGTTTCATAAAGCCTATTTCAAATATTTCTCTCTCAACCACACACACTCACTCACAAGTTCAACACTGACTTTTCTAAATCCCCCAGATGGTATCTGTCACCTTGAAATTGGGTCTTTTATGAGCAAGGTAGGTCCTGGTCTGATTCTTGATTCTCAGCTCAGAAGCACTGTAGGGATATACCTCAGAAGAGATAAAAAACAAGATTTTACCAATATTGATATTTTTATTTCTTTAGATGCATGGGAATTCATTGCATTGTACCTCACTTGCCTTTACATCTTAATTGTTAAATAATTTTTTTAAAGGGAGGCATTATTTTTCCCCTGAAATATCCTAGTTTCTTGGAAAATTTATGTAGTTTCAATTTCTTTTTTTCTTTCTTTCTTTCTTTTTTTTTTTTTTTTTTGTCAGAGTCTCAGTCTGTCACCCAGGCTGGAGTGCAGTGGCGCAATCTCAGCTCACTGCAACCTCTGCCTCCTGGGTTCAAGCGATTCTCCTGCCTCAGCCTCCTGAGTAGCTGGGATTACAGGCGCCCACCACCACACGCAGATAATTTTTGCTTTTTTTTTTTTTTTTTTTTTTTTTTTAGTGGAGATGGGGTTTCACCATGTTGGTCAGGCTGGTCTTGAATTCTTGACCTTGTGATCTGCCCACCTCGGCCTCCCAAAGTGCTGGGATTACAGGTGTGAGCACCGAGCCTGGACTCTAGTTTCAATTTCTTAGTAATACCCTAGTTCCCCAAAAGTCTTTGAGGGTTGAGGTCCTAGCAGAAAACACATATCACACTTAGAAGGGGTTATTGAAGAGAGTTTAATAAAGGGGCTACTGAAAAAGGTGTGGGTAGCTATTTGGGAGGCTGAGGGCAAGAGGATTGCTTGAGGCCAAGAGGAGTTTCAGATCAGCCTGGGCAACACAGCAAGACCCACAGTTTCTACACACACTTTTTCTTTTTTTTAATTAGCAGGGTGTGGTTGTGTGCACCTATAGTCCTAGCTACTTGGTAGAATGGCAGGGGAAGATCCCTTGAACTCAGGAGTTTGGGGTTGCAGGGATCTATGATCATGCCACTGCACCCCAGCCTGAGTGACACAGCATGACCCTGTCTCTAAAATGAAAAAAAAAATTAAAAGGGCTGGGCAGGATAAGGGAAATCAGCATGGGTACGGTGCAGCACCTCAAGACTAACAACATGAGAGCCATTACTGCCCCTAGGTCAGAAGGCACAAGAGTGGGGAGCACTTAGGGAAACCTGGTGAGAGTCGTGGAGAGGCCTGGCAGAGAGGCATGTGGCCTCTATTCAGGAATGTGACTCCTGCAGCCTGACTGTGGAGCGAGGGCTGAATATCATTCTCATCTCACCTTCCCAGCTCCTGCTGGTGCGTCCCATTGGCCTGACACAACCAGGAGCTGAAGGAGAGGTAGCCTGGGTGATATGGTGTGGCTGTGTCCCCACCCATATCTGACCTTGAATTGTAATAATCCCTACGTGCCAAGGGCAGGGCCAGGTGGAGATAATTGAATCATGGAGGTGGTTTTCCCCAATACTTTTCTCATGGTAGTGAATAAGTCTCACAAGATCTGATGGTTTTATAAAGAGGGCTTCCCCTGAACAAGCTCTTTTGCCTGCAGCCATGTAAGACGCGACTTTGCTCCTCCTTTGTCTTCCACCATGGTTGTGAGACCTCCCCAGCCATATGGACCTGTGAGTCAATTAAACCTCTTTCCTTTTTAAATAACCCGTCTCAAGTATGTCTTTATTAGCAGCATGAGAACAGACTAATACACTGGGTAATGCGACCTCCCAGGCGAGCCTCCCAGAGCACAGAGCAGCTGGAGAAGAGTGGAGCATGGGTCTGGAGAGGCCAAGTGAATCTCCTGCTCAGAAGCCAGAGAGCCGAGGTCGTATGACAACAGCCACCTTCTTCAGCAGTCAGATGTCAGAAAGGGGATGGTAGAGGCTGACATGTAGCATACGGCATATCTAGCATTCCCAAAGTGAACAAGCATCCATTTGGCTAAAACAGGAAATCTCTTCAATAGTTGTATATTCATTTTGCTTCTCATAAAGAAGAAAAGTCAATCGACAAAATATAGAGGAGAAAGAAGTAGATCAAGTGCTATAATTAGGAAGCATAGCGTAACCATAACATTCATTCATTGAATATATGAAAATCCAAATATGTTGCAGGAGTGACAGAAAGGGAAAAAAGAACATGTTTAAGCAGCACAGGAAATCCTGCCCACCATGCACTCCACAAGCTTATATATGAAAGTGAGCATGAGGTCGATGACATTAATTCACTGTTCCCACCAATCTCAGCTCCCTTGAGCCTCTCACAGTGCAAGCATTTGCAACACCAAGTGTGATTCTAGTGTGTGTAGATGTGGTCATGTAGGTACTCTTGATTACATAGTTTAGATTACTATATATGTTAATATTTATGCCTCTGTGCAGGTCTGTTCATAGAAAAATCATGTGTACTATTCTTTAAAAAGCAATTTAAGAAATTTTCAAGGCTTTTTTATGCTTCAGAGCTGTAATTAACACTTTTTGTAATCATAAAACCCATGGAAAAACTTTTTGAGACTCAACTACCTATTTGTATATACTGTTTTCTGTTCACTGACTTTAAAACCTCACTCCTGCATAAACTATCGCTCTATTGTAATCTCTTAACAACAAGGTGGAAATTAGAAAAGGAGTCTACAGAGAGTCCGTTGTGGAAATGCGGAGAGAATCAAAGATTTCTTAGTAGAATAATGAATAAATTCCTCAGAAAAATCTATTAAGTTTTGTTTCCATATATAACAATTTTTAGATGCTTAATAACACCTTTGGGTCACAAATAAGTGGTTCTTAATTAGACAAAGAAATAAAAATCTAGATGATTATTTGCCATTCACTCATAAGAATCAAGGAAAGGACTTTAATGCAGAATTGGTTTGAGCCCATCAGGAACCCTCTTGGAGTTAACTGGGGAACTCTGATCTTAAAGTCAGCATAGACTAAGTTGTGTCATAATAACAAATAATGCCCATACTTCAGAAGCTTAAACAATAGGAGCGTACTTCTCACTCACGCAGCAAGGGGAGAAAGGTAGCTCTGTTGTCCAGCATCATTGTCCTCTCTCTAGGACTCAGGCTGATGGAGCCCCCACACTATCAAACATTGTCCATCATGGTGGTGGAAAGGGGACTCTTACACTAGTAATCTAATGCCTTAATTAGGAGCAACACAAGACTCTACACTTCACAGCTCATTGGCCAGAACTGGCCACATGGCTCCAACCCAAGAGGGCCAAGAACAGCCATCCTACCATGCACCTAGAAGACTGCAGAACCAGAAACAGTCAGTGTGCAGCACTGCTGGCTACTGTATCAATACAGTGTCCTTTCCCATGTCCAGGGAACACAGACTGGGACCTGGGAATATGAGCAGAGTGGAAGATGGGGATCATCAGACTACTTGGTCAGCAAATCCAGGGAGATTTCAGCAATTAGGCCTGAACCTGCACCCACGTGGTCAGGAGAGTACCTTTTAGAACAGTAGTGCTCAATCTTTTTGGCACCAGGGACTGGTTTCATGGAAGACAATTTTTCCATGGATGGGTGGGGAGAAGGGGGTATGGTTTCAGGATGAAACTGTTCCACCTCAGATCATCAGGCATTAGACTCTCATAAAGAGCATGCAACCTAGATCCCTTGCACGCGCAGTTCACAATAGGGTTCACGCTCCTTTGAGAATCTAATGCCGCCACTAATCTGACAGGGGGCAGAGCCTAGGTGATAATGTGAGTGATGAGGAGTGGCTGTAAATACAGATGAAGCTTCTTTCACTCACCAGCCACTCACCTCCCACAGTGTGGCCTGGTTCCTAACAGGCCATGGACTGGTAACAGTCCTCAGCAAGGGGATTGGGGACCCCTGTTTTAGAAGCCTGGGAATGTGGAAGTGTGGTCAAAGATGTCACTTGCCAGCATTTCAGTGTTTTAGAGCTATCGTTAAGAAACATTTTAGATCATAATATCTTTTGAAAAAAGTTTTTGGAGAATGGACCACCAATGCGTATTCACATATCTGTAAATTCCATACATGTACTACTATGCTAATAGATTATGTACATTACTAAACATACAAAAATAGACATTGAAAATATGAGAAAAATAAGGCCAGGAGTGGTGGTTTACACGTAATCCTAGCATTTTGGGAGGCTGAGGCAGGTGGATCACCTGAGGTCAGGAGTCGGAGACCAGCCTGACCAATATGGTGAAACCCTGTCTCTACTAAAAAAAAAAAAAAAAATACAAAAATTAGCCTGGCATGGTGGCACGCACCTGTAGTTCCAGCTACTCAGGAGGCTAAGGCAGGAGAATTGCTTGAATCTGGGAGGCAGACGTTGCAGTGAGCTGAGATCACACCACTGCACTCCAGCCTGGACGACAGAGCAAGACTCCGTCTCAAAAAATAAAAACTGAAAAAAAAAAGATAAGATGAGAGAAATACATGTATGCTCTAATATGCTTCCCGTTCAATATCACACCTTCCCTGGGATGTCTGCACCCTGTTTTGGAGAACTTCTCCCTTAAATGACCACAAGGTTTAAGTCTCATTCTTAGGAACAAGAGATCAATCAAAAAGGGATATGTATTTATTTTTAAATGTCCATGTTTCTAGGAGTATATATTATGTACCTATTTAACTTAAAGACATAAAACATTCATTTTAGAAACAATTCAATATATTCTTCTGACCAAGAGCACATAAAATTATCTGTAATCCCAGATATAACCCCAAAATTATAAGTGTTAGTATCTTGGTACATTTCCTTTTTCTCTGAACAGCTATCCATATAGGTAAGTATCTTTAAAAAGAAATTATAATGAACACACTGTTTTATAATCTCCTTTTCCCACAGAACACATTGTGAACAATATATTACATATTCTTCTACACGATTTTTGTAAGTTTTATCATTTTCCTTATTTCAGTGGTAATATATGTTCATTGTGAGATCTTATTAAATGTGTACAAGCAAAGAGAAAAAATAAAAATTACCCACTTTCCATTACCCAGACATAGCCACTTTTAATATTTTGCTGTCAATGTTTTTTTTTTGTCCAATTTCTTTTCAATGCACTCACAGTCTTCCATTAATGGGACCACATTGTTCATACTCCTCTGAAATCTGTGTTATCATTTTATACATATTGTGAACACCTTTCCTTGTCATACAATGCTCTTCTACAACAGCATTTGAGTAACTCTATATGACAGTGCTTCCAAAACTGATGATCTCTAAATATTATTATAAAACATTCTAATAGGCACATTGAGAAAAATACGTTTCATTGTAAAATAAGTTAGGAAAATGCTGCCCATTTGAACCATTATCGTGCACATTAGCTATTAAAGTCTGAAAACCCTACAACTAAAAAAAATTGACTTTGTTTAACATGGGTTTTCTCAAATTTATTTGAGCACAATTTACTTTTTTGAGGCACTTCAAACAACATACTGCAGAGGCATGTTAATTACTGTATATCGAGTCCTGTCTTCTTTAACATTAGTTGTCATAATTTTTACCTACAAATATCAGCATTGTAATGAGTATTTTTGTCTCTGTCTTACACCCTTCATATATAATTATTATTTTACCTTAAGTTCTGGATACATATGCAGAACGTGCAGGTTTGTTACATAGGTATACATGTGCCATGATGGTTTCCTACATCTATCAACCCGTCATCTAGGTTTTAAGCCCTGCATGCATTAGGTGTTTGTCCTAATGCATGCGGAGCTAATGCTAATGCTCTCCCTAATGCATGCGGGGCTAATGTCCTAACGCTCTCCCTCCCCTTCCCTGCAATCTGCCAACAGGCCCCCATGTGTGATGTTCCCCTCCCTGTGCCCATGTGTTCTCATTGTTCAACTCCCACTTATGAGTGAGAACATGTGGTGTTTGGTTTTCTGTTCCTGTGTTTAGTTTGCTGAGAATGATGGTTTCCAGCTTCATCCATGTCCCTACAAAGGACATGAACTCATTCTTTTTTATGGCTGCATAGTATTCTATATACCCTTCATGTATTCTAAGATAAATTTAATAAAGCAGAATTGTCAGCTGAAAGATGAATGTAGATTTTGAAGGTTTCTCTCCTAACAAATTGCTTCCCAGAAATGTTAAACTTATTTATACTTCTCCTGGGAGGACATAAGAGTACTCATTTTCACACAACCATGCCAGCACTGGGTATTATTATTCTAACAATAAGTAAACACATAAATAACAGGTCTTCCTATTTCAAAAGCAATTGTTTGTTGTCTAAAAAGTTAAAGTTAATATATGAAAAAAACAGAAAAATAATACATAATTCCACAACTCAAATATAACAACTACCTACATGGGAGGCAGTATATGATCATGGATGTTTTGTTATTTTTGAGAACATGTAAATTATGCAAATTCTATATCATGCCATTTTACACTTAATGTTATCTAATTGTTTCAGTTTGCTGTGTGTGTGTGTGTGTGTTTTTTTTTTTTTTTTTTTTTTTTTTTTTGAGACAGACTCTCGCTCTGTCGCCCAGGCTGGAGAGCAGTGGTGCAATCTCGGCTCACTGCAACCTCTGCCTCCAGGGTTCAAGCAATTCTCCTGCCTCAGCCTCCTGAGTAGCTAGGATTACATGTGTGCACCACCACGTCTGGCTAATTTTTGTGTTTTTACTAGAAATAGGGTTTCACCATATTGGCCAGGCTGGTCTCTAACTCCTGACCTCAAGTGATCTGCCTGCTTTGGTCCCCCAAAGCGCTGGGATTACAGGTGTGAGCCACTGTGCCCGGCCTGCATTTCTTTTAATTATAGCAAAGACTGAGCAGTTTTTCATGTTTATTATCTCAGTGTTTTTTTAAGGCAATTGTTTATGCATGTCTTATGCTCATTTTTCTGTTGAAGTCTTTGTATTTTTCTTGTAGTTTTGAGGATGCTTTCTATATATTGAGGAACTTAACTATTTTTCATGTATGATGCAAATATTTTCCCAAATTACTGTTTTTTCGATTTTGCTTATGTGATTTTTTAAATACCAAATTTCTGATTGTTATGTAGCTAGATCTGCACAAGTTTTGTTTTTTTTCTTTTGGTGTTGGTCTTTCAAGTAGGGATTAGAAATTCCTCCTACATTTCAAGATTATATTATTTTCTTCCGGTGTTGGTAGTTTTCTAAAAATATTTACATCTCCAATCCAGCAGAAGAAACAGAAAGCAGGTGCCATACCCAGGAAGATGGGGTCCCTGCATGCTATTTCATTTATATTTAAGCCTTCCCCATATGTTTTAACCTATCAGGCTGTGTGCAAACATCCCTCAGATCCTCATCTGTAAAATTCTATATCATGCCATTTTACACTTAATGTTATCTAATTGCTTCAGTTTGCTGTGTTTTGTTTTTTTTTTAAGACAGACTCTCTCTCTGTTGCCCAGGCTGGAGAGCAGTCTTCTTTCCCTTTTGTGGTCACCACAAATTTAAAAGTATACCATGTCTTGGCCGGGTGTGTTGACTCATGCCTGTAATCCCAGCATTTTGGAAGGCCGAGGCGGGTGGATCACTTGAGGTCAGGAGTTTGAGAAAAGCCTGGCCAACATGGTGAAACCCTGTCTGTACTAAAAATACAAAAATTAGCCGGGGGTTGTGGGAGGCACCTGTAATCCCAGCTACTTGGGAGGCTGAGGCAGGAGGCCACCTGAACCTGGGAGGCGGAGGTTGCAGTGAGCAGAGATCTTGCCACTGCACTCCAGCCTGGGTAACAGAGTGAGAGACCATCTCAAAGAAACAAACAAAAAGTACACCGTGTCTTCCTCTTTGCCATGTTTGCATCCAAATTCCAGTAGCATGCTGATTGTGGCATGTTCTTTTTGCCAGCAAGTTCTGTCCCTCTAACTCTATTGATTCAAACTTTTATTTTTAATGACAAAATAGTATATACTAATTATTCTCAAGTACATATACCCATTACAAAAATCTCTTACCAAATATCTTTTCATATTCCTATTATTCAATCTATTTCCTTACTCTGTTAAAATAGATTTATGCTGATTAGCACTACCATCAAATGATGTCTGATATAGCAAAGATAGTTTGTGGGGAAATTTTCAGGAGGGTTGGAAGGGAGGTAGAATGGTAATTTTAGCTTTAAATGGAAAAGTGTGCTGGTTTGGGTTTGTTTTTGGTTTTGTTTTTTTTTTTTTTAAAAAAGAGTTCTGGGGAAGAGAACTGAAGAATGGAAGAGAAGACGCAATAAAAATATAATAATAACAGGGCCCTTTTTTCACAGAGCCAAACCAAAATAGACTGAAACCGTGAAAGAACAATATAAATTATAATTGGAAAAAATATAGAAATGAGATGATTGGACTAAAGGAAGATTTTAGCAGAAAGCTGATAGACTTAGATCAGAATATAACAAGAGTTTAACATTTTTAAAAAATCATCTCAGAAGTGAAGTCTAAATAAGAAGAAATATAAGAGTCAAAATTGTATGTGAATTTATTGTTTGACTCAGCAATCCCATTTCTAGGAATCTATTTCAAATATACACAGACAAAAGCATGAAAAGCACATAACACAAAGCTATTCATTGCAGCATGATTTGTCATAGAAAAAGACTGGAAAAAACCCAAGTGCCCAACAGTAGGGGGCTGGGTTCCGTAACAATGATGTATCAACACACAACGAGATGCTATGAAGCTCTGGAAAAAATATGAAATATCTATACATACTGCTATGTAATCATCTCTAGGATATATTGTTAAGCAAAGCAAAAACAAGAAACTGCATCTGTGTGTGTGTGTGTGTTCGCGCGTGTGTGCGTGCACACGTGCGTGTGTGCGAGTGTGTGTGTGTGTAAGTATAAACCAAAACTCATTGTTTAAACAGTGAGAAGAGAATGGAGGAGACAGGAGTAGAAAACAGACCTCTCCAAATATATGATGATCTGTATATTTGACTTTGAAACTGTGTATTTTTTTTTTTAAAAAAAAAGCAATCTCTAAAATTCATTTGAATATAGATGAAACAAGATTGGCTATTAGTTATTCATTGTGGAAACTATGTAATAGGTACGTGGGACTTTTATAAATTTTTTGTATGTATTTGGGGAAAAGTTTACAATAAAGAGGTTTGTTTTTTTAAGATGCTATCATGGCCAGACCACCTAATTCTGCCCATAAACCATCACTTTTCCCCATTACGACCTAAAGGAATATGTATGCACAGAAAAATGAACAGAAAATTCAAGGAAAATGGCAATCCATTGTTTGATCTGGCTTTGCTCCTAAATCTCAATGCAGAAGTTGGGTAAAACGAGCCGAACCATATGGCTTAGAAGGCTGGGGCCGTAAGGGGCTCTCTTTCTCTCCCTGCATATCTGATGCTACCTCTGCACAGAATGTCCAATCCACTATAGCCTAAGGAAAGAATTTTCATTTCCCAAGACTCCATGTGCTATAAAGCACATCCAAATCCATTTTCTGAAATCTAACTAACTTCCCTGAGAAGGAATGGAAATAGAACTGGAGAGAAAGGGAGTAGGGTGAGCAGAGAAGAGCTTTGAATCTTTTGCATCCTTTAAACTCCCAACACTCAAATCTTCCTCTAAGCTTTGCTTCTGCTACAGAGGCCAACAATGCGATTGGAATTCAGGATCAACTCTTTCCTTGCTGCTATGCCCCACCCCCAAAGGCTTTATATCATAGGCTTCATGATACTTCACTAGGTTTGTCCCATTGCAATTTAACTTACTGAAATTCTTCAAAGTTTTTTAACCTATGCATGTCCTCATTTTCTGGTTTCCAATATGAATAGGGTTTTTCATTTTTAAAAAATGAACATTTCAATAGCACATCCAAATATATTATGGCATACTATTTTGGAAAAGGGGAGATTAGGCGTGACTAGTTGCTAAGGATGCCATGGCAATGTACTACAGACAGAGTGGCTTAAGGATCAGAAATTTATTTGCTCACTGTTTTGGAGACTAGAAGCCAGAGATCAAAGTGTTGGCAGGGTTGGTTTCTTCTGAGGCCACTCTCTGTGGCTTGTAGATGGCCTTCTTCTCCCTTTGTATTCATGTGGTCTTCCCCCCTGTGTGTGTCTGTGTCCAAATTTCCTCTTTTTATAGGGACATAAATCGTATTGGATTGGGGCCCACCCTGAATACCTCATCTTAACTTCATTACCTCTTCAATGACCTTATCTCTGCATCAACTCACATTCTGAGGTACTGGGGTTAAGACTTCAACATTATGAATTGGTTGGAAACAGAGGACACAATTTGGCTTGCAACAGATGTCTTGGCTGAAATTACTAGCTTGGATCAGATGGCTTCAGAGACTGTGTGAAATGGGAATGACTTGAGTACACTGAAATGAACTTGAGAAAAAACCAATAAAGAAGTTCAAGGAAAGAGTGGGATGTTCCTGGTGGAAGGAGGTGGTAGGAAATGAGATTTAAAGTACAGATCAAGAAATTAACCATGTGACAAAAGAGGGAAAGGAAAAAAGTTTGAAAAAGGATATAGAATCTTTTGTATCCTTTTATGGCAGGAAGTCAGGAAATTTCTTGCTTGATGGCTCCTATTTTCTCTGCAAATTGGGAGGCAAGAACGTCAGCTTCAAAGTGATGAGGAAGAATTAAATAGATTAGAAATAGTCTGGAATAACTGCCATGGAGAATGAACGAGAGACGTATAAAGATTGCTATATCACAGAAATGGTCCTGAGAAAACCAGTAGGAAAAATACTTGATAGTCCCATATGAATGTTTTTTTAAATTCCTGATAGATGAAAGAGTTACATGTTTTGTAAACATATACGAAAATGTAAATATGTATACATAAGAAAAGTCATCAGACCTTGGGAAAGAGATCTTTCTAAGCATAATTATATTTTTAAGAAAACAAGGAAAAAATTAACAAATTTGACTACATAAAAATAAATATGTAATATCACTACTGGTCAAAAAATCACCAAAATACTAATGAGAAACATTTTTCATCTATAAAATCATAAAAATTAAAGAATGATAACATCTAGTGTTTGCAAGGATATGATCAAATGTGGGTTGCCACAGCAATTGAGAATATAAAAGCTTATATCACATTTCTAGATCCCAACTTGGCAATATCTATCAAGAACATCTAAAGACCATTTGACTTCTATTTCTAGAAAACTAAACTAAAGAAATAATCAGAAGTATGCACAGAGATTATTGTGTAAGAATATTTACTGGTAAATCATTTGTAATATCAAAAAAATTGGCAAAAATTCCTACTTTTTAATGTACAATTTGCAATTGGTTAAATAAATTTTGATGCCTCACACTATGGAATACTATTAGCTAATAAAAATCATCTTGTAAAATAAAAATTAATGGCATGGAAAAACGCTTGCAATGTAATGTTGGGCTAGCAATGAATGTGGGGTTGTACCCAGGAAAGATACAAAGTGCTACGTGCCTTAAATGAGAGGACCTGGGCCAGTTCAGAAGCCAGGATGGAGGAAACAGTGTAATAAAAGGAAATGGTTTGGAATTCTGGAGCCTGAGTCTGCTACAATCTCTGTGCACATAAAGGGTCAAGGAATAAAAGAAACAAACACAGGAAACTTCAGTGATTATGTCTTAAACACTCTACCATCTTTTGAAAATCCTTCCTAAGTTCAGGGAATTTTCCGCATTATAAACATTTCCTTCCCAATCCAGAAGCCCAGAACTAACTTTCCCAGCCTCCGTTGCAACTATGGCACAGACATGTGACCTAGGCTCTGCCAATCATACAGGCTCTCCTGAGATTTCAGTTTGAATGACAGCAACCTGGGGAGCAGATACCACATGGAAGTCATTTTCTGATGAGAATATTTAGGGATGCATTGGAGATGGGAGAGGCTGTTAGCATCTGCACTGAGCAGTGACAGCATTAGGTTTTTCACTGGAGCAGTCTCACCAGGTAGAGACTTTGTTCCTGGCTGTTTCGAAGTTTGACTCAGCACCCTTGAAGGCTCCATGAAGGAGCTATCTGATATCCTATTTAAAAGATCCCTTTTCTGCTCAAAGAACCTCAGGTGAATTAGTTCAGTTGTCTGCAGCCAAGCACATTCACTAACTCAGACTTTACTATAGCTGCAGTGCCCACTATATTCTCAATACTTTAAATAATACTTTAAATACATTTATCTCATGGTATCCTCCCAATCATCCTGGCTCCTCAACCAGTAAGTGGAAGAGCTGAGAATAAATCCCCAGATCTGTGAAAACTCATTCTTTTTTTTTTGATGGAGTCTTGCTCTGTAGCCCAGGCTGGAGTGCAGTGGCGCGAGTAACTGGGACTACAGGCGCCCACCACCACGTCCAGCTAATTTTTTGTATTTTTAGTAGAGACGGGGTTTCACAGTGTCAGCCTGGATGGTCTTGATCTCCTGACCTCATGATCTGCCAGCCTCGGCCTCCCAAAGTGCTGGGATTACAGGCGTGAGCCACCACGCCAGGCCCCAAAACCCATTCTTTACTCATGAGAAAGTTTCTATTCTTCTGCAACCCTTTATTTTCTATCTGTAGCACGTGCAGTTTGAGCTAGAAAGATCTCCGAGTTGCTTTTCATTTTAAGTAAGTGTATAGCTCTATGTCCCAGGAGATTTTGTCCCATCACTGTAAAGAATTCAAGAAATCCCTCTTGGATATCTGACCTGGTGCCCAGCTTTTTACCATCCTAAGGAGACACCAGCGGAACGAGATTGGGGAGAGCCCCGCAGGTGACCCAGAAGCTTGACCACAAAGCCCATCAGTATTTCCCAGTACTGGACAGACTCCACAGTTACTCTCAATAACCCTGTGTGCACATTCCGCCTCACAAACACTTTCCAGATGAGCTTCCAGGGCTGGCTTTGACAGAGAAGCTGAAACAGAGGATTCCAATGTAAAAAGTGCAGAATTAGCATTGGGAAAACAGGCTATTCTCCCAACTCTGCTACTTACTGGATGACCCTAGGCAAGCCATATGACCTCTTCAATCCTCCGTGTCCTACCCTGAAAAACTGAGCATGGTAGGGCAGACCAAATGAGATAACACAAGTAGAAGTGATTTGAAAATTGAGAAGCATTGTACAAATGTGACGAGCTATCATTAATTTAGAGAGGAATCGAAGAATCTAAAACTGTCTTGCATTTGAATAGTGTTTCTTATTTTGCAACATGCTTTTCTCATTTTTGTCTTCACAGCCACCATGTGAGAAAGTAGGGCAGTTATTATTATCTCCATTTTTACAGATGAGGAACCAGAAGGAAAAGTGACAAAGCCAGCCCTAGAAGCCAGGCGTCCTGATTTCCAACCCCAGACTCACTCCTGTATATTTGTAGGTAATTGGTCCCTACCCACTGTGCAGATGACACAGGCAAAACAGTAGAGTACACCTGTCAGTCATAACGTTGAGAGCTGTCTGCAGGGTTTGAGCTCATTGGAAGATATTTGGCCTGCAATGCTCATTTTGGACTAACAAGTGGGCTTTCTAGGAAAAAAATAGAGAGTTACAGAGTTTCTCAATTGCAATGGAGGGCAGGTTAAAAACCAGAAATAGATAAATGTTAAATGCTGAAAGAGATTCAGTGTACATTTTTAGAGCATGTGCCCCAATCCCGTCATCTTCTTTCTGCCATCCTACAACTCGAGTCAGCATCAGCTGTGAGATCTGCACTCTGCGTATCAACAGCGGCAGCATTAGACTATCCCTGGAGCCATCCTGCAGAAAATTAATGTCCAAGTAGGATGCTCAGGTTGAGGTTCACAGACAAATTTGTTTTTATCATCGCTATTGTAACAATTATGAAGAGTAAATTTCAGGTGCTTTGGCTTTTAAAGAGCACTTCTACACCTGCTGGAGTTTCAAAAATAAGCCTAGAAGGTAGATTGATACCATTCTTAGAAATGACTTCCCAAAGAAGATGTGACTAACGAGGTTTTATTATTTGAATCGTGAACAAACCCAATCATCCTGTTATGTCACTGTGATAAATTGGATTATTGTCCAACATATCCTTCTGAGGCAGAATAGACTTCAGGCTTGGCCATTTGTTTATTTTACCCCACAAATTATGTGTGCTAGTTCCAAGCCAAGGCCTGAAGAGGCACCATGTATTTCCATGTATCCTCTTCCTGCAACATGACCTACCACAAGAAGAGACGCCCGAGGAACTGGCTACTCCAAAGAGGATGAGGACACTTGGAGAAAGCCTGAACCCAAACTCCATCCTGCTGCTCAAAGCATGGAGCCCTAACTTGAACAAATTGCAGCCACGCCATAGACCCATAAGCATGAAATAAATGCTGGATATTTTAAGCTTCTGCTTTAGGGATAGTTTGTTATACAAAATATTGCTGCAAATAATTGACTGATGCAGTTGCTTTCACCAGAAGCAGTGATTGTAAATTATAAGGCCTATTTGTTTTGTTTTGTTTTCTTTTGTTTTGTTTTAAGATTCTTGATTTTTTCGCAGGTGGCAGGTAAGAATTTCTCTACAATATATGAAGCAAGAAATATTCTATTTCTTTATCTCCCTGATGACATGTCCAAGACCCCTCAGTAGTAGACTCCCATCACAATATATGATCTCATAAAAAGTCTTGGACATATGTATCTCCAGACTCATGGAGGAAGGACCAAGGCAAGAGGGTCCCTATTTTTGTCATTGCCCCTTCACTACTCTAGAATTTCATTGTATTCATTGCTACTGTAGGCAAGTTCAGAAATCACACTGATGAAATGGAGATATAACTTTTTACTGCTTGACACTATCCAGGATTTGACCAGGTTAGGCCGAGTTGAGAGTCCTTGGATGATATTGAGTCTGACATTAAGAATAATTTGGGCCAGCTGTGGTGGCTCATGCCCGTAATCTCAACATTTTAGGAGGTCAAGGCGGACAGGTCGCTTGAGCCCTGGAGTTTGAGACCAGCCTGGGCAATATGGCGAAGCCCCATCTCTACAAAAAATACAATTATTAGCCGGGCACGGTGGCTCTTACCTGTGGTCCCAGCTACTCAGAAAGCTAAGGTGGGAGGATCACCTGAGCCCAGGGAGGTTGAGGTTGCAGTGAGCTATGATCACACCACTGCACTCCAGCCTGGGTGACAGAGTGAGACCCTGTCTCAGAAAAACAGAAAAAGAATAGTTTGGGCCAGGCGCAGTGGCTCCCACCTGTAATCCCAGCACTTTGGGAGGCTGAGGCAGGTGCATCACTTGAGGTCAGTAATTCGAGACCAGCATGGCCAACATGGTGAAATCCCATCTCTACTAAAAATACAAAAATTAGCAGGGCGTGGTGGCAAACTTCTGTAATCCCAGCTATTCGGGAGGCAGAGGCAGAAGTTGCAGTGAGCCCAGATTACACCACTGCACTTCAGCCTGGGCAACAGAGCAAGAATCTGTGTCAAAACAAAACAAAACAAAACAAAAGAATAGTTTGATGGCCATATAGTTCACAGAGTTTATACTACGTCTAGATGATCTGAGGAATTCAAAGTCAGCTCTGTGTTTCTCCATTTGTTCAAGACTACTTGTATGCCTCTCTGAAAAAAAAATTTTTTTTTTTTGGAGACAGAGTCTAGCTCTGTTGCCCAGGCTGGAGTGCTGTGGTGCTGTCTCAGCTCACCACAACCTCCACCTCCCAGGTTCAAGCAATTCTCCTGCCTCAGCCTCCCGAGTAGCTGAGACTATAGGCGAGCACCACCACACCCATCTAATTTTTGTATGTTTAGTAGAGACAGGGTTTCACCATGCTGGCCAGGATGGTCTCTATCTCTTGACCTCGTGATCCTCCCACCTTGGCCTTCCAAAGTGCTGGCATTACAGGTGTGAGCCACCACACCCGACTAATTGTCTCTGAAAATTTTATATTTGTGTTTGTTGAGGTCCAGCATGTTTCATTTCCTTTTTTAAATTTTAGATTCAGGGGTCCATGTGCAGGTCTGTTACATGAGTATATTGCAAAATGGTTAGGTTTGGGCTTTCAGAAAACCAATCAACCAAATAGTTAACATGGTACCCCATGAGTAGTTTTTCAACCCTGTCTCTCCTCCCTCCTCCCTCTTGGAGTTCCTAGTGTCTATTATTTCCATCTTTGTGTCCATGTGTACTCATTGTTTAACTTCCCCTTGTAAGTGAGAACAAGTGGTATTTGATTTTCTGTCTCTGAGTTATTTCACTTAGGATAATGGCCTCTAGCTCCAACCATGTTTCTGCAAAGGGCATAATTTTATTCTTTTCTATAGCTCTGTAGTATTCAATGGTGTATAATGTGGTATATAACACATTTTCTTTATCCAATCAACCACTGATGGACACTTAGGTTGATTCCATGTCTTTGCTATTATGAATAGTGCTGCAATAAACATACAACTCCTGAAATGTTTCATTTTATTTTATTTTATTTTATTTCGTTTTATTTTATTGAGATGGAGTCGTGCTCTGTCACCCAGGCTGGAGTGCAGTGGCACAATCTCAGCTCACTGCAACCTCCATCTCCTGGGTTCAAGCTATTCTCCTGCCTCAGCCTCCTAAGTAGCTAGGACTACAGGTGCCCCCCATCACACCCAGCTAATATTTGTATTTTAGTAAAGATAGGGTTTCACCATGTTGGCCAGGCTGGTCTGGAACTCCTGACCTCAAGTGATCTGCCCACCTTGGCCTCCCAAAGTGCTGGGATTACAGGTGTGAGCCACCGTGCCCGGGTCCTGGAATGTTTCTTATCAAGTGTATGGCTGTCTCCATGGCCAAGCATAAATGTCAAGTTCTTTTGCATGCCTATAAATGTTCTTCATGATCTGACCCCTACCTACCTTAGTAGCCTCATTTCTCACTCTTTCTTGTGGCCACAGTATGTTTCATTCATCATGAACAACCTTAATATGCCTTATTCTATTGTTTGCCTTTTATTTTTATAGATGCCTTCCCCTTTGTTGGGATATGCATCTGGACATTCCCTTCTTATCTTCAAGATCTATTTCCAATAGCTCCTTCTTTTTAATAGGGCAAGGACTAAGATGAGGCAAGTGAGGTGTCCGAAGTGCTAATTTTGTGCCCCTCAGCACCTCCTTTGCCCTACCCCGCACCTAGCCCAGCTCTTTAATGCCTCCCCAGATATACTCCACTCCTTCCCCAAGAACAGTCTGTCATTCCTTCCTCGTGAAAACTCTGTACCTTTCCTCATTATAGTATTGATTGCACTGGGTTGCTTTTTTCTTAGAACAGAGACTATGTTTTATCATCTTTGTAACACCAGCACCATGACTGGCATTGTGTGTTTGATGAATAGTAAATTCATGGCCAATCTATATGAGCATTTCCTTTGTTCCAGGCATGATTCTATGCACTTTACTTGAGTTGACTTATTTAGCCCTCACAACAACCTGTACAAATATTACTACCTCAGTTTTTATAGATAAAGAACAGACTAAAAAGCACTAGGTAAATCCCACAACATCGCACAATGAGAGTGGCAAAAATTGGGATTTGAACCTGGGTCCTTCTGACGCAGGACCCTGTGTGGATAACTGAACAACGTGACTATTCCCACTATATTACACTGGATAAGAATCAAGGAGCAAAAGACTGTTTCTTTTATGTTATTCGGAATCTAAGGCAATCACTACAAAAATTTCTGTCTCAAGGGCAGGGAGGCTTTATGAGATGGGATGACACTTTGGCCTATTGTGCCGGTGAACAAAGTCTCCAAATGCTGACTCCTTGTCCAGTCTCCAAAGGCTCCAGTATTGGGGGAGATGAACCTGAGTGCTGGTCTCAATCTAGAAATGTAAAAACAAAAGGTCCGAGCAATGCTTTAGACAGCATTGACCAAGGACAATTATTGTCCAAAGGGATTTGAACCCTATCGATCAGCCAGCCGGAAAATTCTGCCTTGTTGGCTGGATCATTTGCTAGTCAGAGGTTATAGAGACAACATTCTCCTCTGTCAGCCCAAATCCATCAGCCATGAGCAGGGAGCACTGGCAGCTAGTGTGGCTGCTTCCCGCTCTGCAGTGTTAACTTCTTACATAGGACAACTAACTCCCCATGCTTTTACATTCTCTGCTATTCACAGTGTGTACCTGAAAACAGATAGTTGTTTTCTAGGTCAAAAAATATTCCTCATCACCATACCAGTGGGAAATTGATGCCAAGCCAGAAGTCCCAAATTCAAATGCTTGTCACATAAATGAAGGAATTTGGCTGAGTGAGGAGTAGAGTAAACTATAGGCCATATGCTTGTTGCTTGCTTGCCTGCCTGCCTGCCTGCTTCCTTCCTTCCTTCCTTCCTTCCTTCCTTCCTTCCTTCCTTCCTTCCTTCCTTTCTTTTTCTTTCATTTTGAGACAGAGTCTTGCTCTGTCACCCAGGCTGGAGTGCAGTCGTGTGATCTCGGCTCACTGCAACCTCCACCTTCCAGGTTCAAGTGATTCTCCTGCCTCAGCCTCCCTAGTAGCTGGGATTACAGGTGCATGCCACCACGCCCGGCTAATTTTTTTTGTATTTTTAGTAGAGACAGGGTTTCACCGTATTAGCCAAGATGATCTTGATCTCCCGACCTCGTGATCCGCCTGCCTTGGCCTCCCAAAATGCTGGGATTACAGGCGTGAGCCACTGTGCCTGGCCCACATGCTTTATTAATCATACCTTTTTATTTTCTGTGTTTCTGATGCTTTGACAGCTCAGGTCTTGCTGACCCTGGAAAGACTGTCTCTCCCAGGTACTGTCAATTCCTAGAGATAGTAAATGACTCACCTGTGAGCTCCTTTTATATGCAAATTAACCAATCCAGAGTGGATACCCCCAGACATCTCCGTTGTACCCCCGAACACCAGATCCTTTCACTCTGGGCCACTATTCCCTGCCCTGATCACCCCAGAGTCAAGCACTAGACAACTAGGGACAACCCCTACACCCCAAAGCCCATTGAAAGTATTCCCACTAGCCAATTCTAAACCTGCTCACCCTGCCCTGCCTCACGTTTGACCAAGGAAACCTCAATAAAGATTCTTGCCTAAATTTTCCCTCACTCTTTCTACCTCCTGCCCAACCCTAGTACCTCTGGGCTCAAGCGATCCTCCAGCCTCAGCCTCCAAGTAGCTGTGACTTCAGGCACAAACCCCACCCAGCCACAAACTGCATTTTCAATAGCAATCATCCCCAATCTGTTGGCCTTACCATATGTGAATAATAATAATCAAAACCTACATTTAAAAACATATGCCCACATAGAGGGAAAGAGTCCCTACTCGTTTCTTGATGATTATTGCCAGCCACGAACCAGCCCAATAATACATTCTGATTTTTTTTTAATATAAAGTCTCACTCTGTCACCCAGGCTGGAGTGCAGTGGCATGATCTCAGCTCACTGCATCCTCACCTCCTGGGTTCAAGCCATCCTTCTGCCTCAGCCTCCTGAGTAGCTGGGATTACAGGAGCCCGCCCACCACCACGCCTGGCTAATTTTTGTATTTTTAGTAAAGACCAGGTTTCACCATGTTAGCAAGGCTGGTTTTGAATGCCTGACCTCAGGTGATCCACCCACCAAGGCTTCCCAGAGTGCTGGGATTATGGGCATGAGCTACTGTGCCCAGCCCACATTCTGATTTTTTTTTTTTTTTTTTTTTTTTTTTTGCGACGGAGTTTCACTCTTGTCATTCAGGCTGAAGTGCATCGGCATGATCTCAGCTCATTGCAACCTCCTCCTCCCAGGTTCAAGGAATTCTCCTGCCTCAGCCTCTTGAGTAGCTGGGATTACCGGTGCCCACCATCATGCCTGGCTAATTTTTGTATTTTTGGTAGAGATGGGGTTTCACCCTGTT